>NC_000010.11:99082489-99385519 GCF_000001405.40 Homo sapiens
CTAAGGGGTCATTCATTCCATATTACAGCTGAGCAGGTACCCTACTTTCATCTACCTTATATACCCAGCCTCAGCTACATTGTTAGACCATATAAATGTCAACAGAAAAAGTAGAAGAAAGAGAAATTTTTCACTAGAACGTTGGCTCCAGGAGAGCTGAGATTTTATCATCTTTGTTCACTGCTAAATTTATAATGCCTAGCACGTACTAGATACACATTCTGTGTTGAATGAAAGAAAAAATAAATTCACAGGGAATACAAACATCTTTAATTTTGCTATTATTTCTACCCTATTTTCGAGGAGTCTTGGAGTTCATATTTACCCAGACCCTAAGTTAAGGCTTAGAGCCTTAACATGCAAAATACAAAAATAACTGAATTTCGAAAATAAATTATGCCATTTAGTAGCAAAACAAATAAAGATGATTTTTATATGTAGAAATACATAAAAGAAGAGAACAGCAAAGAGATACAAATTCATTTTACAGCACTGAGGAAGCCTTTGTTTAGAGAGCTCTACTTTGGGCCTCTACAACTAAAACAAGATCTGGGGAATTGAGAAGATGTTTAGAGGAATAAAGTTTTAGGAAATAGACACTACATAGAAATTCAAAAGCAACCAGACATGTTTCATTTAGAGAAGCCAAGCCTTCAAGCATGTAAAGGGATATTACAGCTATCCTGTTTCCATTGAGAATGGGACAAAGGAACAGCCTTACATTACTAGCAGGAGGTCTTTAGATCAAAAATCAGAATTCATGTCTGAAGGGATGTGAAACACTGGCAAAGGCTGTCAAAAGAGATATGGATTCTCCTACTCTATAGACTTTCATGAAAAGAGTATCCATCTTTCTAACATGATTTAAGTGGATTTCTGCCCAAAGGAAAATGTGAACTAGATAACCTCAAGGTCACTATTCTACAAATTTTGTAATCAAAAGCATCTGTGAAAAATAGGGCATTTCCAAGTACCTGAAGTAAATCACATAATAGGTCTAGGAGGTCTCTTTTAAATCCCTTCTTCCATTTTTTATAAGATCTTACCTTTAGATAGCATTTCACAATTTACAGTGGGCTTCTAAATATTTTACTTCCTTATTTTATATGACATGGTACCCCAGATTTACTGCCTCAGCTTGAAGGATTAAAAATCAGGGGGCACGGGGAGATGGGTAGAGATCAGAAATCTTGGTTTTAAATAGACCAAGTTCTCTATCCCTTCTCAACTATCTTTTCATTTATTTTTCTTGGGAAGAGGTATTTGTTGAAAGGGACTCTTGAGTTTCTTTTCCTCCAACAAATATGCTTTTGGTGCCAATAACAGAAAAGAAAATGTCTTGAAGGAAAAAGAACAAAAGTCAAAGAAGACAATGTGAATTTTGCAAAAGACTGGAAATACCTGAGCCAGAAGGCATTGTTCATCTGCAAGTCTGGACTAAAGGCCCAAAAAAACCATATGGGAATGTGTGAAAGCCTTTTTTTTTTTTTTTTTTTTTTTTTTAAGTAACTGCCCAGGGTTTTTTCCCAAGAGTCATTTCAGACTCAGTTATCCCATTTTTGATCTGAAACAGAAAATATAGCTATTGGAAAAGGGCTGTCATTCACAGCCAGCTTAGAAGTCCAAGACTTGTTTGTCTTGTGCCCTTTGCAGCAAGGACCATAAAACTCAATTCCTCCCTATCCTGAAATAAATGCTAGGCAGAGTAACGCAGAACGTCAACAGAATGCCACAGAGAAGCATTTGCTTTTCTTGGTAACCAGTGCATTTAAGGGCACTGAAGTCCATACTTTCAGTTCTTGAGAACTAAGAACAAAATAGCTATTTCAGGTTCTTTTTTTTCCCCTAAGAAAAGTGCCAGGGGGAAATTAAAATGTAAAGTGGACTTTCTTTTTTATGCAAATATGTGTTGGCCCCTTTCACTGACAAATCACAAGGTGCACATTTGTTCCCAGGTAGGTCAAAGTTCCTAAAAGAGGAAAGATCCAAATGTTCTCAGGGTATGGGTTTTCTTTTCCTTATACTCAGAGAGTTATTTTTAAAGTTAGAGACTTCTGCAAACAACGCCACAGTGAGTTTCCCTGGGGAACCATTTTTGTTGCACAGGTTGGCTCCACTGGTTAGAAATTGATTTGCATGAGGCCATCAATTTGAACTTTACCTCTTCAAGGCACAAAACTCTAAAAGGCAAAAACAAAAAAACAAAAACAAAATTCTAGTAAAGCTAGGCAGAGACAGAACCTCTTGTAAATGCTTGTCTTTGGTTGCCAGCAAACAATGCAATTGTATTTAAAGAAGTAAACAGAGTAAAATCTGTAAAAATAAGCCAATGGACCAACTTGCCCCTGTTACCACTGCCTGACACACAGAAGGTACATTAAAAAGTAACAAACTCTGCAGTGAGAAAGAACAGCTTTGCCTATTTTGTAATTCTCCCTCTCCTAAATTTACATACGTCACACCTCCAGCTCAAATACACCTTTGACTACCAACTTTCCCTTACCTCTAGCACTTCTCGTTCTCTTCACTTCTATTACCTTTCTCCTCCATCACCCTTCACGTGGCCTGTAGGTGCAAAGTCAAGGGAGGGAGGAGTGCAAGCCAGGTGCAGGAATCTGCAAGTGCATCTAGAGTGAGATGCTAGTGTGCTTTGGCACTGCCCAGCAGCAGCAAAGACAAATCCAAGAGGGATCTCTCTTACTAGATGCAGCCATGACTGCTCAGTATTGAATCATGGAAAAGGAAGGGAACCTAGAACTTGTTTAGACCAACTTCTCATTTTCATAATAAAGAAAATGAGGTCTAGAGAAGTAATTTGTCCAAGCTCCTGTATTTGTAGCTAACACCAAGGCCCAGTATGTCCCAGCACCATAGTGTGCCACGATGGGGCTAGCTGCATGCCTGTGCTTTAAATCTACATCATCTCTAAGCAAAAGAAGACTCCCCTAAGAAGATAAGAACTGAAAGCTGTTTCTGCTTCTTGGTATCTCTTTTTCTCACCCAAAGATTTTCACATCACTTCTTTTCACCTTGAGTCCCTTCTATGACATCCATCATACTGCTTCATAAACTTGTTTACTCAGCATTAAAACCTTCCTGAGTGGGTAAGGAATCATATTTATTAAAAGTATTGAGAGAAGGTTAAAAAAATAAAAACTGGGTGTGTGTATGTGATATTATGTCTGAGCCTATTTTTAAGCGAAATGACCAGAATTTTATCCTGTTATGGACTGAGATTAGACAAAAACAGTAAGAAATGTGTACTTTCAGGGCAAAAGCCGAATTCCTCAGTTTAGCATTCAAAGGTCAAAGGTTGGCCTCAACTATTTTATCTCCACTATCCCTATTCAATATAACTTATGTTCTAAACACATCAGATGCCTCACTGCTCCCTAAAATCCACATCAAGCACCCATCTAATTCTTTGTTCAGGGTTATCACTCCACCTAGAATACTGTTCTTATTGCCCTGCCCATACCTCTGTCACCTGTCAAAATCATATTCATTTCCAAAGTACACCACAGATGATCAGTGCTACTTAAGGCATTTCCAAAAATAGGCAAATTTAAGCTCTTTCACCCCCACTTCATTCTCTTCCAGAATTTTGTTTATATGCCTATTACAGAACTTACCATACTCTATCTTCTATATATAGTATAGTATGTCTGGCCCCTTCAGTGTATGCTGAGTAGTAGAGAGTTAGGACTCAGTGTTTAGCCCAGAATGCTAGCCCTCAAACTAACATAAAAGAGTTACACAATAAATGTTACTTTAAGTGAATTGAAGACTTGAAGAAAAGGAATTATTATTAACCAGCATTAAACAGTCTAAAGGTGGTAATACGGAAAAGTACTTTCTTTTTTTTTTTTTTTTTTTTTTTTGAGACGGAGTCTCGCTCTGTCGCCCAGGCTGGAGTGCAGTGGCGGGATCTCGGCTCACTGCAAGCTCCGCCTCCCGGGTTCACGCCATTCTCCTGCCTCAGCCTCCCAAGTAGCTGGGACTACAGGCGCCCGCCACTACGCCCGGCTAATTTTTTGTATTTTTAGTAGAGACGGGGTTTCACCGTTTTAGCTGGGATGGTCTCGATCTCCTGACCTCGTGATCCGCCCGCCTCGGCCTCCCAAAGTGCTGGGATTACAGGCGTGAGCCACCGCGCCCGGCCGGAAAAGTACTTTCATCTGAAGATTTTAAATAATTACCTTTCTATATATTTGAATTGGATCTGTTATAGAAAACAAATCATCCTAATCTCATCTTTCATCCAAAAAGTAAATGTGTTTTCCCATTTTGAAGACTAAATGCCATTTACTATTATGCCAAATAAAAGCATAAAACTATTTCTCTCCTTCTGAGGATTGACAAGAGCTTGACCTCCATCCAACTCCCAAATCAGATAACACAGAGTATTATCATCCTATTTGTTCAGTCCAAAAGATCCCTAGCAATTATTAAACTCTAGACAACTTCATTGTGGAAAATGCATCCACCAAGGGATGAAATGTAGCACTAGCTTGAAGAATGTTTGGGTTTCTCCATATTATTCCAAGCTAAAATTATAGAATGAAAGTTATTTTAAAATCTTAGGGGTTAGAATTTTAATTTCACTGCATTTAAATGCATACAGCAGGCAACAAATGAAAACTTCACTGGAGCCATCTCTTGCATGTTTGAAAAATCATGTGTACTTTCAAAAGCATATTTGCAGATCATAATGTTTGTAAACTTAAATAGTAATGGGCGGGGCCCATATTTTGCATCCCTGGGTCATTTAAGTTTGTCAGTGTTGACATTACCACAGAAAAACTTCCCTTTCATGGTTAGTAGCTTGTCGCTCTCAGTAAATCTGTGATACTTTCTGGCGTCCCACACAGGGAATTATTTAATTTAATTTCTAAGGACCAGATCCTGCCCTTGGATACACGTAAGCAATAAGTATTGACGTCAATGGAAATTCTGGGTGCGCATCTAAGGCCAGACTATGGTCCTCTGCATATTCCTAACATGACTGCTGAAATTCTGTTTGTTAAGACTGGCTTGATTTTGGCTCCTTTTCTCTTAGATGTGCACACAATACCAGAAATGATGCATGAAGGCTGCGATCAAGTGAAAAGCTACATGCGTAACCGGGTGGGATCCTGTGTGGCCTTTTGACCTAAGCAAAGAATGAGATTTCATGTCCTGTAAGTCCCTGGGTCCACTATTGTCCTGACGACTAGCCCACAGCAAAATTTTTCATTTCTGGATCTACCCCCTATTTAAAGAGAAAATAAAACTGAGATTTCAATGAATGCTGATAATTTTAAAAACAGGAAGTTTTATTTCACGGTCTAAATATGGCAATACAGAAGAGTACTTTTATCTGAAGAGTTGAAATTATGACTTCTTATAGATTTCAATTGAATTTCTAACTTTAGAATTCCCAGGATCATAAGCTATCCATCCATTCCCTTCCATCCCTTAATTCCTGAACCCCCCCTTCTCATTAATTCTCTAAACATATTTGCCTACTAGATTCCCCTTGTTCATCCCTCTCCAGCCACACTGGGCTCCTGGAAGTCCCTGAAACACAGTCAACATGCTCACGGCTCATGGATTTTTACCCATGATACTCCCATCAGCTTGGAATACTTTCCCTATTACCTTTATGACCTGCTCCCCAAGTACTTTAGGTCTCCCTCAAATGCCACTTTCCCAGTGACCTCTCCCCTCAATACTTTATTTATTTATTTATTTCAATAGGTTTTGGGGAAACAGGTGGTATTTGGCTACATGAATAAGTTCTTTAGTGGTGATTTCTGAGATTTTTGGTGCCCCCATCAACCAAGCAGTATACATTGTAGCCAATGTGTAGTCTTTTACCCTTCACCTACCTCCTACCCTTTCCCCTGAGTCCCCAAAGTCCATTGTATCATTCTTATGCCTTTGCATCTCATAGCTTAGCTCCCACCTGAGTGAGAACATAACGTTTGGTTTTCCATTCCTTAGTTACTTCACTTAGAATAATGGTCTCCAATTCCATCCAGGTTGCTGTAATTGCCATTATTTCATTCCTTTTTATGGCTGAGTAGTATTCTATGGTGTATATATACCACATTTTCTTTAACCACTCATAGATTGATGGGCATTTGGGCGGGTTCCACATTTTTGCAACTGTGAATTGCACTGCTATAAACATGCATGTGCAAGTATCTTTTTCGTATAATGACTTATTTTCCTCTGGGTAGATACCCAGGAGTGGGATTGCTGGATCAAATGGTAGATCTACTTTTAGTTCTTTAAGGAATCTCCACACTGTTTTCTGTAGTGGTTGTACTAGTTTACATTCCCACCAACAGTGTAAAAGCATTCCCTTTTCACCACATCCACACCAACATCTATTTTTTTTTATTATGGCCATTCTTGCAGGAGTAAGATGGTATCACATGCATTTCCCTGATAATTAATGAGGTTGAACATTTTTCATGTTTGTTGGCCATTTGTATATCTTCTTTTGAGAATTGCTTATTCATGTCCTTAGCCCACTTTTTATGAAATTATTTGCTTTTTTCCTTGCTGATTTGTTTGAGTTCCTTGTAGATTCTGGATATTAGTCCTCTGTTGGATGTATAGATTGCAAAGATTTTCTCCCACTCTATGCTGTTTACTCTGCTGATTATTTCTTTTGCTGTGCAGATGCTTTTTAGTTTCATAAGTCCCATCCATTTATTTTTGTTTTGGTTGCATTTGCTTTTGGGTTCTTGGTCATAAACTCTTTGCATAAGCCAATGTCTAGAAGGGTTTTTCCGATGTTATCTTCTAGAATCTTTATGGTTTCAGGTCTTAGATTTAAGCCTTTGATTCATCTTGAGTTGATTTTTGTATAAGGTGAGAGATGAGGATCCAGTTTCATTCTTCTACATGTGGCTTGCCAGTTATCACAGCACCATTTGTTGAACAGGGTGTCCTATCCCCACTTTGTTTTTGTTTGCTTTGTTGAAGATCAGTTGGCCGTTAAGTATTTGGCTTTATTTCTGGGTTCTCTATTCTGTTCCATTGGTCTATGTGCCTATTTTTATACCAGTACTGTGCTGTTTTGGTGACTATGGCCTTAAAATATAATTTGAAGCTAGGTAATGTAATGCCTCCAAGTTTGTTCTTTTTGCTTAGTCTTGCTTTAGCTATCTGAGCTCTTTTTTTTGGCTCCATATGAATTATAGGTTTGTTTTCTCTAGTTCTGTGAAGAATGATGGTGGTATTTTGATAGGAATTGCATTGAATTTGTAGATTGCTTTTGGCAGTATGGTGATTTTCACAATAAAGATTCTACCCATCCATGAGCATGGGATGTGTTTCCATTTGTTTGTGTTATCTCTGATTTCTTTCAGCAGTCTTTCATAGTTTTCCTTGTAGAGTTCTTTCACCTCCTTGGTTAAGTATATTCTTAAGTATTTTATTTTTCTGCAGCTATTGTAAAAGGGGTTAAGCTCTTGATTTAATTCTCAGCTTGATTGCTGTTGGTGTATAGCAGGGCTACTGATTTGTATACATTAATTTTGTATCCTAAAACTTTTCTGAATCCATTTACCAGTCTAGGAGCTTTTTGGATGAGTCTTTAGGGTTTTCCATATACAATCATGTCATCAGCAAACAGTGACAATTGGGCTTCCTCTTTACTGATCTGGATGCCCTTTACTTCTTTCTCTTGTTTGATTGCTCTGGCTAGTACTCAGTATCCTATTTAGAACTGAATACTCCCTAGCCCCCCTTTCCTGCTGTAATTTTTCTCCATAGCACTCATCACCATCTAGCAGAATAAACATTTTGTTTAGCTTATTTTCTCTTCTCTTCTAAAATGGTCATTATTATATTCTGCAGTAATTAAACAGTGCCTAGTACATAGTCCATCCCCAATAAATATGTTCTGAACGAAGGAAGGAACTTTTAAGAAGAGCCTAGAGCTTTTCAGAAGTTCTACTGCAACAAGACCTTCCCAAAGCAGTAAACCATTACCAGAATACTTTCCTTGTGAAAATATAAATATAAATAAATTTAAGAATCAATAAGTGCTAAATAAAATTTAAGTATACATGCATAAATGAGAAATATTTGAACAAATAAATAAATGAGTAGGATAAGAAAAACATTTCAAGGAATTTATTTTGACACAGTAATCAAATATGTGAAAATACTAAATTTCCTAAAAACCATTATTTCATCTGTTATAACATTATTATATCATCTACCATTATTTAATGATAGTTTCACATAGGTTGTACCTCAATTTTTTCAATTTGTGATCAAAGATCTGTCTACCTCAAAATATCTAAGGTGCTTATTGGTTAAAAAAAAAGGAATTTCCTGCTTCCACTCAAGAGCTCTGAGGTTGCGGCCTATTAATCTTCATTTTTCTAATAAGTTCCTCAGGTAATTCTTATGCTTATTTACTTTTGAAAACTACTGTTTTAGTTTATCAGTCCTCAAAATCCACTGCAGCCAATTCTGTCCTGGCCTGCCTTCCACAGGGCTCTCTCCTTGAATCCAGATCCTCTTTTAATTTCAACATTTAGATTTTACCTTAACTACACATTTAAAAAAACACCAAACAAAAGAGCCATATCTTCTTTTGATGCTAACAAGCCTTCAGACATATTGAAAGATCAACATTTCTACCTATGACAAAAATATTCTTTTAAACTATTAGTCCTTAGCAGTTTCTGGTAATAGCATCCCATCAAATTAAAAATGAAACAGAAGCTCTAACATATCCCAACCTTCTTTTCGCACTCAAAGAGACATAGAACTACAACTAAACTTATTAAATGCCTATGTAGCACAGAGAAGTGTACCCACTACCTTATTAAAACTAAACCTTGTGAAAAAGAGAATAAATAACACTATGTTATTTGTTCAAAGCCACTTAGTTGGTACCTGCAGAGCAAAAGCTGAACCCAGGTCTCTAGACTCTATGTCCATGATTACTTCTAAAATATTCACTGCTACATCAATCTATTAACAAAGTTTTTTTAAAAGCCCAGCCACTACTTGCTATGATTTTGAACCCATTCTCTGTTTTCTTAAAAATGGAGTTGCTCTGACTTAAAATATAAGATAACAAAAACAACAACAAAAAAAATGAAGGCACAAAGTCTCCTAAATATGCTCCATTTGGCATTCTGTGCTCCATTCCCTATTGTGGTACTTTTTGATAGCTATGCTAGCATATTCTTCTGCCCAGCTGCTTTTAATTTACTCTTTTATGGGGGCATGAATGTCATTACTATGTCCCCTATTTCAAATGTTCTTGATGTTGTAGTTCTGCCGTATCATTTTTTCTCATCCTTTTACCACATTCTCTCTCATTAAAGGACATGTCACTTCCTTCATTAACTTAAAATTCACTACGGATTTTTAATTATCTGTGAGCTTTCAGAAATTCTTTAACTCAAAAGTTGCTGTCATTTTTGTTACATGCATGAGCTCAATTGCTGAGAATCCTTTCCAAACAAATCCTTTTAGAGGGTACTTTTGAAAATACATTCTTTAGATCATTCCAGTCTCAAGACTTGCTGGGAAAGTGGGGAGAAAACAGGGAGGAAAAGAGTTACTGATCAAATAAAATTAGGGAAAACCACATTCTATATTCATCTCATTGAGATTCACATATATATCAGCATATTAAAGGCTTGGATAAGTCCTATAGGAAAAACTGTTTTAACTCAGTATTTCCCAAACCTGCATAACCATGCAACCTCTTCCCACCACACAACATCTAATAAAATCCCACAGAATTTTACTATATGATAAACATTAGAAACACAATAAACATAATGCGTACTAAATAATAAGAGTTTACTATGTGATAGATATTATTGTCATTAGCATTAATAATCAGGTCAGTAAGTATTGTGACTCAACTAATCTATTACTCTAAAAATGGTAAACTGTGGTCTAATGTGTTCAGTCCAAAGCAAGCACCTTCACTGACCTTTGAAAATAATGTCAATTTACAATCTCCAATAGAAATTTCACAGAGAAGAATATTCTGAAAACCCTCAGAAACCTAAGTATTTAGCAACAATACTTCCAAAATGCTACTACTTCAAAATATCTGCAAGCATAATCAACTGAAGTTTGGATACAGCATGGTACAGCATGGTCTGAGGGAAGGTGCCTAACTGAGTTTTGGAGTAAAACATTCAAAGCCAGCCTAACATTCAAAGTCAGCCTTGTCCCTTAGCCTTTCTGAGCCACCATTTTCTTAATACATAATTGATAATATCACCACCAATTTTTGCAAAGTTGTTGTAACAATTAGAAACAACACACCTAGGACATAGTAGACATCAAAAAAATAACGTAACTGCTTTTGTGGTTCCAATGAGACTTGTTGACTTCCGAGAATCTAAAATTATATAATATTTGGTCATATAAACAGATGTACTTCATTTTCCAAT
Source organism: Homo sapiens (assembly GCF_000001405.40). Taxonomy (NCBI): domain Eukaryota; kingdom Metazoa; phylum Chordata; class Mammalia; order Primates; family Hominidae; genus Homo; species Homo sapiens. The sequence goes on from NC_000010.11 coordinate 99,092,923, forward strand.
AAGGACATTTCTTATAAAGTATTGCTGGCTGGGCACAGTGGCTCACGCCTATAATCACAGCACTTTGGAGGTCGAAGTGGGCAGATCACAAGGTCAGGAGTTTGAGACCAGCCTGGCCAACATAGTGAAACCGCATCTCTACTAAAATACAAAAAATTAACCGGGCATGGTGGTGTGTGCCTGTAGTCCCACCTACTTGGGAGGCTGAGGCAGGGGAATCACTTGAACCCAGGAGGCAGAGGTTGCAGTGAGCTGAGATCGTGCCACTGTACCTCCAGCCTGGTGACAGAGCAAGGCTCCATTTCAAAAAAAAAAGTATCGCCCTTTCTACCACTCAGGAATTCCCCTCTCAGCTCTGTTAACTAGCTATCAATCATAACTGTCTTGTTAAAATTTTTGCATGAGAATATTTTCCTGAAAAAAAAAACTAGTAACATTGACTTTATAAATTTAAAATTTTGAATAAATTTTTACATTCACGTGGTTTACGCAGCAAAACATCATAAAGAGGCATTGTCTGAGACTGTTTTGCACTCCCATGACAGAATACCAGACTGAGTAATTTATGAAGGGAAATTTAGTAGCTCGTAGTTCTGGGGGTTGAGAAGTCTAAGGTTGAGGCACCCGCAGGTTCAGTAACTGGTGAGGCCATCTTCTTCCAAGATGGTGCCTTGCATGCTGCATCATCACATAGCAGAAGGTGGAATGTCAAGTGCAAGAGCCCACTCCCAAAAGCACTTTTATAGCAGCATTGATACATTCATAAGGATGGAACTCTCATGAACTAATCACCTCCCATTAAGCATCACTTCCCAACATTGTTGCATCGGGATTAAGTTTCCAACACATGAATTTTGGAGGATACATTCAAACTATAGCAGGCATGTAGAGAAAAAAACTGCCTCTTAATCTATTTTTATTTATCCCATACCCTGCCTGTGTCCATCTCTAGATAATCACTTTTATTTGCTTCTTATATTTCTCTCTTGAATTTCTTTCCACAAACACATACTATGTGTATAGATATATATTTTCAATTTTTCAACTTTTTAAATTAAGTGCTCAATACATTGATTTTTTTACTCTTTCTTTATTGATAATTATCTGTGACTCCAAATTTTCCTAGGACCACTGTTTTAGCTCTATTTCACAGTTTCTAATATTTTGCTACCATTATTTTCCAGAAATTTTATAATTTAAAGTTGCTTATATTTTCCATTTGACCCATGAATTACTTAAAAGAGAGTTTGGGGGCTTTTATTTTTGTTTTTTAATTTCCACATTGGAGCAGGGTTTGTCGTCGTTCACGTTATTAATTTCTAGCTTTATTGAGGCACATATGGTTTAATCTTTGGGACTGTATTGAAACGTTCTCTATGAATTGTGAACATTTTACAGTCAAGTGCAGAAAATACTCCATGGAGTACTTAAAAAGGTTTATCTTCTTTATTTCAAAGTAAAAGTATGTGTATACACACATATACATTTCTATATCCAATTCATACTTTTGATGTCTACTTGCTCTATGTTGAACTGAGAAGTCATGATGTCATGAATATTAACATTTCAGTTATTCTCTCTTTTTTATCATTCATATATATATATATATATATATATATTTTTTTTTTTTTTTTTTTTTTTTTTTTTTTTCTGAGACAGAGTCTTTCTCTGTGGCCCAGGCTGGAGTGCAGTGGTGCCATCTTGGCTCTCTGCAACCTCTACCTCCCAAGCTCAAGCGATTCTCCTGCCTCAGCCTCTGGAGTAGCTGAGATTATAGGCACATGTCACCACACCTGGCTAATTTTTGTATTTTTAGTAGAGGCAGGGTTTCACCGTGTTGGCCAGGCTAGTCTCAAACTACTAACCTCTAGTGGTCCGCCCACCTCAGCCTCCCAAAGTGCTGGGATTACAGGCATGAGCCTCCACACCAGGCCAAATACCTTATTTTTTTATCTCTTAAATTTCCGCTTTAGAAAAGTTTGGAGCTGGTCACAGTGGCTCACACCTATAATCCCAGCACTTTGGGAGGCCAAGGTGGGAGGATCGCTTGAGGTCAGGAGTTCCAAACCAGCCTGGGCAACAAAGTGAGACTCCATCTCTACAAAAAATTTAAAAATTAGCTGAGTGTGGTGGTGTGTGCCTGTAGTCCCATCTTAGGGAGGCTGAGGCAGGAGTATCACCTGAGCCCAGGAGTTCAAGGCTGCAGTGAGCTATGATTACACCACTGCACTTTAGGTGGATAACAGACCTGAGACTTTGTCTTTTGGAAGAAAAAAAAAAGAAAAGAAAAGAATATGAGAAAAGTTGTTTTGGTACATAGATATTCACAACTATCATTGCATATTGTATCTATTAGTATTCAGCATGGTAAAGTTAGTTTCATCTCATTTAATGCTTTTTAGTTTAACATTCACTTTCACTGATATTTCTATTGTGACTCCTTTTTTGTATTTACCTGGTGACATTTTTAAACAGCTTCAGTGGGATGGAATTCTGCTATACTTCAACCATTTAAACTGTAGAATTCAATAGTTTTTAGTATATTTATAGTTGTGCAACCATCACCACATTCAATTTTAGAACATTTTCATCACCCACAAAAAGAAACGCTATTAGCAGGCACTCCCCATGTCCTTCAAAGCCTCCAGTTCTAGTTAACTACTAACCTACTTTCTGTCTCTATAGGTTTGACTATGCCAGACATCTCATATAAATGGAATCACACAATAATGTAACCATTTGTGAGTGGCATAGCACAATGTTTTCCAGGTTCATCCATGTTGTAGCATGTATCAATATTTCATTTCTTCTTATTGCTAAGTAATATTCCATTGTATGGATATATCACATTTTGTTTATCCATTCATCAGTAATTTCTACTTTTTAGCAATTATGACTAATGCTGTTATAAATATTTGTATACAAGTTTTTGTGTGGACATCCTGGTATACTTTTCACACTTTTTATTTTCAGTTCTTCTGAATTGCATTTTAAAGTACTTTCTTTGCTTGTATACAATGGACGGTGGTCTTACCTTATGGTGAAATCTGAAACTATTATTTTACTGGATGCATAAAGACCATATGCAAAAACATAAAAGAAAATTAATACCACCCATAATGGTATACTCAGGTATAAACTGTCTTTGATATATCTTCTTCAAATCTTCATAAAGTTCATATATTCCTTTTCAAAACGAAATTGAGATCATTCAGCAGATGGGTTTTGTACATGTTTTTCTCTTAACATTATCCACAAATATTTTTCCTCTTCATTAAAAATAAATCTATAAATTTAATAGCTGCATAACATTCCACTGAATAATTATACAATAGCACATAATTTTAAAATGTGGTTGTTTTCTTATCTAGCATTCTCCTAGATTTTGTAAACAATGAAAATAACAGTATTACTTAAATTTATTCAATACCATGTACTGGGCACTTATCTAAGTGCTTCACTTATTTAATCCTAACAACAATCCTATGGGGTAGACATTTTGTTGCCTATTTTAGAGATAAGAAAACTGAGGTCCAAGGTTGTCGAACAATGTTCCCAAAGTTAAAAATAAGAATGTCCTAAATATGTAGTTCCCCTCTACTTTATTAAAACATCCCTCTATATTGTCTATATTTTATACACTTCTCAGTGTACCTCTTCTGGATTGACTGATTAAACTTTTCCATTTAGGGATAATCCATATCATTGGACATTAAAATGTTTCCCAGGAATGGTATTTTCTCTAACTTGTGGAAATTGAGCTAAATTGTTGTGTTTTTTTTTTTCCTATTTTCCCACAGCGGGGGAAAAGCATCCTTGAGTAAACCCAAAGGTTTCCGCATACCCCTGAGGAAAGAATGAGAAGGTAACTGTTCTTACAGCAATCATGATATGGGACTTTCTATGTTCAGGAGCAAAGGGGAATCCATAGAAAAGGGCACAAGAGGCAGCTGGCTGGCTCAGAGCTATCCACACTGCATGGCAGAGACTTGAGACAAATGCAGCATTGGTGGGAGCCAAGGTAAAGCCATGCCAGACAGGGTGGACCACTAGGTCCTGACAAAACTGCATCTAAGGTTCCATCAGGAGTTATATCATTTGCAGACTTTAGGAGCATATGCAAATATGCTGCCTAGGAATGAAGTCCACTAAATCCGGCTCACTAGTTATCAGCCAGTATATACCCAAGGACAAGACCAGCACAAGGCCAGGGTCTAAGTCTCACTCTACAAACATACTTGAACACTAATTCAGAAAAAAGCAACACCACTATTTGCATCTGTGCTTCAAATAGGGGACAGAGACAGTTCACTGCCCTTACATCTACTATAAGGTAACAAAGAAAAAATAAGTTCAAAGAAAAGGCATCTATCTTTTGGTTTAAGAACTTTTATATTTCCTAAGTCCCTACAAAGCTAAAAAGCAAAGCCTCTTTTACATCTTAAGAGACATTTGATCATTTGAATAATATTAAAAAATTTTATGTATTTAATGTGTTTTAGGGTTTCTCTAATATTCTGGAAAATAACTGACCTGGCCCAATTAGTTCTAAAGCTTTCTTTTCGCAGTAAACTCTAGCATTCTCTTTTTAAAATTTAAGCATCTCTGTTAACTAAATTTTTAAAAGGTTAATAAAATTTTATTTTACATGGTTGCAAACTTATTTTAATAGTGATAACTTCACAATAGTAATCTTTTAAAATTATTTTCTTAAACACAATATAGTTAACACCTAGGAATATCCCTATGTTGTAACACTACTGCAAAATTCAGCAAGATTTTACAATTTTTAAAGTACTTCTAATGTAACTTATTTCACTTAATCTAAACTATAATCCTACGAACTAGATAGAAATTATCTCGTTTTATAGATAAGACAATGGGTTTACAGAAATTGAATAATATGTCCAAAATGAAACTGGTAGTAAATGGAAGAACCAGGACTGAATCCCAGATCTTCCGCTTTCAAAAAACAAAGCAGACAGGAAAAGTCACTGTCTCCTCATGAAGTTGTCAAGACTCTGATGTGGCTAGGGCTTCTATGGCTATAACTTATTTTTGAAGGTTCTATACTTCCCGCTGAGGGTCTATCTTTTCCATTTCCAAGTGTAATCCAACCTCAGCCCTTTGTCATTCAATTCTGACACAAATATTACTAACATTTCATATTTTAAGAAAGTCTATACAGTTAGTCCTACATATCTATGGGTTCCACAGATTTCAATCCATGAATTCAATCAACCATGTGTTGGAAATAAATAACTGAAAAGTAACAATACAACAATAAAAATAATATAAATTTAAAAACCAATACAGCAAAACAACTATTTACATAGAATTTACACTGTATTATGTATTAAAAGTAATCTAGAAATGATGTAAATCTAGATGTGTGTAGGTTATATGAAAATATTAACCCATTTTATATCAAGGAGTTGGGCACCCTCAGATTTTGGTATCAATAAGGGTCCTGGAATAAATCCCCAACAAATGCTGAGAGATGACTGTATATTTTGCAAATAGGCTATTTTCAATTCCATTGCTTTTAGCCTTCTTGAATTTTACAGAGCTTAAGTCTCTCTTAGTATTTCTTTGGTATGATATAATAAACCCTAGATGAGTACTTCTTATGTGCCACTTTTATTCTTAACTCCATCTTACCTGAATCATTAAAATGCAAAAATCATCTGTTCCATTTAGGTATGTAGAAAACGTTGGTTCTTAAAAATCTCTTAAAATATTGCTACTTTATTTATTACACATAGAAAATATGTTCTGAAATTTCCATAAGAAAAAAGTCACAGAATCAGCTTCACTTATGATAATTATTTTATTGACATAGACTTTAACAGGGTTTGGGTTCAATTTACATACGATGTTAATAATATTTTATCAGTAATACTTCACCAACAATTTTTGAACCTGCATAGGCTGACTAAAGTGCTACGGTTCTCATAAACTAGTACATAAAGAGCAGGTCTGATTTTAATATAAGAGAAAAACAATGTTAACATTAAATATGCATTATTATATTTTAAACATCTCCTTTTTTTCAAAGCTTTGGTTATATAATATTAATAATAGCATTCTCGTTCCAAGATGGCCAAATAGGAACAGCTCCAGTCTACAGCTCCCAGCGTGAGTGATGCAGAAGATGGGTGATTTCTGCATTTCCAACTGAGGTACTGGGTTCATCTCACTGGGGCTTGTCAGACAGTGGGTGCAGGACAGTGGGTGCAGCCCACCGAGTGTGAGCTGAAGCAGCGCGAGGCATCGCCTCACCCAGCAAGTGCAAGGGGTCAGGGAATTCCCTTTCCTAGCCAAGGGAAGCTGTGACAGACGGCACCTGGAAAATCAGGTCACTCCCACTCTAATACTGCGCTTTTCCAACAGTCTTAGCAAATGGCACACCAGGAGATTATATCCCGCACATGGCTCACAGGGACCCATGCCCGTGGAGTCTCGCTCATTGCTAGCACAGTAGTCTGAGATCAAACTGCAAGGCAGCAGCGAGGCTGGGGGAGGGGTGACCGCCATTGCTGAGGCTTGGGTAGGTAAACAAAGCAGGCTGGAAGCTTGAACTGGGTGGAACCCACCACAGCTAAAGGAAGCCTGCCTGCCTCTGTAGGCTCCAACCCTGGGGGCAGGGCATAGCTGAACAAAAGGCAGCAGAAACCTCTGCAGATTTAAATGTCCCTGTCTGACAGCTTTGAAGAGAGTAGTGGTTCTCCAAGCACAGAGTTTGAGACCTAAGAACAGACAGACTGCCTCCTCAAGTGGGTCCCTGATCCCCGAGTAGCCTAACTGGGAGGCACCCCCTAGTAGGGGCAGAGTGACACCTCACACGGCTGGGTATCCCTCTGAGACGAAGCTTCCAGAGAAACAATGAGGCAGCTACATTTCCTGTTCAGCAATATTCACCGTTCTGCAGCCTCCACTGCTGATACCCAGGCAAACAGGGTCTGGAGTGGACCTCCAGCAAACTCCAGCAGAACTGCAGCTGAGGGTCCTGACTATTAGAATGAAAACTAACAAACAGAAAGGACATTTACACCAAAACCCCATCTGTATGTCACCATCATCAAAGACTAAAGGCAGATAAAACCACAAAGATGGGGAAAAAACAGAGCAGAAAAGCTGAAAATTCTAAAAATCAGAGCACCTCTACTCCTCCAAAGGAACGCAGCTCCTTGTCAGCAATGGAACAAAGCTGGGTGGAGAATGACTTTGACAAGTTGAGAGAAGAAGGCTTCAGACAATCAAACTTCTCCGAGCTAAAGAAGGAAGTTCGAATCCATCGCAAAGAAGCTAAAAACCTTGAAAAAAGATTAGATGAATGGCTTACTAGAATAACCAGCATAGAGAAGTCCTTAAATGACCTGATGGAGCTAAAAACCATGGCACAAGAACTACATGACAAATACATAAGCTTCAGTACCCAACTCGATCAACTGGAAGAAAGGGTATCAGTGACTGAAGATCAAATGAATGAAATGAAGTGAGAAGAGAAGTTTAGAGAAAAAAGAGTAAAAAGAAACAAATAAAACCTCCAAGAAATAGGGGACTATGTGAAAAGACCAAATCTACATCTGACTGGTGTACCTGAAAGTGACGGGGAGAACGGAACCAAGTTGGAAAACACTCTGCAGGATATTAGCCAGGAGAACTTTCCCAATCTAGCAAGGCAGACCAACATTCAAATTCAGGAAATACAGATAACGCCACAAAGATACTCCTCAAAAACAGCAACTCCAAGACACATAATTGTCAGATTCACCAAAGTTGAAATGAAGGAAAAAATGTTAAGGGCAGCCAGAGAGAAAGGTCGGGTTACCCTCAAAGGGAAGCCCATCAGACTAACAGCAGATCTCTCGTCAGAAACTCTACAAGCCAGAAGAGAGTAGGGGCCAATATTCAACATTCTTAAAGAAAAGAATTTTCAACCCAGAATTTCATATCCAGCCAAACTAAGCTTCATAAGTGAAGGAGAAATAAAATACTTTACACACAAGCAAAGGCTGATTTTGTCACCACCAGGCCTGCCCTAAAAGAGCTCCTGAAGGAAGCACTAAACATGGAAAGGAACAACCGGTACCAGCCACTGCAAAAACATGCCAAATTGTAAAGACCATCGAGGCTAGGAAGCAACTGCATCAACTAACGAGCAAAATAACCAGCTAACATCATAATGACAGGATAAAATTCATACATTACAATATTAACCTTAAATATAAATGGGCTAAATGCTCCAATTAAAAGACACAGACTGGCAAACTGTATAAAGAGTCAAGACCCATCAGTGTGCTGTATTCAGGAAACCCATCTCACATGCAAAGACACACATAGGCTCAAAATAAAGGGATGGAGGAAGATCTACCAAGCAAATGGAAAACAAAAAAAGGCAGGGGTTGCAATCCTAGTCTCTCATAAAACAGACTTTAAACCAACAAAGATCAAAAGAGACAAAGAAGGACATTACATAATGGTAAAGGGATCAATTCAACAAGATGGGCTAACTATCCTAAATATATATGCACCCAATACAGGAGCACCCAGATTCACAAAGCAAGTCCTTAGAGACCTACAAAGAGACTTAGACTCCCACACAATAATAATGGGAAACTTTAACACCCCACTGTCAACATTAGATCAACAAGACAGAAGTTAACAAGGATATCCAGGAATTGAACTCAACTCTGCACCAAGTGGACCTAATAGACATCTACAGAACTCTCCACCCCAAATCAACAGAATATACATTCTTCTCAGCACCACATCTCACTTATTCCAAAACTGACCACATAGTTGGAAGTAAAGCACTCCTCAGCAAATGTAAAAGAACAGAAATTATGACAAACTCTCTCTCAGACCACAGTGCAATCAAACTAGGACTCAGGATTAAGAAACTCACTTAAAACTGCTCAACTACATGGAAACTGAACAACCTGCTCCTGAATGACTACTGGGTACATAACGAAAAGAAGGCAGAAATGAAGATGTTCTTTGAAACCAATGAGAACAAAGACACAACATACCAGAATCTCTGGGACACATTTAATGCAGTGTGTAGAGGTAAATTTATAGCACTAAATGCCCACAAGAGAAAGCAGGAAAGATCTAAAATTGACATCCTAACATCACAATTAGAACTAGAGAAGCAAGAGCAAACACATTCAAAAGCTAGCAGAAGGCAAGAAATAACTAAGATCAGAGCAGAACTAAAGGAAATAGAGACACAAAAAACCCTTCAAAAAATTAATGAATCCAGGAGCTGGTTTTTTGAAAAGATCAACAAAATTGATAGACCACTAGCAAGACTAATAAAGAAGAAAAGAGAGAAGAATCAAATAGATGCAATAAAAAATGATAAAGGGGATATCACCACCGATCCCACAGAAATACAAACTACCATCAGAGAATACTATAAACACCTCTACGGAAATAAACGAGAAAATCTAGAAGAAATGGATAAATTCCTGGACACATACACCCTCCCAAGACTAAACCAGGAAGAAGTTGAATCCCTGAATAGACCAATAACAGGCTCTGAAATTGAGGCAATAATTAATACCCTACCAACCAAAAAAAGGCCAGGACCAGATGGATTCACAGCCGAATTCTACCAGCGGTACAAGGAGGAGCTGGTACCATTCTTTCTGAAACTATTCCAATCAATAGAAAAAGAGGGAATCCTCCCTAACTCATTTTATGACGCCAGCATCATCCTGATACCAAAGCCTGGCAGAGACACAACAAAAAAAGAGAATTTTAGACCAATATCCCTGATGAACAACGATGCAAAAATCCTCAATAAAATACTGGCAAACCGAATCCAGCAGCACATCAAAAAGCTTACCCACCATGATCAAGTGGGCTTCAACCCTGGGATACAAGGCTGGTTCAACATATGCAAATCAATAAATGTAATCCATCATATAAACAGAACCAAAGACAAAAACCACATGATTATCTCAACAGATGCAGAAAAGGCCTGTGACAAAATTCAACAACCCTTCATGCTAAAAACTCTCAATACATTAGGTACTGATGGGACGTATCTCAAAATAATAAGAGCTATTTATGACAAACCCACAGCCAATATCATACTGAATGGGCAAAAACTGGAAGCATTCCCTTTGAAAACCGGCATAAGACAGGGATGCCCTTTCTCACCCCTCCTAGTCAACATAGTGTTGGAAGTTCTGGCCAGGGCAATTAGGCAGGAGAAGGAAATAAAGGGTATTCAATTAGGAAAAGAGGAAGTCAAATTGTCCCTGTTTGCAGATGACATGATTGTATATCTAGAAAACCCCATTGTCTCAGCCAAAAATCTCCTTAAGCTGATAAGCAACTTCAGCAAAGTCTCAGGATACAAAATCAATGTACAAAAATCACAAGCATTCTTATACACCAATAACAGACAAACAGAGAGCCACATCATCAGTGAACTCCCATTCACAATTGCTTCAAAGAGAATAAAATACCTAGGAATCCAACTTACAAGGGATGTGAAGGACCTCTTCAAGGAGAACTACAAACCACTGCTCAATGAAATAAAAGAGGATACAAACAAATGGAAGAACATTCCATGCTCATGGGTAGGAAGAATCGATATCGTGAAAATGGCCATACTGCCCAAGGTCATTTATAGATTCAATGCCATCCCCATCAAGCTACCAATGACTTTCTTCGCAGAATTGGAAAAAACTACTTTAAAGTTCATATGGAACCAAAAGAGAGCCCGCATTGCCAAGACAATCCTAAGCCAAAAGAACAAAACTGGAGGCATCATACTACCTGACTTCAAACTATACTACAAGGCTACAGTAACCAAAACAGCATGGTACCGGTACCAAAACAGAGATATAGACCAATGGAACAGAACAGAGGCCTCAGAAATAACACCACACATCTACAACCATCTGATCATTGACAAACCTGACAAGAACAAGAAATGGGGAAAGGGTTCCCTATTTAATCAATGGTGCTAGGAAAACTGGCTAGCCATATGGAGAAAGCTGCAACTGGATCCCTTCCTTACACCTTATACAAAAATTAATTCAAGATGGATTAAAGACTTACATGTTAGACCTAAAACCATAAAAACCCCAGGAGAAAACTTAGGCAATACCATTCAGGACATAGGCATGGACAAGGACTTTATGTCTAAAACACCAAAAGCAATGGTAACAAAAGCCAAAATTGACAAATGGGATCTAATTAAACTCAAGAGCTTCTGCACAGCAAAAGAAACTACCATCAGAGTGAACAGGCAACCTACAGAATGGGAGAAAAATTTTGCAATCTACTCATCTGGCAAAGGGCTAATATCCAGGTTCTACAAAGAACTCAAACAAATTTACAAGAAAAAAACAAACAACCCCATCAACAAGTGGGTGAAGGATATGAATAGAAATGCAAATCAAAAACCACAATGAGACACCATCTCACACCAGTTAGAATGGTGATCATTAAAAAGTCAGGAAACAGCAGGTGCTGGAGAGGATGTGGAGAAATAGGAACACTTTTACACTGTTGGTGGGACTGTAAACTAGTTCAACCATTGTGGAAGACAGTGTGGCAATTCCTCAACAATCTAGAACTAGAAATACCATTTGACTCAGCCATCCCATTATTGGGTATATACCCAAAGGATTATAAATCATGCTGCTATAAAGACACATGCATATGTTTGTTTATTGCGGCACTCTTCACAACAGCAAAGACTTGGAACCAACCCAAATGTCCATCAATGATAGACTGAATTAAGAAAATATGGCACATATACACCATGGAATACTATGCAGCCATAAAAAAGGATGAGTTCATGTGCTTTGTAAGGACATGGCTGAAGGTGGAAACCATCATTCTCAGCAAACTATTGCAAGGACAAAAAACCAAACACCACATGTTCTCACTCATAGGTGGGAATTGAACAATGAGAACACATGGACACAGGAAGGGGAACATCACACACCGGGGCCTGTCGTGGGGTCGGGGGAGAGGGGAGGGATAGCATTAGGAGATATAACTAACGTAAATGACGAGTTAATGGGTGCAGCACACCAACATGGCACATGTATACATATGTAACAAACCTGCATATTGTGCACATGTACCCTAGAACTTAAAATATAATAAAAAAAAAAAAAAAGAAAAGCTAGGAGTCAAAACATCATAGAAACATCATAGTCTAGTGAGGGGTATCCAGCCTGTCTATTGCTACAGTTTTTCATCCATGGCCTTTTTATGTCTAACTAAACCCTATTTAGATTTCCCTGGTAGTAACTGTAACAGATAGTATTTATGTGTCTGTCTTTTCCAACCAGACTATAATCTTCTCAAGAGAGATTCTAGTGGATGTGCACTGATATCATATTGTGCTTTTAATTTCAACTTTCCTGTTGGTTAATGATGTTAAGCATCTTTTCATGTGCTTATTAGCCATTTGAATATCTTCTTTGGAAAAATGTCTAATCATGTCCTTTTCCCATTTTTTAATCAGGTTATTTTTTTTTTCTCTGTGAGTGTTTTCTGTCTCTTTTTAATTGGGTTTTTTTTTATAATCGAGTTGTAAGAGTTTTTTTTTTCTATTCTGGATAGAAGACCTTTACCAGATATATAATATGCAATTTTTTGTCCAGCTTGTGACTTGTCTTTTTATTTTCTTAATAGTGTCTTTTGAAGTACAAAAGTTTTTAATTTTAATGAGGTTAAATTTATCATTTTTCTCATGGCCCTAGCTGTTATGGTTATGTCTAAGAACTCTTTGCCCACACCAAGAACATGAGAACTTTCTCCTATCTTTTATTGTAGAAGATTTATAGTTTTACCTGGTACATTATGTCTATGGTCCATTTTGAGCTAAACTTCGTGTGTGGTCTGAGGTAATGATCTAAATTTATTTTTTTTAATCCGAATATCCACTTGTCCCAGTACTACTTGTTGAAAAGACTAGCTTTTCACTCTTATATTGTTTTAATACCTTTGTCAAAAATCATAAGCGATTATTGCAAACTCTTAATTCTGTTCCATTTATCTGTATACCTATCTTTATACAAATACCACACTGTCTCCATTATTATAGTATTACAAAATGTTTTGATATTGAGTAGTAAAAATTTTCTAAATTTGTTCTTCCTTTTTCAAAATTATTTTGGTTATTCTAGATCCTTTGCATTTCTTTATAAATTTTAGGAGAAACCTGTCAATTTCTACACAAAAGCCTACTGGGATTTTGATAAAGATTGTGTTAAATCTGCAGATTAATTTGAGGAAAACTGTCATCTTAACAATATTGAGTTCTCCAATCCATGATCATAGGCTGTCTCTCTATTTTAAATTTTCTTTATTTCAAGAATGGTTTATAAAATGCAATGTACAATTATCATACTTTTGTTAAATTGTTGGTAGATGCCCTTTATCAGAATGAAGTTTCTTCTAGTTTGCTGAGAATTTTTATTATAAATGTTGGGTTTTATCAAATGTTTTTTCTGCATCTTTGAGATGATGTATTTTTGTCCTTCATTCTATTAATATGATATATACATTGCACTACTGATTTTCAAATATAAAGACAATCTTGCATTTCTGAAATAAATCCAACTGGGTCATGATATATATAATCTTTTTTATAAGTTTTACATGTTGTTGAATTGACTTTGTTAGTAAGTTATTAAAGAACTTTGTATCTAAAAATAATAATAATAATAATATTAATAATGGCTGCCACTTACCTAAGGGCTTACTATAAGATAGATACTGTGCTAAACCTAAACATACAAACTACTTAATCTTCATAATAACCTTATGAAGTAGATAATATTATCCCCATTTATAGCTAATAAAGTTGGGGCTTAAAGTGGTTATTTTCCAAAGTTTCACTATTAAAGTTAAAGTTAGCATTCTAGTCCTGCTGACTCATTCTAGGCCTTTCTGACTCTTAAGTTTGTTTTTGTTGTTTTTTGAGATGGCATCTCACTCTATCACCCAGGCTGGAGTGCAGTGGTGTGATTTCAGCTCGCTGCAACCTCTGCCTCCTGGATGCAAGCGATTCTCCTGCCTCAGCCTCCCCAGTAGTTAGGACTACAGGTGTGCACCACCATGCCTGGTTAATTTTTGTATTTTTAGTAGAGATGGGGTTTCATCATGTTGGCTGGGCTGGTCTTAAACTCCTGACCTCAGGGGATCCACCCGCCTTGGCCTCCCAGAGTGCTGGGATTACAGGTGTGAGCCACCACATCTGGCCTCTGACTCTTAAGTTTTAAGAATTTACTACTTTTCACTAATTTTTCTATATCCTTTTCTCTGATATTAATCTGATAATAGTTTAGACATCTTTTGAAACAGAGTATTTAAACCTTCCCTTAAAGAAACTTTCCTTTAGTTATGAAAGATTAACCAACCATACTTTTAAGTACCAATCAGTTTCTATTCTGATACTGCAATTTTTTGAAATTTCTACCATTGGTTTTTCTAGCCCTTTATCATGTCTTAGCAATTATCTCCCTATTTCCCATCTAATTTGGAAAATGGGTTAGTACTTTCCATCAAACCATGCCGTCTTCTACCTCAAGCAACACTAAGCATAAATTTAATTTTACATGTGCCTATTAAGATTGTAATTCTAAATTATATTTTTATTTTGCATTTATTTTTAGATCAATATTTAACACTTTGTTTAGTGAGCTACCCTGGAAATCAAGAACATATATTCAACTTATTGTTCTCCATGGCACCATTATACCTATATACACATTTAATTTTCAGTTAATAAATGACTGACTGATAAAAGACTACTCAAAATACCAATAGCACATTATTGGAAATTTTATGGAAGTTTCTGAACTTCTAGATGAACATTCAACAAGTACCTCCCAGGTACACGCTCATTTAGTATATTTGGTTTTCTTGGAATGAAGAAAGAGAAGAAAATGAACACTAAGTATTTCCTGGATTCATTATTCTAAAAGAGCATCCTATTATCCTTCTGCAAATATTAATATTCCACTGAGAAGCAAGATTGAACTATTTGTAAGGAGACCTTTTAACAGCTTAAATCTGTTTTGCTTTTTCAATTAGGATATAAAAATATAGACCTAACTCCTATAAATTAAACAGACTATTCCTCTCTAGATGAAGGAATTAAAAATGGCTGAAGCAGATAGTGACATTCCATGCCTCCTCTTTGAAAGATAGTTCAGAGCGCCTGGAAAGCAAAGATACTGTTATTTTGAGCTACTACATAGCAAACAGCTAAGAATGAAAAAAAGAGACAGGTAACTAGGCAGTTGGAAAAGTGACTTGTGCCAGAGGATTTGAGAGTCTGTTGAAAGCCTATTATACTCTGAGAGATTAGAAGAAAAGTACTAAGCAAGTATTTTATAACTTTGGACTAACAGACATAAGCTAAAAAGAGGCCATACTGAAAGAAACCTGTAGCAACTAGTGTGGTAAGTCTGAGAGAAGACACTGTTTAGAAAAAAAAAAAAAATCAGTTCATTTTAGTAACACAGTATACCCCTTATGTTTAGATATCTGTTTCTTCCAATTTCACTGTATATATTTCATGGCTAACTTATTTTATCACATAAACAATCATAATTCTATTAAAAACACAAGCATGTGATAGAGGGATATTGTTTTTCTCCATTATCCCTGCCTAAAGTTTATTCATTACTCTATAACGAGACCATATTAGCAACTACCAATAGCCATCAAAAATAAAAGTGAAAGACTTATAGAAAATTTAGAAGTCCCTCCTAGGTTTATACTGTAGCCTTAGTCCTTTTAGCATGAAGTGGTTTCTTAAATTAGATGCTCTTGTAAGTGACACCTTTACTACAGGGACTTAAAAGTCTCAGTAGGCCATAAAAGGTTAAGTATATGGCACATTTTCAATAAAATTTAACTATATCCTCTCATGCATTTTACAATTCATATTCTTCCTTCAAGACTCAGGTAAGACATCCACATAGTGAAGCCCCTCCCTATTCCCCAGGCAAGTTAGTCTGAGTTCCACAACACTTTATCCTTATCTCTAAGAGTACAGCACTTATCCTCCATGTGTTGTCATGAATCTCGGTCAGGAAGGCTCACCCAGGGTTGAAACACTAATGTACTTATGGCAACCATTTTGTGAGTGACAACCTCTGCATTCAACAAAGCAGCCTCTCAATAAAAATTGTGGAGTACATATACAAATCAAGTCTTTAATTGTATAACTGTTTTCCAATTGGGCAAAATGTTACTTCATTTCCAGGAAAGAAAGCATTTTACAATGTAATGGGAAGAACAATGAACTCAAAATCCAAAGTTTAGATTTTAGTCCCACCTACATAACTGTGTGACCTTGAAAAAACAGCCTCAGTTTATCTACCTACAATGTATCAGGGTAAAACTTGATTTCTAATAACACTTTCAAATTAAATTTTATTTAATTTGGAAACTTTTTTATCTGGTTAACTTTTTATGAGTTGCTTGGAATTATTGCCTAGAGTACTAAATGCTAAAATGATGACTTCAGCCAAGCAAACAAAAGAGTCATTCCCAACTAGCACAGGGTGGAATAGATTATTTCGCAGCTGAAACTGGTCAACTCCGAGAAAGGAATGATAATGCTAACCAGGAAGGTCTTGTGCTATATGGGGTTGTCTCTTTACTGCCTCTTCATCTCAAGAGAAGTGTTCTCAAGAATAAAACTGGCAGCATTCAATACCCACCAACACTCCAGAATGCGCTTTGGCTACAAAATCAATGTGGGCCCTGTGTTTCTCTTCCATTCTCCTCTTCTACAAAGAGGTTAAAGATGACATGAAGAAAAATTTTCCATACACTAGGTTGGGTATTGCTAGTTCATAAGAAAAGATATTATGGAGTTATCACAGATAACAATTAAGTTGGAAGAAATAAAAGTAGTAAACAAAAATGTTTAATATGAGTCGGGTTGTGGAGGTCCCATGAAAATCAAGTTCTGTGAATCTACTCATATGAAGGATCAAGAAATAAAGGCCTGGAGTCAGTGATGTGAGGTGGGTGAGGGAGGAAATAAAAATTATTTAAGGAAGGCAGACCAACTTGTTCTCCAGAAATTATACGATAGCAAAAATTTGTATCACAAGCAAACATCTCTTAAACATCATAAAGAGAATTATCTGATTCAAAGACATAAGGATATTAGTTCGTTGGTTTTTCCTCCTAAAAGAATATAATCTTGAAACTATTTTAAAAGAAAAAGACATGCTCTATAGCACTAGTTTACTGCAGTGTTTTCTGCTTAGTATATACTCTTCTTTTAGGCTAGGTAGGCCCACTTGAAAAAGAGACTGCATTAGCAGCTGGAGAGCCTAGTTGGCTCTTCAGCCGTAAATCCTCTCTTAAGAGAGTGGTGCAGCAGCCACAGAATAAACGTAGAAACTGCTCCTCAGGGTATGTGCAAAAGCTCCACCCTTGAAAGGCATACTATGTCCTACTTGCCCTATGAGAAGAGAATAATGAGTATTCTCCGTCCTTTCAACACAGATTATGACTTGAATGCACTGGAAAGGAGAAGACTTTGGAGAAGTAAGACTCAATTATACAAGGATATATAAAATCCCATTTTCCACAAAAGAAGTTGAAAAGTAGTAATCCTGGGAAAATATGTTCAGAGTAAATAGAAATTGGCCATTAAAAATAATGATTTTATGGATAAAATAAATATTATACTTAAATCCTAACGACAGAAGAAAAATACCACTTTTATTAATCTCTCCTTTACTAATATATTAGAAAGCACAAAAATTCTATTGAAATTACCCAAAAAAATTGCAAAAGCATCAGTCAAATCATCATTATTTTGTGTCAAATTATTCTCCTGCCTTTGTTGTTTTATCAAAAGACTCATGGACAGATCCAAGTTCATCTACATTTTCTCCTATGTTGTCATCTATATTTTCTCCTATGTTATCTTCTAAAAGCTTTACAGTTTATCATTTTACACTTAGGTCTATGATCCATTTTAAGTGATCCATTAAAATGGTTTATTAATCCATTTTTAATCCATGATCCATGAGTTAATTTTTATGAAAGATATAAAGTCTGTTTTCAGACTCATTTTTTTTGTGTATCTAGATAGCCAGTTGTTCTGGTGCCATGTGTCAAAAAGACTATCCTTCCTCCATTGAATTACCCTTCCTCCTTTGTCAAAGATCAGTTTACTATATATATGGGGGTCTATTTCTGCGCTCTCTATTCTGTCCCATTGATCTATTTGTCTATTCTTTCACCAATACCACGTGGTCTTGATTATTGTCATTTTATAGTAAGTATTGAGTTGGGACTTGTCAGCCCTCTGACTTTGTTCTTCCTCTTTAGTATTGTGTTGGCTATTCTAGTTCTTTTGTCTTTCCATATACACTTTTATAAGTGAATTCATAATTTTGTATTCTTTTTCTTAAAGAGAGCCTCTGTAATTCTGTAAGCTACAGACTCCACAAAATTAGGACCCACCTCTGCATAGTTCAAGTTATGATTATAGATTAAAATCTAGAGGGAGAAGGCAGAGGGCTGAGACCCTGCTGTATATCCTTATATAAGGAGAAGAGAGAAATGAAGAAAAAGAACAAGAAGGAAGAAAGACTGCGTTCCTTTCAAATTGTTCAACAATTCGAATTCCAAACCACATATCTACAGGTGCCTAAATATAGTACCTCTAATCTCAGTATACAAAAAAGATATGTTACTTACCTATAAACCAGTTTGTTTATTTGAAAGCATCAGATACTACCAACAACTTTGAAGAAAACTGTGCTGCTATGCCTATGCCTTTTAGTTTTCAAACAGTTCTTAATTTCCAAAACAGATGCTAACCAGAATTTTAGTGTAAGAGTAGGAAACTTTTAGTACCACTTCCTTTATGAAAAGCCCTTTAATTCCCCTAGGCCAACTCAGACTCCTATTCCTCCAATATAGCCCCAATGCTAGAGATCTGTAATTGTTTGTACATATTTCAAATATTAAATATTGTACATATTGAAGTATAACTTCAGTGAGGGCAGGGATTGGGTCAAGTCTTATCATCTACATATCCCTAGTGAGTAGCACAGTGCTAGCACATGCCAGCACATTCTAGGTGCTCAAATATGGGTTGAGTGAATATTAACAAAAGGCAAATACTCTAATTCCAAGTTTATGAATGAGGAAGCTGAGGGTTGCCCCAGAATACATGCGAAGCAAATGGCAAAGCTAAAATCCAGGTCTCTCAACTCTGAAAATTTCTCCCTAATACAGTAACAATAATATATTTTATAACATAAGCCATAGGAGAACAAAATGACTATTTAATTTTTCTTTTTTGAGACAGAGTCTCGCTCTGTCACCCAGGCTGGAGTACAGTGGCACAATCTTGGCTCACTGCAAGCTCCACCTCCTGGGTTCACACCATTCTCCTGCCTCAGCCTCCCGAGTAGCTAGGACTACAGGCGCCTGCCACCATGCCCGGCTTTTTTTTGTTGTGTTTTGTTTTGTTTTGTTTTGTTTTGTTTTGTTTTGTTTTGTTTTTGTATTTTTAGTAGAGACGGGGTTTCACCATGTGAGCCAGGATGGTCTTGATCTCCTGACCTCGTGATCCGTTTGCCTCGGCCTCCCAAAGTGCTGGGATTACAGGCGTGAGCCACCGTGCCCGGCCAAAAATGACTATTTCAAATGAAGATAAAGTTATTTTTCCCTGCTGGCTAAGTACAATTTATCATTTCCTACTCCCACCATACTTCCACCCTCACCCAGATTATATGTGAACTTTATTTTCAGATTTGTAAATTTTCTTCATACTAAGAAAAATGAACAGGTAACATATAATAGCTGAAGCCATTACTTTCTAATGAAACAGACAGAACACTAAAGAATTGGTAGGATGGTTGCATTTCTCTTCTTCAGAACTGTAACAGAGACCAGATCTGCTCTGGGAAAGTAGTGTGGCAAGTATGTTCAATTGCCCACACCCACGCAATCTCTATAATAAACTATGTTTCTTTTAAGGCCTAGACTCATACACACACACACATATACACATGCATGGAAAATTTTAGTTCTGACAACCATGAAACTTAAGGACTTACTTCTTTTGGACTCCATTTAGCTCATTTTCACTTTGCATTGTGATTGTATCTGAGACATGAGCTTATTTATGGAAGTTTTTGTAAAGGATAGGCAACCCTCTATTAGTAACAATATAACAATGACAACAATAGCAACCATTCATTGAGTGCATGGCTTCTTATTAAGCATTCAATAATATTAGCTAATCTAATCCTCATGATCTTATATTGCTTTCCCTACTATATAAATGGGAGTGAGATCAAGTAGTTTGCACAAGCTCCATAAAACTAGTACATGGTAAATACAGAATCCAAACCTACGTCTGTTTAACCCCAAAGTTCCTGCTCATAACCATTCTTCTATGTTGCTTTTAGGAATAAAGGACTTCACAGGTTGGTGGTCTCTAAATATTTTTATTGTATATACTTATTGATAAAACATTTTTGAACATATATCATTCATATATACATACGTATATACACACATGTATATTACATATGCACCTACTGCGGTAATATATAATTACATTATAAAACAGATCAAACAGAATTTTAAATTAATCAGCTGAAAATTAAGTAATATTTTTAAAATTTGTTTTACTTTGATAATGGTTCAAAAACCATTTTGCTCCATTTAAAGAACAGTATTAATAATTATGTTCTGGGCATTATATAAACTTTCAATAAGATTCATGAAATATAACAAATGTAAATCCAAGTTTCAAATAGTTTTTTAATAACAGACTTTTTTAACTCTTTAAAATTTTTTAGTTTTATAAAATTAGAGGTACAAGTGCAGTTGTGTTACATGAATATACTGTGTATTAGTGAAGTAATTTAGGTTTTTTTTTTGGCTCAACTTCTTTTCGGACTATTTTTACCTCATTACATGGCTGACCAAGAGTTCATATTAAAGACAAACCA
Organism: Homo sapiens; assembly: GCF_000001405.40. Lineage (NCBI taxonomy): Eukaryota > Metazoa > Chordata > Mammalia > Primates > Hominidae > Homo > Homo sapiens. The sequence continues at coordinate 99,113,922 of NC_000010.11, forward strand.
TTAGCTTTGCAATTTTCTTGTTGTTCCTATGTGCTGACATTATTAGTACTATATTTAATCCAATTTATTTTCAAAAATCCCTTTACTTTAAGTCCACTTAGCTAGGGACATGTGAACTGCAACACGTTGAAATACACTGGAAATAAACTAATCAATTAGGAAAAATTTCCACTCCAATCTCAGAATAAACCAGAATTGTACAAAACAAGTCATCTTCTTACAGGTTATTAGCAAAACTTCCCCACCCAGGGGATTTCCTTGCATATCTTCTGAAGTGCCTCTACACCCTCTCTGGCCCACACCTGACCTTGGACAGCACTTAACTAAATACTCTAAAATTCACCCATATTCAACCAAATCTGGAAAGAGCTGTCTGCATTTAAGTCACCGTCCAAAAAAAATTCCTTTTTATTCAATGAGTTTTGATGTGATGTCATCAAACTAAATGAAGGAACCTCTAAGAAACTGCTTCTCATACTGAGAAAACAGGAGAGCTAAAGTTAAAATGAATTCAAAGGACTTCTTCCTACATCATCTTTAACAAAGGAAGATGAAAAACAAGAAGTAATCATCATCTCTTCAGATCTCTTAACACAAAGACTTCTACAAACATGGAGGAAGTTCATTCTGAAATTCATAAAGACAAAGTTTCAACAACTTAGGATATAAATAAATCAATGTTCCCAAGTCTAATCCTGAGAAAAGAAGAATGGCTGGGTGCGGTGGCTCATGCCTGTAATCCCAGCACTTTGGGGGGCTGAGACGGGTGGATCACGAGGTCAGGACATCGAGACCATCCTGGCTAACATGGTGAAATCCCGTCTCCACTAAAAATACAAAAAATTGGCTGGGCGTGGTGGTAGGCACCTGTGGTACCAGCTACTCGGGAGGCTGAGGCAGGAGAATGGCGTGAACCCGGGAGGCAGAGCTTGCAGTGAGCCAAGATGGCGCCACTGCACTCCAGCCTGAGACTCCGTCTCAAAAAAAAAAAAAAAAAAGAAGAAGAAGAAGAAGAACATGACCACTTTAAAAATATATATCCTTTAGTTTTTTTTGTTTGCTTGTTTGTTTTGTTTTATTGAGACAGGGTTGCTCTGTCACCCAGGTTGGAGTGCAGTGGCAGGAACATAGTTGGCCGTTAACATCCAACTCCTCAGCTTCAAGGGATCCTCCTGCCTGAGCCAACGGGGAAGCTGGGACTATACACATGCACCACCTCGCCCAGCTAAATGTGTTTTTTTTTTTTTTTGAGACGGAGTCTCGCTCTGTCACCCAGGCTGGAGTGCAGTGGCGCCATCTCGGCTCACTGCAAGCTCTTGCTTCCCGGGTTCACCCCATTCTCCTGCCTCAGCCTCCCAAGTAGCTGGGACTGCAGGCGCCCGCCAACACACCCAGCTAATTTTTTGGTATTTTTAGTAGAGACGGGGTTTCACCGTGTTAGCCAGGATGGTCTCGATCTCCTGACCTCGTGATCCGCCCGCCTTGGCCTCCCAAAGTGCTGGGATTACAGGTGTGAGCCACCACGCTTGGCCAATTTTTTTTTTTTTATTTTTTGTAGAGACAGGGCTTTGCTATGTTGCCCAGGCTGTTCTTGAACTCCTGGCTTCAAGCAATTTTCTCATCTTGGCCTCCCAAAGAATCTGGATTACAGGAGTGAGCCACTACACCTGGCCTCCTTTAGTGATTCTCTGTATTAACTGCCAATGCAATGCTTTTACTGTACAATACGTACAGTTTTTGTAATTATAACCTTTTTCCCATATTGTTTTTTTCTGATCATATGTATAAAATACAATTTTATGAAGGTTGAATCTAATGAAAAATTGAGCTGGTAAAAAAAAGTATTCACTTATGTGATGGTTTGTAAGAGGACTTCTAAGCAACAGAGAGCATATCTTTGTACTTAAAATTTGACTTAAAACAGTTGGAGAAAAGGGGAACTTCTAGTCATGTGCCTTTTAATCTCATGACCACATTTGTGCATGGCCATTGACTTTTACACAGACATTCCATTGTGTTGATAACAGCATTAGGCTCATTCTAAAAATGTAAAATGCCATCTAATTTTTGTTCAGCTCAACTTCATTTTAGGGTAATCAGAAAGAATTCTAATACCAACAAATGTTCATCTAGTTAGCATCATGCCTTAAAAGAACCCAAAATGTTTAGCTAAAATATGACAATGCTTCCCAAGACACATTTTCAGACCTTTATTTCCCAGGGGACTGAGTGATTCTTTGCATTTTATTTCACTAATCCTTACGTACATCCTAGATTACCAAGAAACACTGATCTAGATTCAAACTCTAACAGTCTAAATTCCAAACCTCACATTGTGAATCAATATACTATGTGGAATTAAAGTTGTCCAACCACTTGCACATTTCTGCACCAAGGGCCCATTATGATTCCTTCATCTATAAAAAGATGTAGATTTCTTGGCATTTATATTTTTACAGTCTATCTTATTATTCAAATACAAAAAAACCCCAGAAAATTATTAGTCCAGTTTTGACACCCTCGAAGACAATGATTCCTAAAATAACCCCAAGATCAAAGCAATGCAAATATTACTACCCACCTATCAATGACGAGGATGCCAAGATTTCTAACACTGACAATTATACAGTTGAAAAGTCACAGCTAAGAGAGGCCTTCCCTGACTGCCATATATAAGTAGTCCCTACTCCGAACCTGCCAACCTCATCTCTGTCAAAGTGGCAGCCAGTTGTTGAACTTCTAAGAGAGAATGCAGATGAAAAAGTGCCCTGTGAGACACGGAGAACAAAAGCCAGACTCCCTAATTAGAACACAAAAAGAAAAAAGTACTGCTTGCCTGCTACCAGAGGCAACAGTTGATGGGAAGTGGCAGGGAGAAGGGAAGGTAGGGGCTGCAGGAGAGGATAAACGCATTGCCTTGCCACCTAGAATGCAGGCAGGTTATATGGCTCAGGAACTGAAAGTACAATACCCCCAAATATCACCAAAGAGCAGGAGCCCCCAAACAGATTCTGGTCTGAGAACACTAAAGACAGAATAGCGACAATCCCTAAACTGCTAACCTGGTAGGGGTGAGAACAAAAAAAGAAAGAAAGCGAAAAGAAAAACGAAAAGAAAGACTACTAAGCAATACATACAACACAAACTTTAAAAGCCAGAGAATACCTTTTTTTGCAATATACATGACAAAAGATTTCTATCCTTAATAAAGAGATTTTATAATTCAAGAAAACCAATACCCCAATTTAAAAGTCATGTAAATAAACAATTCTAAATTAATTAATTAATAAATTAAATTAATCCTAAATAAGTAGATAATTCACAGAATAAATAACAAAAAACCTCACATCACAACTAAGAGAACCAGAGAACCAAGAGAAAACCAACTCTAAAGCTAGCAGAAGACAAGAAATAACCAAACTCGGAGCTGAACTAAAGGAGACTGAGACATAAAAAACCATTCAAAAGATCAGCAAATCCAAGAGTTGTTTTTTTGAAAAAAAAAAAAAAAAAAAAAAAAAAAAAAAACTAATAAAATAGATAGAACTCTAGCTAGACAAATAAAGAAGAGAGAAGACCCAAATAAACATCGTCAGAAACAACAAAGAGGGTATTACCACTGACCCCACAGAAATATAAATAATCATAAGCAATTATTATAAACATCTCTATGCACATAAACTAGAAAATACAGAAGAAATGAATAAATTTCTGTACACATACACCCTCCCAAGACAGAGCCAGTAAGAAATGGAATTCATGAACAGACCAATAATGAGCTCTGAAATTGAAACAGTAATAAATAGCCTAACACCCCAAAAAAGCCCAGGAACAAACAGATTCACAGTCGAATTCTACCAGTTATAAAAAGAAAAGCTGGTACTGTTCCTACTGAAACTATTCCAAAAAATTGAGGATGAGGGACCCTTCCCTAACTCATTCTAGGAGGCCAGGATCATCCTGATGCCAAAACATAGCAGAGACACAATTTAAAAAAAGAAAAATTCAGGCCAATATCCTTGATGAACATCGATGCAAAAATCCTAAGCAAAATACTGGTAAACTGAATCCAGCAGCATATCAAAAATCTTATCCACCACATCAAAAAGCTTATTCATCACAATCAAGTAAGCTTTATTTCTGGGATGCAAGGTTGGTTCAACATATGCAAATCAATAGATGTGATCCATCACATAAACAGAATTAAAGACAAAAAAAAACACTATTATCTCAATAGACGCAGGAAAAGCTTTCCATAAAATTCAACACCCCTTCATGTTAAAAACTCTCAATAAACTAAGTATTGAAAGAACCTACCTCAGCTGGGTGTGGTAGCTCACGTCTATAATCCCAGCACTTTGGGAGGCCAAGGTGGGTGGATCACAAGGTCAGGAGATCGAGACCATCCTGGCTAACATGGTGAAACCCTGTCTCTACTAAAAATACAAAAAATTAGCCAGGTGTGTTGGCAGGCGCCTGTAGTCCCAGCTACTCAGGAGGCTGAGGCAGGAGAATGGCATGAACCCAGGAGGCAGAGTTTGCAGTGAGCTGAGATCACGCCACTGCACTCCAGCCTGAGCAACAGAGCAAGACTCCTTCTCCAAAAAAAAAAAAAAAAAACCATACCTCAAAATAATAAGAGCCATCTATGACAAACCCACAGTGAATATCATACTGAATGGGCAAAAGCTGGAAGCACTACCCTTGAAAACCAGCACAAGACAAGGATAGCCTCTCTCACCACTCCATTCAATATAGTATTGGAAGTCCTGGCCAGAGAAACAGGCAAGAGAAAGAAATAAAGGGCATCCCGGGCCGAGTGTGGTGGCTCACGCCTGTAATCTCAGCACTTTGGGAGGCTGAGGTGGTCAGACCACTTGAGGTCAGGAGTTCAAGACCAGCCTGGCCAACATGATGAAACCCTGTCTCTACGAAAAATACAAAAATTAGCTGGGCGTGGTGGTAGGCACCTGTATTCCCAGCTACTTGGGAGATGAGGCAGGAGACTCACTGGAACCTGGGAGGTGGAGGTTGAAGTGAGCCAAGAGTGTGCCACTGCACTCCAGCCTGGATGACAGAACAAAATGAAAAGAAAGAAAGAAAGGAAAAGAAAGAAAGAAAAGAAAAGAAAGAAAGAAAGAGAGAGAAAGAAAGAAAGAGAAAGAAAGAGAGAGAGAGGGAGGGAGGGAGGGAGGGAGGGAAGGAAGGCTGAAATAGGAAGAGAGGAAGCCAAACTATACCTGTTTACAGTTGACATGATTCTGTATCTAGAAAAACCCATAGTCTCATCTAAAAGCTCCTTAAACTGATAAATAACTTCAGCAAAGTCTCAAGATAAAAAATCAATGTACAAAAATCACTAGCATTGCTACACCAACAGTCAACCTGAGGGCTAAATCAGGAATGCAATCCCATTCACAACTGCCACAAAAAGAATAAAATACCTAGGAATACAGCTAATGAGAGAGGTAAAAAATCTCTATAAGCAAAACTACAAAATACTGCTCAAAGAAATCAAAGATGATGCAATCAAATGGAAAACATTACATGCTCATGGACAGGAAGAATCAATTTTGTTAAAATGGTCATACTGCCCAAAGCAATTTATAGATTCAATACTATTCCTTTAAACTACCAATGGCATTCTTCACAGAACTAGAAAAAGCTATTTTAATATTCATATGGAAGCAAAAAAGAGCCCAAATATCCAAGACAATCCTAAGCAAAAAGAACAAAGCTGGAGGCATTACATCATACTACCTGACTTCAAACTATGCTACAGAACTACAGTCACCAAAACATCATGGCACTGGTACAAAAACAGACACATAGACTAATGGAACAGAATAGCGGGCCCAGAAATAAGGCTGCACATCTAAAACCATCTGATCTTTGACAAAGCTGACAAAAACAAGCAATGGGGAAATGACTTCCTATTCAAAAAATGGTGCTGGACTAACTGGCTAGCCATATGCAGATGATTGAAGCTGGACCCCTTCCTTACACCATATACAAAAATCAACCAAGATGAATTAAAGATTTAAATGTAAAACACAAAACTTAAAAACCCTGGAAGATAACCTAGGCAGTACCATCCTGGACATAGGAACAGGCAAAGATTTCATGACAAAGACGCCAAAAGCAATCACGACAAAAGCAAAAATTGGCAAACAGGATCTAATTAAACTAAAGAGCTTTTGCACCACAGAAGAAACTATTAACAGAGTAAACAGACAACCTACAGAATGGAAGAAAATATTTGCAAACTATGCATCCGACAAAGGTTTAATATCCAGCATCTATAAGGAACTTAAACAAATTTACGATTTAAAAAAACCATTAAAAAGTGGGCAAAGGACATGAAAAGACACTTTTTGAAAGACATATATGTGGCCAATAATCCTATGAAAAAAAGCTCAACATCACTGATCATTAGAGAAATGCAAATCAAAACCACAATAAGATACCATTTCAAAGATAATAACAGTCAGCATCTGTTCTCCATATCCTCTCCTGCATCTATTATGTTTTGACTTTTTAATAATAGCCATTCTAATTTTTTTTTTTTTGAGACAGAGTTTCACTCTTGTTGCCCAGGCTGGACTGCAATCGTGCGATCTTGGCTCACTGCAACCTCCACCTCCCAGGTTCAAGTGATTCTCCTACCTCAGCCTCCTGAGTAGCTGGGATTACAGGCATGTGCCACCACGCCCAGCTAATTTTTGTATTTTTAGTAAAGATAGGGTTTCACCATGTTGGCCAGGATGGTCTCAATCTCTTGACCTCATGATCCACCTGCCTCAGCCTCTCAAAGTTCTGGGATTACAGGCATGAGCCACCATGCTCGGCCAACCATTCTAACTTTTATTAAAAAGTCAAAACATAACAGATGCTGGCAAGGATGCAGAGAAAAAGGAATGCTTATACACCATGGGTGAGAGTGTAAATTAGTTCAACCATTGAGGAAAACAGTGTGGTAATTTCTCAAAGAGCTAAAAACAGAACTACCATTCAACCCAGCAATCCCATTACTGGTTATATACCCAAAAGAATGTAAATCATTGTATCACAGACACATACATGCGTATGTTCATTGCAGCACTATTTACAATAGCAAAAACATAAAATCAACCTAAATGCCCATCAATGGTAGACAGAATAAAGAAAATGTACCACAGAATACTATGCAGTCATAAAAAGTAAGAGCATGATCTTTGCAGGGACATGGATGGAGCTGGAGGCCATCATCTTTAGCAAACTAACACAGAAGCAGAAAACCAAATACTGCATGCTCTCACTTACAAGTGGGAGCTAAACAATGAAAACAAATGGACACATAGAGGGGCACAACAGATACTGGGGCCTATCAGAGGGTGGAGGGTGGGAGGAGGGAGAGGATCAGGAAAAATAACTAATGGGTACTAGGTTTAATACCTCGGTGATCAAATAATCTGTAGAACAAACCCCCATGACACAAATTTACCTATCTAACAAACCTGCACATGTACCACTGAACTTAAAAAATATATTAAATAAAAGCTTACAAAAAGAAACAAGTTTAAAAAAAGTGTTTAACTTAAAAGAAAATATTTTTAAAAGATAATTCCCAGAAAAAATAAAAATAAAGAATGTAAAAAGACAGTTACCTTCACTCGCAGTCAATGAAATAAAATTACAAACAACAATGCCATATCAATTATTGTCTATTACACTGACAAAGATAAAAGAATGGAAAATAATCAGGATTAATATGAGACAAGATTTATGAGCTCTCCTGTGTAGTGTTGGGATAAGTATAAACTGGCAGGACATTTATAAAAGTCCCTTTACTAAATACATTAAAATTTTAAATATGCGGGAAGCAATCACACTTCTAGGAATTGTGCAAAAATATATCTACAATGATGTTCATCATGACATCATTTATAATCATGAAAAATTAGAGACAACCATGAGAGCTATCAACAGAAGATCAATTAAATAATTATGATACATCCATACAATGTAATTCTAAGGTAGCCATTAAAAATAATATGATCCTATACTTATTGCTATAGACAGAAAGAAGTCCACAAAATTTTAAGGTGGTAACAAGATAACAGGCACATACTGTATTACTGGATTTATATAAAATTATGTATATGTATGTGCTTCTATGTTTATGACTTACATTTGCATGTGTGCGAGAATGCATAGAGATGATTAGAAGAAAACCAATCAAAATATTTTTGTCTGTATTATAATCAGAAATAATAACAGAAGTTATCCTACTTTTAAATATATATAAACTTATTTTTACCTCAAATGTACTGGCTTCAGTGGGAAAATATTCAGATAGTTATGTACATTAAATAATAAAGTTATTTGCATTTAAATCATGTGAAAAGCAGCTATCACCACTATTTTTCAATCTTCTTTTGGGGATTTTGATAAATTAAAAGGAAAATAATCGGTAAAAATTTAGAAAAAAGACAAATATACCTTTGTCCTTGATAAGACTGTATACCTATGAAACACAAAACACTCTATGAATAAGCTACTAGAATTAAGAAAATTTGGTAAAAGGAATGAATACAAGTTTAAAATAATTAAAGTATGCATTTTCTCTTTACACCAGAAAAAAACTTACAAGTGGAAAAAAATTCACTCTCAATAAAACTATAAAATATCTTAAAATAAATTTAATAAGAATAGAAAGAAAATTCTAAATATTGTCAAGTTACCAAGTGACACAAAATAACTGAACAAATGGAGATATATACTATTTTCTTAAGTGGAAGACAATACTGAAAAATATCAATCCTTCCCAAATTGGACAATAATTTGAATGTAATTCCAAATGGAATCCAGTGATGAATTTTCTTGAACTGGAGAAAATGAAAAGTTCATTTTGAAAAGTAATTATATGGGAATAGTCAAGTAAATCTTTAAAAAGAAAAATGAGAGAGTAGTTAATAAGCCTTACCAGAAATCAAAACAGTATACCATTGGCACAGAAATAAAGAATAGGAAAATGACAGAAAACAGAATTCAGAAATAGGTACAAATACATGTGGGAGTATAATATAATATATAACATCTATGGTATTTCAATACAGTGGCAAAAAATGTTTTAAAAACAGTGTAGACAAAGCTGGCTAGTCATTTGGAAGAAAATGTTATATACTTATACACATCACACTACATGTAAACATAAATTCCAGTCACAGTAAAAGAGTAAAGCTCTAAATTAAAAACAGTCAAAAAATAGATTATATCCAGAGTGAAAAATGGTTTGCAATACATATGACAAAGGATTAACATTTCTATTCACAAAGAGCAATTACAAACTATTAAGAAAAAGATCAACACCCAATTTAAAAAGGCATAGAATATGAAAAGGTAATTCACCAAAGAGGATAGGCAAATCACCAATAAACAGGTTAAAATATACAAACCCCAATTATAGTCAGAAAACTGCAACAATTAGATGTTTTTTAGCTGCTAGACTGAAAAAAACTTTAAAAGAACACTAAAGGCTTTGCCTGCTAGACTAAAAAAGATTAAAAACAGCACTAAAGGCAGAGCGTGGTTTCAGCTCTTCTCTCCTTATCGCTTCTCTCCTTCTTGTTGCCCACAACAAGGCAAGTGGGGGCGTGTTTCAGCACTGTTTGTGTTACAGCTCTTTCAGTCCCACCATTGAGTTCTTGTCCTGTGTCCAGGAATAATGAGGTACATGGAAAACTAGGGGTGAGCAAGGCAAAGAGTTGCTTTATTGAGTGACTATACAGCTCTCAGGAGATCCAAGGTGGGTAGCTCCTTTCTACAGGCAGGTGGTTCTGATGAGTACAGCTGTCAGTGGCAAGGAGACCCATAGTGAGCAGTCCTAGTCACAGGCAAGTGATCCTGTCAAGTTTGCAGCCCTCAGTGAAGAGGAGACCTTCAGTGGGTAGCTCATATCCACAGGCAGGTCGTCCTGACAATTGTGCAGCTCTCAGTGGAGAGGAGACCCAGAGTGGGTAGCTCCTATCTGCAGACAAGTCATCCTGATGAGTGTGCAGTTCTCAGCAGAGAGGAGACCCAGAGTGGGTAGCTCCTATCCGTAGGCAGGTTGTCCTGACGTCTGTGCAGCCTTCAGCAAAAAGGGGACATGGAGTGGGTAGCTCCTATCCAATTTCAGAGCAAAGTTGAGGCTGCGCCTGGGCACTGAGGCAGGTTGTCCCATTGATTCTGCAGTCCTCAGTGGAGAGGAGACCTGGAGTGGGTGGCTCATACCTGCAGGCAGGTCATCCTGATTTCTGCCTGAGTCTGACTGAGTCCAGGGTTTTTACGGGCTTAGAAGGGAGAAAGTGTGTACTGATTTGGTCCATGGGTGGCTATGGGTGGGCCCGGAAAAAGGACCGTAAGTTCTCACTCTGGTCCTCAGACTCCAGCCAGAACTCACAGCCTGGCCCCCATGCTTCAGGCAATTCCTGGCTTGAAGGTGGGGCTTCACCAGATACCCACCACTTTCTGCCCAGAAGCCTGTCTGCCTCCTGCCACCATTAATCATGTCCACAACTCCCAGGCTGTTAGTGCCAAGAGGTGCCTGCAGGCCTGTGCTGAGCCACCCTCAGCCCCTCCCTCAGGCTCCCTCCTGTGTTTGTTGGCACCCAAAGTCCAGAGGGGGCCAAGGCAGCAGGGGACTGGTGTGTCAGCACTGCCCCAAGCACATGCCAACCCAGCCAGGTTGCAACAGTACCCAGGCTTGGCCTCAACTTTGCTCCAAAATTGGTGCAGGCACCAGAAGCATGGCAAGGCCAGACAGCAGGAGTAGGCACTTCCGAGCCTGCTGGGGCAGAGGAGCTTCCCTGGCATTTGAGAGTGCAGAGATCCCTGGGTCCGCAGCCATCACTGGGCAGCTTCAGCTTTGTCTGGAAAGATGGGGCTCCCACTGTGCCAACTCAAAATGGAGTGGGGCTCCTGCCAGCTCCATGGAGTGTGCAGCCCTGGCTGTGCCTCCCAAACTGCAGCTGGCATCTTCACAGCAGCCACTCCATATGGGCTGCCACTGCCATCAATAGCATAAGGGAAGTCTAATAATGGAGTGTCCCAAAAGATGACATAGTACAGTATTGTGAGTAGCAGCAGAAGATAGTGGTATACAGTAAGCACTCAGCAAATGCTGTTGAAAGTTGAATCGGGGTATTTTGATTACCCATGCCCCCAATCAGGCAGAAAATAGCTATAAAACCTCTTCATTACACACACACAAAAACTTCCTCTCCTGATCCCTAATAAGGAAAGCTTTACGCTCCCAAACCTAAGAATCACTGCTCTGGATAAAAATCCTGAAAATTCATGTATTTTAAACCATACTTCAAAATGAACTCTGCTACACTACCTGGAGAGTGAATCATGCAGAGACTGTGTCTACGATTGGTCCTTCCATGATAAAAATTTAATTTTGAACTTTTCTTTATGGCATGGGAGAGGCCACTGCTCAGACTCTATCTAATCCCCTGGCTCCTAGACTATAATATTAGGAAGCTGAGATAGCTAAGGAAGACGGCAGATTGGATACTGGGTTAATACACAGTTCCCACTGGCATGGACAGAACAGCATGTGGAGATTCACACTGTGAACTTTTGCTCCAAGAACCACCATGGGAACGTACTAGGAAAACTGAAAGAATTCACTGATCCTTTGAAAGAAGTGGCATGCCACTGCAAATTCTCCATCACAGGCAAAAAACTGTGAGTTCCCAAAGCGTGAGAGGGGGAAAACATGCCTCTGAACACACATCCCCAATGGGGAATCTGAAAATCCAGATCACAGGAGAAAGATTTAACCTTACCTATAGTTGAAATGGATTTAGGGAACCATGCAAAATACAGAAGTAGAACCAACAGTGGGAAGAGCCTTGTAGGCACTCCTAGTCTTTAGCTCGAGCCCAAGGAAGTCATCCCTAACTTATCTCTCAAGGGTCCCTAGAGAAGGCAGCAAGTAGAATTAGGGAGGGGCTACAGGGTGAAAGAAGCTTCCAACTGAAATCTGTAATAATTTTGACTGGGAGTGAATTTTCATGAGCAGAATCCAGGAGGCGAATGGGGACTGCTGCAGATAACGAGCACAGGAGCTGGTGATGACAGTGTGAGCAGATGGGAGGGGCAGGGCCTGAAATCTGTGCTTGCTTTCTCAGCAGGGAAGCTTACGACCTGGTGCAAGGTCTGAGTGAGGCACTGCAGGAACAAGACCAGCCTTACCAACTGTGTGGGAGCTGAGTGAGGCCTTTTGCTACCAGCTATGCCCCCACTTCCCTGGTGAACTATGTGACACAGCAGAGGCAGCCATAATCCCCTCTGGAATATAACCCCATTGGCCTGAGAACCACAACCAATCCCCCACAGTGGCCGCAGCAAGCCTTGCCCAAGTCTGAGCCCAGACTCACCTAACCCTGCCCCAACCTGATGGTATTTCACTACCTGCCCTAGTAGCTGAACAGAAAAGACAGCTCATCCAAGCTTTATGGCCCCACCCATCGCCTGGGAAACCAGAATAGTTACCCTGGCCAATGTATGGCAAGCGTAGATCTCCTTACTACTGTTGCAGCTGGTGCTCTCTTGAAAGTGCCACCTTCTGGCTGGAGGTCAACCAACTCAGGCCATTACAACAACTCATGACAGAATAACCCTGCTCCCCCAAGAATAAGGAAACAACAGGTAATTCTACTGCCTGCAACATCCTGGCTAACCAGAGGTTCTGAGTCTCTACACATGACAACTTTACTGCTAGCATAATCCATCATTCAAGAAAGCCAGCACACTAAACATAGCTACAACTAAGGACCCTGACACAGTCTAGTTTACTCCCCTGCCACCTCCACCACAGCAGACACTAGTATCCATGGCTGAGACCTGAAGATGGATCACATCATAGGACTCTTTGCAGACATTCCCCAGAACCAGCTTGGAGCCTGGGAGCCCCACTTGATAGCGAGACCCAGAAGGGCAATAATGATCATTGCAGTCTGGCTCCCAGAAAGCCCCATCCCTAGGGGAAGGGGAAGAGCACCACATGAAGGGATCACACCATGGGACAAAAGAAACTGAACAGCAGCTCTTGAGTCCCAGATCTTCCCTCTGACATAGTCTACCCAAATGAGAAGGAACCAGAAAAACAATTCTGGTAATATGATAAAACAGGGCTCTATAATACCCTGAAAAGATCACACTAGCTCCCCAGCAATGGATCCAAACCAAGAAGAATTCTGAATTGCCTGATAAGCAATTCAGGGGATTGATTATTAAGCTACTCAAGGAGATACCAGAGAAATGAGAGAACTAACTTAAAGAAATGAAAAGAACAATATGGAATATGGATTAAAAATGCTTCAGAGAAATAGATATCATAAAGAAAAACAATCACAACTTCTGGAAATGAAAGACACACTTAGAGAAATACAAAATGCACTGGAAAGTTTCAACAATCGACTAGAACAAGTAGAAGAAAGAACTTCAGAGCTCAAAGAGGCTTTCGAATTAACCCAATCGGACAAAGACTAAGAAAAAAGAATTTGAGAAAAATGAACAAAGCTTCCAAGAAATTTGAAATTATGTCAAACAGACAAACCTAAGAATAACTGGTGTTCCTAAGGAAGAAGAGAAATCTAAAAGTTTGGAAAACTTATTTGAGGGACTAATTGGAGAAAACTTCCCTGGCCTTGCTAGAGATCTAGACAACTAAATACTAGAAGCTCAAAGAACATCTGAGGAATTCATTGCAAAAAGATCATCACCTAGGCACATAGTCATCAAGTTATCTATAATCAAGACACAGGAAAGAATCTTAAGACCTGTGAGACAAAAGCATCAGGTAAACTATACAGAAAAACCTATAAGATTAACAGAATTCTCAGCAGAAACCCTACAAGCCAGAAGGGATTGGAGTATTATCTTTAGCCTCCTGAAACAAAATAATTGTCAGCCAACAATTTTGTATCCAACAAAACTAAGCTTCTTAAATGAAGGACAGATAAAGTCTTTTTCAGACAAATGCTGAGAGAATTCACCACTACCAAGCCAGCACTACAAGAAATGCGAAAAGGAGTTCTAAATCTTGAAACAAAACCTTAAAATACACCAAAATAGAACTTCCTTAAAGCATAAATCTCATAGGGTCTATAAAACAATAACACAATGGGGAAAAAAACACAAGGTATTCAGGCAACAATTAGAATACAGAACAGAACAATACCTCATATCTCAATACTAATGTTGAATGTAAATGGCCTAAATGCTCCACTTAAAAGATATAGAATGGCAGAATGGATAAAAATCCACCAAACTGGGAATGTAAGTTAGTTCAACCATAGCGGAAGATGATGTGGCAATTCCTTAAAGACCTAGAACCAGAAATACCATTTGACTCAACAATCCCATTACAGGGTATATACCCAAAGGAATATAAATTATTATATTACAAAGATATATGTATGCATATGTTCATTCCAGCACTATTCACAATAGCAAAGACATGGAATCAACCAAAATACCCATCAATGATAGACTGAATAAAGAAAATGTGGTACAGAAGATACACCATGGAATACGATGCAGCCATAAAAAGGAATGAGATCATGTCCTTTGTAGGGACATGGATGAACCTGGAAGCCATTATCCTCAGCAAACTAACAAAGGAATAGAAAACCAAACACCATATGTTCTCACTTATAAGTGGGACCTAAACAGTGAGAACACCTGGAACAGGGAGGGAAACAACACATACTGGGGCCTGCTGGGGGATGTGGCAAGGGGAAGAAAAGCATTAGGAAAAATAGCTAATGCATGCTGGGCTTAATACCTAGGTGATGGGTTGATAGGCGCAGCAAACCACCATAGCACATGTTTACCTATGTAACAAATATTCATATCCTGCACATGTATCCCAGAACTTAAAATAAAATTTAATTTCATTTTTTAAAAAAAAATCCACCAACCAAGTATCTGCTGTCTTCAAGAGACTCACCTAACACATAACAACTCACATCAACTTAAGGTAAAAGAGTGAAAAAAAGATATCCCATGCAAACGGACACCAAAAGTGAACAGGAGTAGCTACTCTTATATCGGAAAAAACAGACTTAAAAGCAACAACAGTTTAAAAAGACAAAGAGGGACATTACACAAAGCTAAAAGGATCAGTCCAACAGGAAAATATCACAATCTTAAATATATATGAACCTAACACTGGAGCTCCCAAATTTATAAAACAATGAAATGAGATACACAGCAACACAATAATGGTGGGGGACTTCAATATTTCACTGACAGCACTAGACAGGTCATCAATACAGAAAGACAACAAAGAAACAAGGGACTTAAACTATAACCTAGAACAAATGGACTTAGCAGATATTTACAGAACATTCTACTCAACATCTGTAGAATATACATTCTTTTCATCAGCACATAGAATATGCACCAAGATAGACCATATATGTCACAAAACAAGTCTCAATACATTTTTTAAAAATTGAAATTATATCAAGTATCCTCTCAGAACACAGTGAATAAAACTAGAAATTAACTCCAAAAGAAACCCTCAGAACTATACAAATACATGGAAATTAAATAATCTGCTCTTGAATGATCTTTGGGTCAACAATGAAATCAAGACGGAAATTTTTTTAATTCTTTGAACTGAATCATAACCGTGATTCAACTTCTCAAAACCTCCGGGATACAGCTAAAGCAATGCTAAGAGGAAAGTTCATAGCATCAAATGCCTACATGAAAAAGTCTGAAAGAGTACAAATAAACAATCTAAGATCATACTTCAAGGAACTAGAGAAACAAGAACAAACCAAACCCAAACCAAGCAGAAGAAAAGAAATCAAGATCAGAGAAGAATTACATGAAATTGAAACCAAAAAAAAAAAAAGATAAAAGAAACAAAAAGCTGGTTCTTTGAAGAGATAAACAAAATTGATACATCATTAGTGAGATTAACCAAGAAAAGAAGAGAGAAGATCCTAATAAGCTCAATTAGAAATGGGATGGGAGATATTACAGCCAATACCACAGAAATGCAAAAGATAATTCAAGGCTACCAGGAACACCTTTACGTGCACAAACTAGAAAATTTACAGGACATGGATAAATTCCTGGAAGTCTACAACCCTCCTAGATTAAATCAGAAAGAAACAGAAACTCTAAACAGACCAATAACAAGTAGTGAGATTGAAATGGTAATTTAAAAATTGCCAACAAAAAAAAAAGTCCAGGAGAAGATGGATTCTCAGCTGAATTCTATTGAACATTGAAATAATTGGTAGCAATCCTACTGACACTATTCCACAAGATAAAGAAAGAGGTTCCCTTCCTTAATCATTCTATGAAGCCAGTATCACCTTCATACCAAAACCAAGAAAGGACATAACAAAAACAAAAAACTGCAGACCAATATCCCTGATGAACATAGATCCAAAAATCCTCAAAAAAAATACTAGCTAACCAAATACAACAGCATATCAAAAATATAATACACTATGATCAAGTGGGTTTCACACCAGAGATGCAGAGATGGTTTAACATACACAAGTTGTTGTACCTGAGCAAGTTAGAAAAAGGCCACACTTTGAGATGAATTAAGAGTCCTTTATTAGCCAGCAACCAAGAGACGGCTAACGCTCAAAATTCTCTTGGCCCCAAGGAAGGGGCTTGATTAACTTTTATACCTTGGTTTAGGAAGGGGAGGGGGGCGTCTAGTTAAAACAATTTTACAGAAGTAAAGTAGTCAAAAAGTTAAAAGGATAAATGGTTACAGGAAAGTAAACAGTTCCAGGTGCAGGGGCCTTAAGACTATTACAAGGTGACAGACCCGGGGCTTTGGGAGTTATCAATCGGACAAATTCCTGGAAACTGTGGATATAGCTTGCCACAGTATCTTATCAGCTAATTGCATTCTTGGATGTGCTGGGAGTCAGCTTGCACAAGTTAAGTCCTTGAGGAAGGGGCTGCCAGTGAAAGAGCCAAGATGGAGTCTGTCTGGCTCTCTTAGCTAAGGGAGAGTCAATTCAGGTGGAAACAAGGCTAGGTGATTAAAGGAAAAGGGAGAGTCTAAAAACAGAGTTAGTAAAAACCAGGTTGGGCATTACAAAGTCAATAAATGTGATGCATCACATAAACAGAATTAAAAACAAAAATCATATGATCATCTCAATAGATACAGAAAAAGCAGCTGAGGAAATCCAGCATCCCTTTATGATTAAAACACCCTCAGCAAAATCAACATAGAAGGCACATACCTCAATGTAATAAAAGCCATCTATGACAAACTCACAGTGAACATCATACTGAACAGGGAAAACACAACCACTATGGAAAACAGTATGAAGATTCCTTAAAGAACTAAAAGCAGAACTACCATTTGATCCAGCAATCCCACTATTGGGTATCTACCCAGAGGAAAGGAAGTCATTATTTGAAAAACACACTTGCACATGCATTTTATAGCAGCACAATTTGCAATTGCAAAAATACAGAACTAGACTAAACGCTCAACAACCAACAAGTAGATAAAGAAAATGTGATATATATTTATATATGTGTATATATATATATGTATATACACATATACAGAAACAAACACACATGCACACCATGGAATACTACTCAGCCATAAAAAGGAAAGAAATAAGACCATTTGCAGCAACTTGGATGGAACTGGAGACCATTATTGTAAGTGAAGTAACTCAGGGATTGGAAAACCAAACATTGTATGTTCTCACTCATAAGTTGGAACTAAGTTATGAGGATGCAAAGGCATAAGAATGATACAATGGACTTTGGAGACTCAGAGTTGGAGAGGGATAAAAGATGACACACTGATTACAGTGTACACTGCTTGGGTGATGAGTGCACCAAAATCTCAGAAATCACAACTAAAGGCCGGGTACAGTGGCTCATGTCTGTATTCCCAGCACTTTGGGAGGCCGAGGCAGGAGGATCACCTGAGGGCAGGAGTTCAAGACTAGCCTGGCCAACATGATGAAACCCCATCTCTACTAAAAATTTAAAAATTAGCCAGATGTGGTGGCACATGCTTGTAATCCCAGCTACTCAGGAGGCTGAAGCAAGAGAATCACTTGAACCTGGGAGGCAGAGGTTGCAGAGAGCCAAGATTGTGCCATTGCACTCCAGCCTGGGCAACAACAGGGAAATTCCGTCTTAAAAAAGAAAAGAAAGAAAGGAAAGAAAGAAAGGAAGAAAGAAAGAAAGAAAGAAAGAAAGAAAGAAAGAAAGAAAGAAAGAGAGAGAGAGAGAGAGAGAGAGAGAGAGAGAGAGAGAGAGAGAGAGAGAGAAAGAAAGAAAGAAAGAAAGAAAGAAAGAAAGAAAAGAAATTACCAGTAAAGAATTTATGCATGTAACCAAAAACCACCTGTTCCCGAAAAACTATTGAAGTAAAATTAATAAAATGTAAAAAATGAACTCTTTGATATTGATTCAAGAAGCCTGAAATCCAGAATCACAAGAATCATTTAAAAGAGGCTGAATGGGGGATTGCTGGCAAGATGGCCGAATAGGAGAAGCTCCAGTCTGCATCTCCCAGCGAGATCGATGCAGAAGGCAGGTGATTTCTGCATTTCCAACTGAGGTACCTGGTTCATCGCATTGGGTCTGGTTGGATAGTAGGTGCAGCCCATGGAGAGCAAGACGAAGGAGGGTGGGGTGTCGCCTCACCCAGGAAGCACAAGGGGTCAGAGAATTTTCTCCCCCACCCAAGGGAAGCTGTGAGGGACTGAGCCTGAGGAACTCAGGCACAGACACTGCATTTGTCCCACGGTTTTCAACACCCGCAAACCAGGAGATTCCCTCCGGTCCCTACCCCACCAGTGCCCTAAGTTTCAAGCACAAAACTGGGTGGCCATTTGGGCAGATAACGAATTAGGTGCAGGAGTTATTTTTTTCCATACCCCAATGGTGCCTGAAACGCCAGCGAGACAGAACTGTTCACTCCCCTGGAAAGGGGTGCTGAAGCCAGGGAGCCAAGTGGTCTGGCTCAGAGGGTCCCACCCCCACAGAGCCCAGCAAACTAAGATCCACTGGCTTGAAAATCTCACTGCCAGCACACCAGCAGTCTGAGATTGACCTGGGATGCATGAGCTTGGTGAGGTGAGGGGCGTCTACCATTGTTGAAGCTTGAGTAGGCGGTTTTATGCTCACAATGTAAACAAAGCCTCTGAAAAGTTCAAACTGGGCGGAGCCCACTGCAGCTCAGCATGGTTGCTGTGGCCAGACTGCCAGATTTCCCTTCTCTGGGCAGGGCATGTCTGAAAAAAAGGCAGCAGCCCCAGTCAGGGACTTATAGATAAAACCCCCATCTCCCTGGGACAGAGCACCTGGGGAAAGGGGCAGCTGTGGGTGCAGTTTCCGCAAACTTAAATGTCCCTGCCTGATGGCTCTGAAGAGAGCAGCAGACCTCCCAGCACAGCATTCGAGCTCTGCTAAGGGTCAGACTGCCGCCTCAAGTGGGTCCCTGACCTCTATGTATCCTGACTGGGAGACACCTCCCAGTAGGGGCTAACGGACACCTCATACAGGAGAGCTCTGGTTGGCATTTGGCAGGTTCCCCTCTGGGAAGAAGCTTCCAGAGGAAAGATCAGACAGCAATCTTTGCTGTTCTGCAGCCTCTGCTGGTGATACCCAGGCAAACACAGTCAGGAGTGGGCCTCCAGCAAACTCCAGCAGACCAGCAGCAGAGGGGCCTGACTGTCAGAAAGAACACTAACAAATAGAAAAAAATAGCACATCCACTCAAAGACCCCATCCAAAGGTCACCAACATCAAAGACCAAAGGTAGATAAATCCACAAAGATGGGGAGAAACCAGTGCAAAAAGGCTGAAAATTCCAAAAACCAGAATGCTGCTTCTCCTCCAAAGGATCACAACTCCTCTCCAGCAAGGGAACAAAACTAGATGGAGAATGAGTTTGACAGATCGACAGAAGTAGGCTTCAGAAGGTGGGTAACAGCAAACTCCTCTGAGCTAAAGGAGCATGTTCTAACCCCATGTAAGGAAGCTAAGAACCTTGAAAAAAGGTTAGACGAATTGCTAACTAGAATAATCAGCTGAGAAAAGAACATAAATGACCTGATGGAGCTGAAAAACACAGCACAAGAACTTCGTGAAGCATACACAAGTTTCAATAGCTGAATCGATCAAGCGAAAGAAAGGGTATCAGTAATTGAAGATCAACTTAATGAAATAGAGAAGACAAGATTAGAGAAAAAAGAATAAAAAGGAACAGAAAAAGCCTCCAAGAAATATGGGACTATGTGAAAAAGACCAAATCTACATCTAATTGGTGTACCTGAAAGCGATGAGGAGAATGGAGCCAAGTTGGAAAACACTCTTCGGGATATTATCCAGGAGAACCTCCCCAACCTAGCAAGACAGCACAACATTCAAAATCAGGAAATGCAGAGAACACTACAAAGATGCTCCTTGAGAAGAGCAACCCCAAGACACATTATCGTCAGATTCACCAAGGTTGAAATGCAGGAAAAAATGTTAAGCACAGCCAGAGAGAAAGTTCGGGTTACCCACAAAGGGAAGCCCATCAGACTAACAGTGGATCTCTCTGCAGAAACCCTACAAGCCAGAAAAGAATGGGGCCAATATTCAACATTCTTAAAGAAAAGAATTTTCAACCCAGAATTTCATAACCAACCAAACTAAGTTTCATAAGTGAAGGAGAAATAAAATCCATTACAGACAAGTAAATGATGAGAGATTTTGTCACCACCAGGCTTGCCTTACAAGAGCTCCTGAAGGAAACACTAAATCTGGAAAGGAACAACTGGTATCAGCCACGGCAAAAACATACCAAATTGTAAGAGCATCAACACTATGAAGAAACTGCATCAACTAATGGGCAAAACAACCAGCTAGCATCATGACAGGATCAAATTCACACATAACAATATTAACCTTAAATGTAAACAGACTAAATGCCCCAATTAAAAGACACAGACTGGCAAATTGGATAAAGAGTCAAGATCCATCAGTGTGCTGTATTCAGGAGACCCAGCCCACCTGCAAAGACACACATAGTCTCAAAATAAACGGATGGAGGAATATTTACCAAGGAAATGGAAAGCAAAAAAAAACAGGAGTTGCGATCTTAATCTCTGATGAAACAGACTTTAAACCAACAAAGATCAAAAGAGACAAGGAAGAGCATTATGTAATGGTAAATGGATCAATGCAGCAAGAAGAGTTAACTATCCTAAATATATATGCACCCAATACAAGAACACTCAGCAAGTTCTTAGAGACCTACAAAGAGATGTAGACTCCCACACAATAACAGTCGGGAGACTTTAACACCCCACTGTCAATATTAGACAGATCAATGAGACAGAAAATTAACAAAGATATTCAGGACTTGAATTCAGCTCTGGGCCAAGAAGACCTAATAGACATCTCCAGAACTCTCCACCCCAAATCAACAGAATATACATCATTCTCAGCACCACATCACACTTATTCTAAAATTGACCACATAATTGGAAGTAAAACACTCCTCAGCAGATGCAAAAGAACAGAAATCATAACAAACAGTCTCTCAGACCACAGTGCAATCAAACTAGAACTCAGGATTAAGAAACTCACTCACAACTACATGGAAACTAAACAACCTGCTCCTGAATGACTACTGGGTAAATAACTAAATGAAGGCAGAAGTAAAGACATTCTTTGAAACCAATGAGAACGAAGACACAACATACCAGAATCTCTGGGACACATTTAAAGCAGTGTGTACAGAGAAATTTATAACACTAAATGCCCACAAGAGAAAGCAGGAAAGATAAAAAATTAAAACAATTTAAATTCTTTTAATTTAATATTTAATTCTTTTAATTTTAACATCAAAATTAAAAGAATTAGAGAAGCAACAGCAAACAAATTCAAAATTTAAGGGAAGACAAGTAATAACCAAGACCAGAGCAGAACTGAGGGAGATAGAGACATGAAAAACCCTTCAAAAAATCAATGAATCCAGGAGCTGTTTTTTGAAAACATCAACAAAATACATAGACCACTAGCCAGGCTAATACAGAAAAAAAGAGAGAAGAATCAAATAGGCACAATAAAAAATGATATAGGTGATATCACCACCGATCCCACAGAAATACGAACTACCATCAGAGAATATTATAAACACCTCTACGCAAATAAACTGGAAAATCTAGAAGAAATGGATAAATTCCTAGACACATACACCCTCCCAAGTCTAAACCAGGAAGAAGTCGAATCTCTGAAAAAACCAATAATAAGTTCGGAAATTGAAGCAGTAATTAATAGCCTACCAACCAAAAAAACGTTGAGGACCAGACAGATTCACAGCCGAATTCTACCAGAGGTACAAAGAGGAACAGGTACCATTCCTTCTGAAACTACTCCAAACAACAGAAAAAGAGGGAATCCTCCCTAACTCATTTTATGAGCCCAGCATCATCCTGATACCAAAGCCTGGCAGAGACACAACAAAAAAAGAAAATTTCAGGCCAATATCCCTGATGAACATCGATGCGAAAATCCTCAATAAAATACTGGCAAACCGAATCCAGCAGCACATCCAAAAGCTTATCCACCACGATCAAGTCGGCTTCATCCCTGGGATGCAAGGCTGGTTCAACATACGCAAATCAATAAACGTAATCCACCACATGAACAGAACCAATCACAAAAACCACATGATTATCTCAATAGATGCAGAAAAGGCCTTTGACAAAATTCAACACCCCTTCATGCTAAAA
Organism: Homo sapiens; assembly: GCF_000001405.40. NCBI lineage: Eukaryota > Metazoa > Chordata > Mammalia > Primates > Hominidae > Homo > Homo sapiens. The sequence goes on from NC_000010.11 coordinate 99,136,706, forward strand.
TCTCTCAATAAACTGGGTATTGATGGAACATATCTCAAAATAATAAGAGCTACTTATGACAAATCCACAACCAATATCATACTGAATGGGCAAAAACTAGAAGTATTCCCTTTGAAAACCAGCGAAAGACAAGGAAGCCCTCTCTAACCACTCCTACTCAACATACTATTGGAAGTTCTGGCTAGGACAATCAGGCAAAAGAAAGAAATAAAGCGTATTCAAATAGGAAGAGAGGAAGTCAAATTGTCTCTGTTTGCAGATGACATGATTGTATATTTAGAAAACCCCATCTTCTCAGCCCAAAATCTCCTTAAGCTGATAAGCAACTTCAGTAAGGTCTCAGGATACAAAATCAATGTGCAAAAATCACAAGCATTCCTATACACCAATAATAGACAAACAGAGAGCCAAATCATGAATGAACTCCCATTCACAATTGCTACTAAGAGAATAAAATACCTAGGAGTCCAACTTACAAGGGATGTGAAGTACCTCTTCAAGGAGAACTACAAACCACTGCTCAGTGAAATAAAAGACGACACAAACAAATGGAAAAACATTCCATGCTTATGGATAGGAAGAATCAATATCGTGAAAATGGCCATACTGCCCAAAGTAATTTATAGATTCAATGCTATATCCCCATCAAGCTACCACTGACTTTCTTCACAGAATTGGAAAAAACTACTTTAAACTGCATATGAAACCAAAAAAGAGCCCACAGGGCTAAGACAATCCTGAGCAACAAGAACAAAGCTGGAGGCATCATGCTACCTGACTTCAAATTATACTACAAGGCTACAGTAACCAAAACAGCATGGTACTGGTACCAAAACAGATATATAGACCAATGGAAAAGAACAGAGGCCTCAGAAATAACACCACACATCTACAACCATCTGATCTTTAACAAACCTGACACAAACAAGCAATGGGGAAAAGATTCCCTATTTAATAAATGTTGGGAAAACTGGCTAGCCATATGCATAAAACTGAAACTGGACCCCTTACTTACACCTTATACAAAAATCAACTCAAGATGGAACAAATACTTAAATGTAAGACCTGGGACCTTAAAAATCCTAGAAGAAAACCTGGGCAATACCATTCAGGACGTAGGCATGGGCAAAGACTTCATGTCTAAAACACGAAAAGCACTGGCAACAAAAACCAAAATTGACAAATGGGATCCAATTAAACTCAAGAGCTTCTGCACAGCAAAAGAAACTATTATCAAAGTGAACAGGCAACCTACAGAACGGGAGAAAATTTTTGCAATCTATCCATCTGACAAAGGGCTAACATCCAGAATCTACAAAGAACTTAAACAAATTTACAAGAAAAAACAAACAACCCCATCAAAAAGTAGGCAAAGAATATGAACAGACACTTCTCAAAAGAAGACATTTATGCAGCTAACAGACATATGAAAAAATGCTCATCATCACTGGTCATTGGAGAAATGCAAATCAAAACCACAATGGGATACCATCTCACGCCAGTTAGAATGGTGATCATTGAAAAGTCAGGAAACAAGAAATGCTGGAGAGAATATGGAGAAATAGGAATGCTTTTACACTGTTGGTGGGAGTGTAAATTAGTTCAACCATTGTGGAAGACAGTGTGGCAATTCCTCAAGGATCTAGAACCAGAAACACCATTTGACCCAGCAATCCCATTACTGGGTATATACCCAAAGGATTATAAATCATTCTACTATAAAGACACATGCACACACATGTTTATTGTGGCACTATTTACAATAGGAAAGACTTGGAACCAACCCAATTGTCCATCCATAATAGACTGTATAAAGAAAATGTGGCACATATACACCATGGAATACTATGCAGCCATAAAAAAAGGATGAGTTCATGTCCTTTGCAGGGACATGGATGAAGCTGGAAACCATCATTCTCAGAAAACTATCACAAGAACAGAAAACCAAACACCGCATGTTCTCACTCATAAGTGGGAGTTGAACAATGACAACACATGGACATAGGGATGGGAACATCACACACCAGGGCCTTTTGGGCGATGGGGGGCTAGGGGAGGGATAACATTAGGAGAAATACCTAATGTAGGTGACAGGTTGATGGGTGGAGCAAGCCGCCATGGCATGTGTATATCTATGTAACAAAACTGCATGTTCTGCACATGTACCCCAGAAATTAATCATTTTTTTAAAAGAGGCTAAAGGTATGCAATCCAACAATCTCACTACTGGGTATCTACCTAAAGGAAAAGAAGCCACTATATCAAAAAGACACCTTCACATATATGTTTATTGCAGCACAATTTACAATTGTAAAGATTTGGAACCACCCTAAGGGCCCATCAATCAATAAGTGGATAAAGAAAATGGGACATATATACCATGAAATACTACTCAGCCATAACAAAGAATAAAATGATGTCTTTTTCAGCAACTTCCAGGGAGCTGGAGTCCATTACTCTAAGTGCAGTAACTCAGGAATGGAAAACCAAATAATGTATATTCTCACTTATAAGAGAGAGCTAAGCTATGGGTTTGCAAAGGCATACAGAGTGGTATAATGGACACTGGAGACTCAGAAGCAGAAGGGGGAGAAAGGAGAAAAACAAAAAACTAGATATTGGGTAGAATGTACACTACTCAAGTGACGGGTGCACTAAAAACTCAGACTTCATCACTATACAATTCATCCATAAAACCAAAAACCACTTGTACCCCTAAAGCTGTTGACATTTTAAATAAATAAATAATAAAAATTAATGAATAAACAAAACTAAAACTGAAAAGAGAGGTTAAATATATATATATATGTGTGTTACTTCAAAATTACACTATAAATCCCATCAAGTGTGCTTGAATAGTTATGATGTTTACTATATTTATTACTTATAAAGCACGAACACAAGGATTTCATTTATCAGCTAGTTGTAAAACATGTCTTTCACCATTGCAGGGGCTAGTCTATAAATTTTTATATGGAAAAATTTCCCTAGAAAATTTAAGATATATATATACATACATGTGATACAATCTTTAGCCCTCTAGAAGAGTCACATTTTACATTAGTGTCAGGAGACAAGGAACCATCTACTTCATTTACTTTCTGCTTTGTAGGAAAATACATTTGTGTATCAATATCAACCCAGGTGGGTGTGACTGAATGTACAGCACAACCCAAACTCCTGGATCGCAGACTATTTAATACCAGGTTTTATCCCCCTGGCATTTGCTTCCAACTTTATCAGACAAAGTAAAATAATGGTGATATAATCCACATCACTCTATAGTATTTTAATAAACATGCAAATAAATAGCACACAATGCTACATAATCACTTTTCAAGGTGTTTTTTTAAACATTATTTTACTTTGATAAAGTAGCAATAGTCCCCAGATAATTATGGTTTGTGCTAACTGAAAAAACAGTCCTTGTTTCACTGATTTGCACACTGTTGCTCAATTGAAGTTAATAGAATGGGCCACAACTGGAAGTGGAAGTCTCTTTTGCTTAATTTATTTGCCACAGTAACACTATAAAGCCAACCATTGGAATCTCAGTCCAGTTTGGAGTCTAATGACTGAATGAAGAGGTAGAAAACCAAAAATGGCAGCCAACACATGACAAGAATCCTCATAAAGGAATATTAGAAAGTGTCTTGTGTAATGCCATCCATCTATAATTATTGGCTACAGTTTCAAGCTGTCTGGATACAGACAGTTGACTAGATGACTTTCACAACACAAATAAATTTTTAGAAATTTGACCTCATTTCAGGATCATTCACTATGCTTTACATGCAATCCAGAATGCTGCACACATATGATATTCCTTGCCTTCTAGGAGTTTATGTTCTAAACAAAATCCTAGAAATGTTATTTCCCCATAAGGTTGACTTAACTTTTATGTTTTTCATTTGATTACAGCACAAGGATCTACCTCAAAAGTTCAATTTATACCTCAAGGGGAGGGAGCAAGGTTAAGGGAGACAACTGAATTCGAACCCATAAAAGTTATTTAATACACGTCAATATTATACCTAAAAAGTAGTCTTCTGGCTGGGTGCGGTGGCTCACGCCTTTAATCCCAGCACTCTGGGAGGCCGAGGTGGGCGGATCACAAGGTCAGGAGTTTGAGACCACCCTGGCCAATATGGTGAAACCCCATCTCTACTAAAAATACAAAAATTAGCCGGATGTGGTGGCATTTGCCTGTGGTCCCAGCTACTCCGGAGGCTGAGGCAGAAGAATCGCTTGAACCCAGGAGGCGGAGCTTGCAGTGAGCCGAGATTGTGCCACTGCACTCCAGCCTGGGTGACAGAGCAAGACTCTGTCTCAGAAAAAAAGTAGTCTTCTAATGAATTCATTCTTTATGTACACAGTAGAACATTTTCAACAAATTTATAGAGCATTGTTGTATTAAGAATCATGAGAGCACAAAGAACACATCTGATTCCTGTTCTTTTTTTAAAGTCTCCTACCCAATTCTCCCTCTCATTAGCCACTCCTTGAGTGACATGCACAATAACAACACTCTCCAGCTCAAGAAACTGCAGGACAAACATATACGCCCCCATAGGTGAGTCAGTGGGAAAAGTGCAGTACATGACTCATCACCATTTAAAACAGTTCCATCACTGATGCTCTACTGGAATTACTCCATCATCTCCCTGTAACCTTAGAGTTTACTTTAAAAACCCTCTAGGCTAGGTGAGGCTAACATTATTTCCAGTATCATATAAACCATTGACATGAAAACATTAAGACAAGTTTAAAACTATGCAAAAATATATTAAAAGAATCTACTTTTCTACAAATACAATGTAATAAGGAATACTTCAACGAAGTATATATATTAAATTGTATTAGTTTTTATTATTTCCATTAACTGGGCTATCACTAACAATTGTAGAGTTGTTTTCTTTTATTAAATGGTTAAAAGACCTTCAAAGCTAGAATACAATTTGCCCTTATCTGGAGTAAATAAGTGGCTGTTTAACAGGGATCATTAGCTGTAATGCAGAATATGAAGGCATGCCTCTCCCATCAACAGCTGACAGTCACATCAGGTAAAGGTGGAACATCAAAGAATGAGGACTTGCTTGTGAGGTGGAACTCAACAACTATCATTTTTAACATGCTTTTAACCATCTGACACTTGAATCACTTAATTTTTGTTACTATACTGATATCTTAGTTGTCCCATTTTTAAAATAAAGAATATACCAGTAACTGACCAGAAAACAATTACTATACACCCATACACATAAAATTCTATAAATAACTGGTGGGTAGAGGAGAAGGATGTAAAAAGTGATCTCTTTCTGAGATTGCAGAGGCCCAGTTTCCTCATTGTGTTCGCACATAAATACTTTCATTGCAGATATTTCAAGGTTATGCCAGACTTATACAGAAAGAAATCCTGGACTATGTGTTCTGAATGTGCTGGTAAAGAAAGTCACTTCATTTGAGAGGTCCCTGCCCCTTCAACCTCACCCTCCTTACCAATATACATTCATCACTGAAAAGGGAAATATTTACAAAAGTTAGTTTAGTTATGTTTAAATATTATGTTTAGCTGTCTGGAGACCATGTTCTCAAGATTTATACAAGAAATCAAGGATTAAACTTCATAACAATTAGAAAACCACACTGTGTAAAATCAAAGACTTAGTTAAAGGAAATTAAAATAGTTTTACCATTGGTGCTAAACTGAAATGGCTCCATCTCTTCCCAACACCTGGAATCAAAACCTTTTGAACTTTCATGTAAATAAATGAGGACATGCAGAATGCTCTGTCTGCAGCAAGGTACCACCTCTGCACAGGCATTTGGGTGAAAAATGTGGAAAATGCCTGAGGACTCTTTGAAGCAGCTTAGGAGAAGTGAGAGCAGGAAAGAGGCTCTTCTCTAGGGTAAGTTTGTTTAGTAGAAAGTAAGCAAGTTGTCAGGGTAAAAGTTGACAATGTTGATTCCAACAGTTTGAACTGCGAATAAACATCCAAAGGGATTATGTTACTGAGAATTAGAAAAGATTCCACTAAACTCAATAGAACACTTGTGTTTTCAAAGATAATATGCCTTCAAGCCATACTCTGGAGCCTCGGTTTAGGGTTAGAATTACCCTAAGCCCTTTCTATACCACATTAAAGAACACAAGGTCTGACCCCTCTTATAAGTGCCTAAAAATATTAGAATAAAGATGGAATAAAAATATTTCATTTCCACTCACTGAATTGGAAAATATTACACACACACACGCACGTATTTATACACACACACACATGCACAAATACATATGAGGTTGACTGAAAAAACCTGAAGAAACATCTATGCTCTTCCCAAACATCTAAACTTAAACCCAATTTCACTAACCAATTTAGGGAAATACATGCATTGGCCATAAATCACTTTTAAGTTTTCCCTTCTTAATGACCTATCAAAGAGCAAAAAACAGGGCCTATACTTATGAAATCCATAATCCCCTTTTCTGCTCACCAAAGCCACATTTAAGTCTGGCTTTCATCTCATGCTGTTGGGTTTTTCACCAGGTACAAGATGAAAAGCTGGAAGAGTCCTGTGCTTTTCTAAAAGCAAAACAATTTGGTTGCCACTCAGCAATTCCTGGTGACATGCCAAGAAGTCTGTAAAAAAAAAAGTTAAAGTTTTCCTAACTTAGAGCTTACAAAAATAAGTGTGAGATGTTCATAGCCTGTCAGACAATCCATCTTTTTATTTTTTTAATATTCATAAACAAGGGAAAACACATACTTTTGATTTGTTAAAGTTTATTTGGATCACTATAACGTAGGTCTGCCTTATGTGGTCTCAAGAAAATGGAGGTAACTTGGACTGCTCTTCTGAGTTCATCTCAAATCCTTAATGATTCTCACATAAGATTCTGCTATTATAATCTTTTCCAAAGCCTGACAAAACCATGCAGCTCATTTGCTCATTACCAGCAAGTCTGCAAGCAGCCTTGAAAAAAGTTGATTCTCCTTGTAGCTCTGACACATATTCACTTTCCTCCTAGAATCAAGGATATAAGGGAGCACGGCTCAGTCTCATAGCCTCTTTGCTCTTAAGAAGAAAATCAAATTCCCCAGATATTTCCAAACTCCACCAAGAATAGAACATTCTCTGCTCTGCCTGAAGACCATTATCTCTTTTACATTTCATCTTTATATTCACTGGGTTCATAGAAAGGGCATACACAGAAAGAGGAAAATAGCTGCTTCTTAAAAGACACCAAATTTAGTAATTCTCTCAAATCTACTGGCATACATTTAGAAAGTCGTATTTTTAAAGGCTTCAATAGGTTTTCATCAGTTCTGTGTTTTGAGAAGAAAACACATGCTGAATCACCCATAACTTCAAACCAAAATATATCTGCAAACTACAAGGAATATTTGTAATAGAAAGACAAGTCATCACAATTTAAAAAGTGATATAGTGGGTGTAGACAGACAGATGTGTACCCCAAAAAACAAGTTACTAACTGAATGCTCTAAGATTTCAACCAACTCCAATAGCCTTACCTGTTAATATGAGATTACTGTAAGTATTGGAGAATTGCTCCTTTAGAAGAACCAGATGCATCTGAGCTGCCTTCTCCCTTTGGAGCTCCAGCATAACATCAGGGTGCTGGGCAATCTTGCAGCCTTTCTGTTTATCTAAGGCAACATCACTTCGAACAATGTCTACAAAAAGAAAGAAAGAAGGCAGGCAGCAAAAACTAAAACAAAACAAAAAATAATACATCATCAAAGTCTTGTTTCACCCAAAATGACAGAATTAATAAGCTACCAGCATTTTCATCAACCTAAAGAGATGCAGAAGTAATCAGAAGGCTCTCCAACTCCATGACACATCCTGAAAGTTCCTCTGGTCATTTCCAAATTCTTTGGAGATCTATCTGTTTCTTAGCTCTTTCTGACATCATTTAAGATTCTCACTCCTCAATTCTCCTTCCCAGCCCTTCAGGACTTGTTTACCTCCTGGGGCCTTTTCTTAACATATCTTACCGTTTTCCATGGGAAAAAGTATTATAATACAATTTTGAATACTGGTAATTATGAAGGTCATTCTCTCTACCTCGTGCTACAGGACCAGGTGATAGCTCCAGCATGTGTATTTAGGATACTTGGTCTATTTTTAAATTCACCTGCCAGCCAGCCTACTCAGCTCAAGTTAGAGCTGCCGATCTATGGCTTACCTGGTCATGGTTTTTTCTGCTATTTTTCATGTACCTCGAGTAAAATAGTTTAATTCTGACTTAATAATCATTCTTTCAAACCAAAAATATTTTTTGAGTCACTGAAGAGAGCACAGGAGGTCTAGAGTCATGGAAGATCTGCCTTTTCCCCAATTATTTTCCCATACTGCTTTTTATACTTCGGAATGATTTTCATTCAAAGCAGATATAGTCTCCAGAAAACAGCTTCCTCAAAAAGAAAAATTCATACAGAATGCTTCAGCCAGGCGTGGTGGCTCACGCCTGTAATCCCAGCACTTTGGGAGGCCAAGGCGGGCAGATCACGATGTCAGGAGTTCAAGACCAGTCTGACCAATATGGTGAAACCCTGTATCTACTAAAAATACAAAAAAACTAGTCGGGTGTGGTGGCACACACCTGTAGTCCCAGCTATTTGGGAGGCTGAGGCAGGAGAATCACTTGAACCAGGAGGTGGAGGTTGCAGTGAGCCGAGATTGCACCACTGCACTCCAGCCTGGGCAATAGAGGGAGACTCTGTCTTAAAAAAAAAAAAAAAGAAGAAGAAGAATGCTTCCCAATTAGCAGGAAGCTCTTATGCCCTAAAGTTATTTATTAATTTTTTACAAATTAAAATATAATTCAACTGATTCTCATAGGTACAAATGATACCATCAGCAGTAATCTAGGTGGCAACTCTAAAAACTTTCAAGTTTTGCATAACAAAACTGAAGAATTTTAATAGAAGGCGCTAAAAAATAACTGCTTTGCCACTTTTGACACCAATGATTTTGGAAAGAATAAAACTAATGCCCATGTTAATGGTACTAAAAGAAAAGCTATATTCAGTGACACTTAAGAGAAAATAGGGCATATGGTGAAAAGGGTGAAACACTGTTCTGGAGAAGTAGTCTTTTCTTTCAGATTTCTAAAAGAAAAGCCCAGGTATAAATACAAACCCATGACTATGAGAGTTAGGATGTGTGGCACACAAAGATAAGCCAGATGTGAAAATGGTCCTCACTAATTCTTAGATTAAAACAGGAGAGCTGAGTAGAAATTATGCAGTATTTATGCCTAAACATGTATATACCAATTTCTTGAATATGGGTAATAAAATGAACTCATTTAACAAATAACTAGTCTCACAGATTTTCTGAGACTTAAATACAAAAATTGTATAAATAAGTTCAAGAATATACTAGCTTTTAAGACAATCCAATAGAAGTCAAGAGGAATAATGCAGTTTACATTTATATAAATTACGTTCTATAAAATTTTTTGGATTACATCATCTCATTGGATCCTTCCAAAAATATTATCAAAGTAAATGGCAGACATTGTTGACTGGCTGACCCAAACCCTAAACACAATCCCTTCTCCCTTGGCTTCATCTATTATAGAGACTGAAAAACTACACTATACAATTTCCCAGCTTTCCTTGCAGAAAAGGGTAGTTATGTAACATGGTTCTGGAAAATGAGCTGCAGGCCGACATCTTAAAGGGGGACTTCCCTTGCCAGATTAAAAGAGAGAGCCTCACTAAGAGAAACTCAGTTTTTCCCTTTAGTCCTTTAGTCCCTCCTATTCTCTATGTCTAAAATATAGACATGAAGCCCAGAGTTCTAGTAGCCACTTTGTAACCTTGAGTTAAGAAGCAAGAGTAGGGGTCGGGCACAGTGGCTCACGCCTGTAATCCCAGCACTTTGGGAGGCTGAGGCAGGTGGATTACTTGAGGTCAGGAGTTCAAGACCAGCCTGGCAACACGGTGAAACCCCACCTCTACTAAAAATACAAAAATTAGCTGGGCGTGGTGGCACACGCCTGTAGTTCCAGCTACTCAGGAGGCTGAGGCAGGAGAATTACTTGAACGCAGGAAGCGGAGGTTGCAGTGAGCCGAGATCGTACCACTGCACTCCAGTCTGGGTGAAAGAGTGAGACTCCATCAAAAAAAATAAAAATAAAAATAAGCAAGAGGGTAAAGGATTACACACTAAAAGTGTTGAACAGAAAAATGTAAAGAGCTTAAGTCCCTAATGTCTTTATTGACCTACCATACCTGTGCTAGACTGCCTATCTCTTAATTTCTTGTCATGAGACAAATATACTATTTATGTAAGTCATTAATAGTTAACTGTTTTTAAAATTGTAACCTGTTGTATAATCCTAAATGATAAAGAACACTATTATTGCCTCTATCTTAAATACGACGAAACTGAGGTCCACAAAGCTTGACTTGCACAAGTTCACAAAACCTGGTCAGTGCTCAAATCCAGGGATGTTCAAAGCCAATTTCAGTGCTCTTTCCAGAGCTCCTATATGAAACTCATGAGCTTAAGAGTAGAATTACATTAAACAATAAAAGGAAGAACTAAAAAGAAAAACTGAGTTATACTGTTACAATGGTATTCCATAGACTGTTCGTGTGGAAAAGAAATATGAATGCTTTCTCAGAAAAAATTATAAAACTTGTATCAAAACATACTATAAAAAGTGAAGGAGAGTTTCAATTACCCTGATATCTTCTGACACAAGTCTAATTTGAAGAGTAGAACACCAACTAAACTCCCTATTTCCTATCTAATAAATATATTGCTCAGAATGCAGCAGAAGCAACAATTACAACTGATATCCTCAACATCATTCCAACAAGAACCTTGAAATAAAGTAACTACATTACCTTTATATTAATAACAGTCAGAAAGGAAAACTATGAACATGGCCAAACGTATGCCCTAAACTTTAGAAAAGCAGATTTCAAAAATGTTTAGGGAAAAAAATAGATATGCTGTATCTAAAGTAAAAGTATGAATTCCTTATTCAACTCTAATCTGCTTGAAATTGTATCAATGACTAGATAAACACAAAGCAAAGATACTTATCAAAGAAGCACATGGTAATATATCTGGAGGAAGAGTTAGTATCATGTATGACACACTCAAAATTCAAAATTATCTTGGAAATCTAAAAACTTAGGCTGAAATCCCAAAAATGGAAGGTAAAGACATGAACACAAATCCTACATTTATACTGAAAATTAATGATGTAAGATTTAAGATGGGAAAGCCAGACCAAACAGAAGCTCATATACTTAAGATCTTACTAAGATTTGTAGGCTTTAGTTGAATACCAGCTTAATATAAGTCAGTGCTATGATATTGCTGCCAAAATGATTAATGCAATCTTAGTCTAAATTAACAGAACCAGAACATGCAGAATAAAGAAGGCAACACAGCTGTGCTACATTCCTTGCCTCCCAAGTGCAACACAGTGAAGAGTTTGGAGTTAAGCAGACCTCTGTTCAAATCCTGGCTTGGTATTCACTTATTAGTTACAAAAGTGGCAGACAAAACACCTTTCTAAGATTACATTTCTTTAGCTACTGTTATTGTACAGATACACAAAAGGCATTGCACTAAGCATACAATAAGAGCACAATAAAGAGTACCTATAATTATTTTTGTTATTAGTATCCTGCTTGTGGTATTACATATTTCCAGCTATAATAGTCTCAGATGAATCCTGGTAGTCTAGAGTAAGTCCAAAGAAAAGTACAAATATGGAAAATAATGTTGATCTTTTAAAATAGCTGAAACTGGCCGGGTGCAGTAGCTCACGCCTGTAATCCCAGCACTTTGGGAGCCCAAGGTGGGCGCATCACCTGAGGTCTGGAGTTTGAGACCAGCCTGCCCAACCTGGTGAAGCCCCGTCTCTACTAAAAACACAAAATTAGCCAGGCATGGTGGCGCATGCCTGTAATCCCAGCTACTCGGGAGGCTGAGGCAGAAGAATCACTTGAAATTGGGAGGCAGAAGCTGCAGTGAGCCAAGATCGCGCCATTGCACTCCAGCCCGGGCAAAAAGAGCGAAACTCCACTCAATCAATCAATCAATCAATCAATCAATCAATCAATAAAATAGTTGAAACTATGATTCAATGGACTTTGGGGACTCAGAGGGAAGGGCAAGAGGCAGGTGAGGAATGGAAGACTATACACTGTTGGAACAGTGTATACTGCTTGGGTGATGGGTGCACCAAAACTCCAAAATCACCACTAAAGAACTTATGCATGTAACCAAACACCACCTGTTCCCCCAAAACTATTGAAGTTTAAAAAATAAATATATATATTTATACAAAAAAAAATAGCTGAAACTGAGCCTGGCAAAGAAAGAGCCAAAGATGACTTGCTTTCTCATACAGAAGAAATAGTTGACTTATTCTGTGGAAATCTAAAAAGCCAAACATTATGGGAGTACCCAAGAACCAAACCTGTTCAGTTCCACGTGAGAAAACTTTTTTAACAACAGAAGCTGTCAAATAAGGAAAAGGACTACTTCATGAAGGAGTAAGTTTCCCATCCCTGGAGATATTCAAGCAGAGAATGGGTGACCCAGGCATAATGAAGTAATTTCAATACAGATATTAAAACCTGCCAGATACAAGATTAGGTATTTTCACCTATATTATGTGAAGCAATACAGCAGGATGGTTAAAAGCACAGGTTTCGAATTCAAATATATACAAGTTTGGATCCCTCTAGTACTTACTATCAGAGAGCTCTTGGACAAACCACTAAATCTCTCAATGCATTTCCTAATAAAGAAGGGAATTTCCTTTTTTAGAAACATGAAAATACCAATAGCTTAATTGTAATGAACTTATCACAGTAATAGAGACATATTAGGAATTCAACAAGTGCCAGATGTTTCAGTGGTTGTCAATAATAACATCACATTGTAATATCAGAAAGTTATTATTGGAGGATAGTATTATTCTTTTAGGTCATTTCAACACTTTTATGGTTCCACAAAAATGTGTATTTTTCTTATGTCTTTATCAGACATAATACAAAGAATAAAGACTCAAAGCCAGAAAACTTAGATATACATTTAACTAATTTACCAAATAATCATAAAACTCTAAACGAAAAATTAAAAACCCTATGCTTGTTTTTTTTTTTTCTCCTGGTACACCAAACTGGGGAGTTTCTGGCCTGGATGATCTCTAAACCTCTTCATTCCCCCTGCTAGTTCTTCCCTCTTACAGATGTTCTTTGTTGTTATGTAATCAAAGTAGAGTTCCAAACTTGGGTCCAAATATGAAGCTATCCATACTCCTCTTCCCATCTCCCCTTATGATCCTTACCCTAGTATACAATTCAAGGATGCCAAAATACCCAATATATACCCTGACAGATGCAACAAAGGAGCGGGCATCTTGCACCAAAGTTGATGCACTAGAATCAATTTATTGTCTATAATTATTTCTGGACATCTAGGTATAAAAGCATTTGTATTTTTGTTCTTTATTCTTTCTTCCACAACTTTTCCATAAACTAACCAGTTAGTAACCCACAGCAGTGCTAGCCTAAGGTGGCAGTTCTGGTTGAGACAAATGACAGACTGGCAGACCAGCCAAAAAAATTTTTTAAGACAGTGTCTTACTCTGTCACCCAGGCTGGAGTGTAGTGGCATAGCCCACCACAGCTCGAACTCCTAGGCTCAAGCAATCCTCCCACCTCAGACTCCCAAACAGTCAGGACTACAGGGACACACCACCATACCTGGCTAAATTTTAAAAATTTTTTGTAGAGATGAAATCTCACTATGTTGCCTAGGCTGGTCTCAAACTCCTTGTCTCAAACAATCCTCCCGCCTCAGCCTCCCAAAGAGCTGGGATTACAGGCATGAGCCACCAAATCTGGCCTAGCTAAACATTTTAATAGAAAGACTCTGGCACTTCAGGAGACATAAAATGAGCTACATATGCTTTCCATGCAAGCTTGGCTGACTAGCAGGCTATATGCACATGCAAGGGAGCCCCAACATAGGCTAAGTTCTTCACACATAACTGGCTAATGGGGAGGCTACGCACAAACATGGGAGAGACCCAAGAGATCAGCAGGAAAAAATAAAGTGAAAAAGACCTAAAAAATGCCACAAAACTTAATGTGTTTATCAATCCACAGAGAAATCCATCAGCTGAACATGAAAACATTAAGGGTCCAAAATGTTTTAAACATAATCTCTGAACAGTCATTGGCTGATCACTAAGCTATGCAGACTCAGAGGCAAACCCTAGGAAACCAAGCTAAAAAATAAAAATAAAAATTTTTAAAACTATAAAGAAATATCAGTAACAGCACAACAAAAAGATATAAAGTCCAAATAACTTACCTAAAAACAAAGAAAACATAAAACAACAATTGTCATGGAAAAAAAGAACTACTTTGATTACAAAACAACAAAGATCAGCAAGAGGGGAATGGTATAGATTGGCTATAACCTATCTAAAATGGCCAGTTTCCAATAAAATATTACAAGCCATGCAAAAAAAAAAAATCAGAGAACTTAAAGATAGGTGAATAGAAATGACCTAACCTGAAAAACAAAGATAAAAAAGACCAAGGAAAAATGACCACAGCCTCAGAGAATTATGGGACAACATGAAGCAATCAAACATATGCATAACGGGAGTCCTACAAGGAGAGGAAAAATAAAGGGCAGAATTGTTTGAAGACATGATGACCAAAAACATTCAAAATTTGATAAAAATCATTAATCCACAGATTCAAGAAGTACAACAAACCTCAAGCACAAGTACAACAAAACTCAGCACAAAGAGATCCACATCTAGATACATTATAATAAAAATGTTAAAAGCCCAAGATAAAAAGAAAATCTTAAAAGCACGGAGGAAAAAAACTAATCCATAAAGGGAACAAGTAATACAATTAATGGCTGACTTCCTCCAATTTGAAACAATGGAGACTAGAAAGCAGTAGAATGACATTTACAAAGGGCGAAAAGTAACAGCAAGACTCTGTCTCTTAAAAAAAAATAAAGGAAATATTTAGCCAAACATGATGGCATGCACTTATAATCCCAGCTATTCAGGAAGCTGAAACAGGAGGACTGCTTGAGCTCAGGAGTTTGAGGTTGCAGTTACCTATAACTGCACCACTGCACTCCAACCTGGGCAACAGAGCTAGACCCTATCTCATAAATAAATAGCGCTAAAAGAAAACTTCTGACAACCAATAATTCTATGTTCAGCAAAACTATCATTCAAAAATGCAGGCAAAATAAAGTCATTTCCATATTTAAAAAAAAAAAGAGGCTGGGCACTGTGGCTCATGCCTGTAATTCCAGCTTTGGGAGGCCGAGGCGGGCAGATCACGAGGTCAGGAGATCAAGACCATCCTGGCTAACACAGTGAAACCCCGTCTCTACTAAAAATACAAAAAATTAGCCAGGCATGGTGGCAGGCGCCTGTAGTCCCAGCTACTTGGGAGGCTGAGACAGGAGAATGGTGTGAACCTGGGAGGCAGAGCTTGCAGTGAGCCAAGATCACACCACTGCACTTCGGCCTGGACAACAGAGCGAGACTCCACCTCAAAAAAAAAAAAAAAAAAAGACTGAGAGAATTTGTTGCTAGCAGACCTGCAACACAAGAAATATTAAAGGAAGTGCTTCAGGTTAAAAGGCAATGATATCAAGTAATAACTCAGATACACAGGAAGAAATGAAATACACTAGAAATTGTAAATATGTAAATAAACAAAAATCCTTTTCTCTTTTACATGTTTTAAAAACTCGTAAGATTATATATAGAAGAAAATATGTTTTAGTTATACCATATATAGATGTAATAGTAATACACAGAACAAAATTAACACAATAGAAAGGATAAGAAAAGAAGCTGTATTTGAGTAAAGTTGTTGTAATTTATAAAAATTAAGTTAACATTAACCTTAAATTGACTGTGCTAAATTAAGATGCATAGTAAATCCCTTGAGCAACTAAGAAAACAACTGAAAATGAGGGGGAGGAGCCAAGATGGCCGAATAGGAACAGCTCCAGTCTACAGCTCCCAGCGTGAGTGACGCAGAAGACGGGTGATTTCTGCATTTCCATCTGAGGTACCGGGTTCACCTCACTAGGGAGTGCCAGACAGTGGGCGCGGGTCAGTGGGTGCGCGCATCGTGCGCGAGCCGAAGCAGGGCGAGGCATTGCCTCACTTGGGAAGCGCAAGGGGTCAGGGAGTTCCCTTTCCGAGTCAAAGAAAGGGGTGACAGAGGGCACCTGGAAAATCGGGTCAATCCCATCCAAATATTGCGCATTTCGGACCGGCTTAAAAAACTGCGCACCACGAGATTATATCCCGCACATGGCTCGGAGGGTCCTACGCCCACGGAGTCTCGCTGATTGCTAGCACAGCAGTCTGAGATCAAACTGCAAGGCAGCAGCGAGGCTGGGGGAGGGGCGCCCGCCATTGCCCAGGCTTGCTTAGGTAAACAAAGCAGCCTGGAAGCTCGAACTGGGTGGAGCCCACCACAGCTCAAGGAGACCTGCCTGCCTCTATAGGCTCCACCTCTGGGGGCAGGGCACAGACAAACAAAAAGACAGCAGTAAACTCTGCAGACTTAAATGTCCCTGTCTGACAGCTTTGAAGAGAGCACTGGTTCTCCCAGCAGGCAGGTAGAGATCTGAGAACGGGCAGACTGCCTCCTCAAGTGGGTCCCTGACCCCTGACCCCCGAGCAGCCTAACTGGGAGGCACCCCCCAGCAGGGACACACTGACACCTCACACGGCAGGGTATTCCAACAGACCTGCAGCTGAGGGTCCTGTCTGTTAGAAGGAAAACTAACAAACAGAAAGGACATCCACACCAAAAACCCATCTGTACATCACCATCATCAAAGACCAAAAGTAGATAAAACCACAAAGATGGGGAAAAAACAGAGCAGAAAAACTGGAAATTCTAAAAAGCAGAGCGCCTCTCCTCCTCCAAAGGAACGCAGTTCCTCACCAGCAACAGAACAAAGCTGGACGGAGAATGACTTTGACGAGCTGAGAGAAGAAGGCTTCAGACGATCAAATTACTCTGAGCTACGGGAGGACATTCAAACCAAAGGTAAAGAAGTTGAAAACTTTGAAAAAAATTTAGAAGAATGTATAACTAGAATAACCAATACAGAGAAGTGCTTAAAGGAGCTGATGGAGCTGAAAACCAAGGCTCGAGAACTACGTGAAGAATGCAGAAGCCTCAGGAGCTGATGCGATCAAATGGAAGAAAGGGTATCAGCAATGGAAGATGAAATAAATGAAATGAAGCGAGAAGGGAAGTTTAGAGAAAAAAGAATAAAAAGAAATGAGCAAAGCCTCCAAGAAATATGAGACTATGTGAAAAGACCAAATCTACGTCTGATTGGTGTACCTGAAAGTGATGGGGAGAATGGAACCAAGTTGGAAAACACTCTGCAGGATATTATCCAGGAGAACTTCCCCAATCTAGCAAGGCAGGCCAACATTCAGATTCAGGAAATACAGAGAACGCCACAAAGATACTCCTCGAGAAGAGCAACTCCAAGACACATCATTGTCAGATTCACCAAAGTTGAAATGAAGGAAAAAATGTTAAGGGCAGCCAGAGAGAAAGGTCGGGTTACCCTCAAAGGGAAGCCCATCAGACTAACAGTGGATCTCTCGGCAGAAACCCTACAAGCCAGAAGAGAGTGGGGGCCAATATTCAACATTCTTAAAGAAAAGAATTTTCAACCCAGAATTTCATATCCAGCCAAACTAAGCTTCATAAGTGAAGGAGAAATAAAATACTTTACAGACAAGCAAATGCTGAGAGATTTTGTCACCACCAGGCCTGCCCTAAAACAGCTCCTGAAGGAAGCGCTAAACATGGAAAGGAACAACCGGTACCAGCCGCTGCAAAATCATGCCAAAATATAAAGACCATCGAAACTAGGAAGAAACTGCATAAACTAACGAGCAAAATCACCAGCTAACATCATAATGACAGGATCAAATTCACACATAACAATATTAACTTTAAATGTAAAGGGACTAAATGCTCCAATTAAAAGACACAGACTGGCAAATTGGATAAAGAGTCAAGACCCATCAGTGTGCTGTATTCAGGAAACCCAACTCACGTGCAGAGACACACATAGGCTCAAAATAAAGGGATGGAGGAAGATCTACCAAGCAAATGGAAAACAAAAAAAGGCAGGGGTTGCAATCCTAGTCTCTCATAAAACAGACTTAAAACCAACAAAGATCAAAAGAGACAAAGAAGGACATTACATAATGGTAAAGGGATCAATTCAACAAGAAGAGCTAACTATCCTAAATATATATGCACCCAATACAGGAGCACCCAGATTCATAAAGCAAGTCCTGAGTGACCTACAAAGAGACTTAGACTCCCACACATTAATAATGGGAGACTTTAACACCCCACTGTCAACATTAGACAGATCAATGAGACAGAAAGTCAACAAGGATACCCAGGAATTGAACTCAGCTCTGCACCAAGTGGACCTAATAGACATCTACAGAACTCTCCACCCCAAATCAACAGAATATACATTTTTTTCAGCACCACACCACACCTATTCCAAAATTGACCACATAGTTGGAAGTAAAGCTCTCCTCAGCAAATGTAAAAGAACAGAGATTATAACAAACTATCTCTCAGACCACAGTGCAATCAAACTAGAACTCAGGATTAAGAATCTCACTCAAAACCGCTCAACTACGTGGAAACTGAACAACCTGCTCCTGAATGACTACTGGGTACATAACGAAATGAAGGCAGAAATAAAGATGTTCTTTGAAACCAACGAGAACAAAGACACAACATACCAGAATCTCTGGGATGCATTCAAAGCAGTGTGTAGAGGGAAATTTATAGCACTAAATGCCCACAAGAGAAAGCAGGAAAGATCCAAAATTGACACCCTAACATCACAATTAAAAGAACTAGAAACGCAAGAGCAAACACATTCAAAAGCTAGCAGAAGGCAAGAAATAACTAAAATCAGAGCAGAACTGAAGGAAATAGAGACACAAAAAACCCTTCAAAAAATTAATGAATCCAGGAGCTGGTTTTTTGAAAGGATCAACAAAATTGATAGACCACTAGCAAGACTAATAAAGAAAAAAAGAAGAATCAAATAGACACAATAAAAAATGATAAAGGGGATATCACCACCGATCCCACAGAAATACAAACTACCATCAGAGAATACTATAAACACCTCTACGCAAATAAACTAGAAAATCTAGAAGAAATGGATAAATTCCTGGACACATACACTCTCCCAAGACTAAACCAGGAAGAAGTTGAATCTCTGAATAGACCAATAACAGGATCTGAAATTGTGGCAATAATCAATAGTTTACCAACCAAAAAGAGTCCAGGACCAGATGGATTCACAGCCGAATTCTACCAGAGGTACAAGGAGGAACTGGTACCATTCCTTCTGAAACTATTCCAATCAATAGAAAAAGAGGGAATCCTCCCTAACTCATTTTATGAGGCCAGCATCATTCTGATACCAAAGCCGGGCAGAGACACAACCAAAAAAGAGAATTTTAGACCAATATCCTTGATGAACATTGACGCAAAAATCCTCAACAAAATTCTGGCAAAACGAATCCAGCAGCACATCAAAAAGCTTATCCACCATGATCAAGTGGGCTTCATCCCTGGGATGCAAGGCTGGTTCAATATACACAAATCAATAAATGTAATCCAGCATATAAACAGAGCCAAAGACAAAAACCACATGATTATCTCAATAGATGCAGAAAAAGCCTTTGACAAAATTCAACAACCCTTCATGCTAAAAACTCTCAATACATTAGGTATTGATGGGACGTATTTCAAAATAATAAGAGCTATCTATGACAAACCCACAGCGAATATCATACTGAATGGGCAAAAACTGGAAGCATTCCCTTTGAAAACTGGCACAAGACAGGGATGCCCTCTCTCACCACTCCTATTCAACATAGTGTTGAAAGTTCTGGCCAGGGCAATTAGGCAGGAGAAGGAAATAAAGGGTATTCAATTAGGAAAAGAGGAAGTCAAATTGTCCCTGTTTGCAGATGACATGATTGTATATCTAGAAAACCCCATTGTCTCAGCCCGAAATCTCCTTAAGCTGATAAGCAACTTCAGCAAAGTCTCAGGATACAAAATCAATGTACAAAAGTCACAAGCATTCTTATACACCAATAACAGACAAACAGAGAGGCAAATCATGAGTGAACTCCCATTCACAATTGCTTCAAAGAGAATAAAATACCTAGGAATCCAACTTACAAGGGATGTGAAGGACCTCTTCAAGGAGAACTACAAACCACTGCTCAAGGAAATAAAAGAGGATACAAACAAATGGAAGAACATTCCATGCTCATGGGTAGGAAGAATCAATATCGTGAAAATGGCCATACTGCCCAAGGTAATTTACAGATTCAATGCCATCCCCATCAAGCTACCAATGACTTTCTTCACAGAATTGGAAAAAACTACTTTAAAGTTCATATGGAACCAAAAAAGAGCCCGCATCGCCAAGTCAATCCTAAGCCAAAAGAACAAAGCTGGAGGCATCACGCTACCTGACTTCAAACTATACTACAAGGCTACAGTAACCAAAACAGCATGGTACTGGTACCAAAACAGAGATATAGATCAATGGAACAGAACAGAGCCCTCAGAAATAACGCCACATATCTACAACTATCTGATCTTTGACAAACCTGAGAAAAACAAGCAATGGGGAAAGGATTCCCTATTTAATAAATGGTGCTGGGAAAACTGGCTAGCCATATGTAGAAAGCTGAAACTGGATCCCTTCCTTATACCTTATACAAAAATCAATTCAAGATGGATTAAAGACTTAAACATTAGACCTAAAACCATAAAAACCCTAGAAGAAAATCTAGGCATTACCATTCAGGACATAGGCATGGGCAAGGACTTCATGTCTAAAACACCAAAAGCAATGGCAACAAAAGCCAAAATTGACAAATGGGATCTAATTAAACTCAAGAGCTTCTGCACAGCAAAAGAAACTACCATCAGAGTGAACAGGCAACCTACAAAATGGGAGAAAATTTTCGCAACCTACTCATCTGACAAAGGGCTAATATCCAGAATCTACAATGAACTCAAACAAATTTACAAGAAAAAAACAAACAACCCCATCAAAAAGTGGGCAAAGGACGTGAACAGACACTTCTCAAAAGAAGACATTTATGCAGCCAAAAAACACATGAAAAAATGCTCATCATCTCTGGCCATCAAAGAAATGCAAATCAAAACCACAATGAGATACCATCTCACACCAGTTAGAATGGCAATCATTAAAAAGTCAGGAAACAACAGGTGCTGGAGAGGATGTGGAGAAATAGGAACACTTTTACACTGTTGGTGGGACTGTAAACTAGTTCAACCATTGTGGAAGTCAGTGTGGCGATTCCTCAGGGATCTAGAACTAGAAATACCATTTGACCCAGCCATCCCATTACTGGGTATATACCCAAAGGACTATAAATCATGCTGCTATAAAGACACATGCACACGTATGTTTATTGCGGCATTATTCACAATAGCAAAGACTTGGAACCAACCCAAGTGTCCAACAATGATAGACTGGATTAAGAAAATGTGGCACATATACACCATGGAATACTATGCAGCCATAAAAAATGATGAGTTCAGGTCCTTTGTAGGGACATGGATGAAATTGGAAATCATCATTCTCAGTAAACTATCGCAAGAACAAAAAACCAAACACCGCATATTCTCACTAATAGGTGGGAATTGAACAATGAGATCACATGGACACAGGAAGGGGACTATCACACTCTGGGGACTGTGGTGGGGTGGGGGGAGGGATAGCATTGGGAGATATACCTAATGTTAGATGACAAGTTAGTGGGTGCAGCGCACCAGCATGGCACATGTATACATATGTAACTAACCTGCACAATGTGCACATGTACCCTAAAACTTAAAGTATAATTAAAAAAAAAAAGAAAACAACTGAAAATAACATAGTGTAAAAATCAACAGAGTAATTAACTGACTAGTCTTTTTAAGAATCTTAATAATCCATTTAACAAAAAGAAGGCAGTTAACAAAAGAAATATAGAAAATATCAAAGTGAAAGACATAAATTCAATCATATTAATAATTGCACTAAATTTGAATGGACTAAACAGTCAATCAAAAGAGAGACTGTCAGATTGAGTTTCAAAAGATTCATGAGACACAGTTTAAACAGTGCTTAGAGAGAAATTTTTATCTTTACACATCTATATTCTAAAAAAGGAACGTTCTCACATCAATAATCAATCAATAATCTAAGTTCGCACTTACAAACTAGAAAAATAAGAAAATTTTAAACACGAAGCAAGCAAAAAAAAGAAAAAAAGGATCAGAATGGAAATCAATGAACTAGAAAACAAAAAGATAAGTCAATAAAACAAAATATTGATTATTTGAAAAGATTAATACAACTGAAAAACCTTGAGCTAGGATGACAAAGAAAGAAGACACAAATTACCAAAATTGATAGGGAGGGAGGCATTTTCAAAAGGTTTCAAACATTTTCAAAATGAGAAAATTATAATGATACAGAACAGATTATAAAGAGGTTGTATGAGGTAGTTGCTTTTGCGTGGTGAAACAGTTATGCATTCTGATTGTTATATTGGTTATACGAATTCATATATGTAATAAAATTTCATTGAACTATACATGCACACACATAGAAGAAATGATTGTATGTAAAACTGGTGAAATATGAATAAAGTCTGTAGCTTACTTAACTTTTCTGTACAACTTCTGCAAGTTTTTGTAAGTCTAAAGTTATTTCAAAATATTTTTTAAAGAATTTAGACCCTTACCTTACATCATATACAAAAGAAAAGCCTCAAAATCAATCACAGACCTAAATATAAGATCTAAAGCTATAAATTTTCTAGACAAAAATATAAGAAAAAATATTTGTATCCTTAGGTTAAGTACAGATTTCTTAGTTATGACACCAAAAGTATAATTCAAAATAGAAAAATAATAATAAATCGAACTTCATCAAGAGTAAAAGTGTTCGCTCTTTAAAAGATACTATTAGGCCAGGCATGGTGGCTCACATCTGTAATGCCAGCATTTTGTCAGGCTGAGGTGGGCGGATCACTTGAAGCCAGGGGCTCAAGACCAGCCTGGCCAACATGGTGAAACCCTATCTCTACTAAAAATATAAAAGTTAGCCAGGCATGGTGGCACATGCCTTTAATCCCAGCGACTCGGGAGGCTGAAGCACAAGAATCACTTGAACCTGGGAGGCGAAGGTTGCAGTCAGCCAAGAATGCACCACTGCACTCTAGACTCTGACAAAAAAAAAAAAAGATATAATTAAGCTAAGGAAAAGATAAGCCACCAACTGAGAAAATATTTTAAAATTACATATATGATAAAATATATATAAAGAATGTTTTACACCTTGATAAAAAGACAACCCAATTTTTAAAATGGACAAAAGATCTGAATAGACATTTCACCAAAGACATACAAATGGCTAATAGCACATAAAATTATATATAATATCATTATTCATTAGAGAAATGCAAACTAAAACCACAATGAGATACTACTACACACCCACTAGAATAGTTATAACCCAGAAAACCGACAATACCAAGTGCTGCCAAGAATGTGGAGAAACAAGAGCCCTCACACATTGCTGGTGGGAATGTAAAACGCTACAGCCTCTTTGGAAAACACATTGGTAGTTTCTTAACAAAATAAACTTGCTGTACAACCTAACAAACTCACTCCTGAGAGCCTACCTGACAGAAATGAAAGCATATGTCCACATAAAGATTTCTACATGGCCGGGCGCGGTGGCTCACGCCTGTAATCCCAGCACTTTGGGAGGCCGAGGCGGGCGGATCACGAGGTCAGGAGATCGAGACCATCCCGGCTAAAACGGTGAAACCCCGTCTCTACTAAAAATACAAAAAATTAGCCGGGCGTAGTGGCGGGCGCCTGTAGTCCCAGCTACTTGGGAGGCTGAGGCAGGAGAATGGTGTGAACCCGGGAGGCGGAGCTTGCAGTGAGCCGAGATCCCGCCACTGCACTCCAGCCTGGGCGACACAGCGAGACTCCGTCTCAAAAAAAAAAAAAAAAAAAAAAGATTTCTACATGAGGTCGGGCACAGTGGCTCATGCTTATAATCCTATCACTCTGAGTGGCCAGGGTGGGAAGATGGCTTGAGGCCAGAAGTTTGACACCACACCAGCCTGGGCAACATAAGGAGTCCCCATCTGTACAAAAAATTTAAAAATTAGCCAGACGTGGTGGCATGTGCCTGTAGTCCCAGCTACTCAGGAAGCTGAGGCAGGAAGACAGCTTGAGCCTAGGAGTTTGAGGCGATAGTGAGCCATGGTCCCATCACTGCACTCCCGCCTCGGTAACAGAGTGAGACTCTGTTAAAAAAAAAAAAAAAGGACTTGTACATGAATATTTATAGTAGCATTATGCATAACAGCCAAAACTGGCAACAGCCCAAATGTCCAGAAACTAGTAAATGGATAAACAAAATGTGGCAAATCCATAAAATGAAATGCCATTCAGAAATAAAAAGAAACTAATTACTAATAAATTCTAGACCTGGATAACCTCAACAACATTAGACTAGATTTTGTGTCTGGTGAAAGAAGCCAGACACAAAAAGACCACGTATTATGACTTCATTTATGTGAAATTTCTGGAGAACGCATATCAATTGACAGAAAGCATATCAGTGGTTTTCTAAGGCTGGGATGGGAGAAGGGCTTGATTGTAAACAAGCATAAGAATGTTCTAAGGATGAAGATAATTGTTGGAAGCCTTTATACATTTCATAGAAATAATTAAACTACATACTTGTAATGGGTGAATTTTATGAAAATATGTAAATTATAGCTCCAAAAAAAGCTATCAAAAAGTCACAAAAATAATACATCCATGTTCACAGCAGCACTATTTACAGTAGCCAAAAGGTAGAAGTAACTTAAGTGTCTATCAATAGACAAAGGGATAAACAAAATGTGATAAAGACATAAAGAAGAATATTATTCAGCCTTAAAAGAAAGGAAATCCTGTCATATGCTACAATGTGGATGAACCTTGAGGACATGATACCAAATGAAATAACCCAGGCACAAAAAGATAAATACTGTATGATTCCATTTATATGAGGTACCTGGGGTAGTCAAATTTATAGAGACAGTAGAATGGTGGTTGACAGAGGCTGAGGAGAATGGGTATGAAGAGTTATTTTTTAATAGGTACAGAGTTTAGTTTTGCAATATGATGAGTTCTGGAGATGGATGGTGGCAATGGTTTGTAAAACAACTATCAATGTACTTAATAACACTGAATCATACACTCAAATGGTAAATTCTGTTATAATGGTAAATTCTGTTCTGTGTATTTAACCATAGTTTTTAAAAACTCTAACAGAAATAAAAATAAATAAAAAGAAACAGAGCTACAGAGTTTTCTCTGTAGTTTAAAATGAACCATCTTAAAACCTTGGGACTTCAAATGCCATTGTTACATCATGTATATTCTGCTTCTCTGCAGATTATATGAGATTGCATATTAAAACTTGGATAGAATTTTGTATGCTGCTGTTACAGTGCTGGGTCCAGAAGATCAGGTGCAGACCTGAAAGAATGCTTTGGCTTCCCTCACACACAGGGACAGGGCTAAAACTAGTGCCACTCCCTTCCCTCCTGTCTTCAATGCAGCCACTACAACAGCAGCAAGAAAAGGAAGATGCTGACTCTTCCTCAGATCCTTGAAACAGGTTCACAGACTTTAGAAGAGCTTCTGTGCTGAGATCCTAATATTCCCAAGCCAAAGTACTCATTATCTACCCTATTCTCCCTCCAAATAACTTGTCCTTTAATTTCCCTAGTCTTCTAGTCTCTGACCCTCAGTCATCTTTTATTTCTTTTTCCCTGCCCCTTCAGTTTACCAAGTTTATCCACTTTGGTTTCAAAATGTCTCAGTGTTGTCCCCTTCTTTTCTATTCCAATTAATACTATCTACTTCTTATCTGGATAACTAAAACAGTCCAAAACAACATCCATAAATCCAGATTCATAGATCTCCGAGGCATTCAGCATACCATCTTTGGAAAATAGGCTTCATGGCCAGGCGCGGTGGCTCACACCTATAATCCCAGCACTTTGGGAGGCCAAGGCAGGCAGATCACGAGGTCAGGAGATTGAGATCATCCTGGCTAACACGGTGAAACTCTGTCTCTACTAAAATTACCAAAAAAGTTAGCCAGGCATGGTGGCAGACGCCTGTAGTCCCAGCTACTAGGGAGGCTGAGGCAGGAGAATGGCATGAACCCAGGAGGCCGAGCTTGCAGTGAGCCAAGATCTCGCCACTGCACTCCAGCATGGGTGACAGGGCAAGACTCCATCTCAAAAAAAAAAAAAATAGCCTTCATTTTAACATTGTTTTCATAATAAAATATTTTTTAGTGTACAAAAAATGCCCATCCACATCCATGCACCCTCACATTCTATTCTTTGATAACATTTTGCCATATTTCCTTCAGATTTATTTAAAGAAATAAAATAGTTCAAAAATACGTAAAGTCCTCAGTTTACCACTCTGCGATGACATTCTCCTTCCTCTTTCCACCTCCTCAGAAAGATAACCACCATCATAAATCCTGAAAGTAATATTCTTATATGTATGTACACGTGTGTACATGTATGGGCTTTCATCATATGAATAAAAAACATACATTGGTTTATATTTTTATTGCATTTTATACAACCAAGGGAAATTATCAAAACTAAGAAACCAATGTTTACATAAATTTAATTAGGTGCATACTTTATTTAGATTTCACCAGTTTTTCTACTAGAACTATTTTCTATTCCAGGACCAAAACCAGAATCCCATATTGCATTAGTTTCCATGTCTCCTTAGTCTTCTCTGAACTGTGATAATTTCTTGGTCTTTCCTTGTCTCCATTATCTTGGTGGTTTTGAAGAGTACTGGTCAGGTACTCATCAGTTTTAGGTAGAATATCCCTCAATTTGGGCTGACAGAAGTTTCTTTATAATTGAAATAAGTTACAGATTTTGTGGAACGATACCACAAAGGTATGTTTAGCTCTTATTAATGGTGACATTAATAAACTTGTTCCCTTGGTTAAAATTAGTTCTGGTGGGTTTCTCCATACAACGTTACTATTTTGCCTTTGTAATTAATGAATATTTTGTAGGAGATATTTTAAGGCTATGCAATAGCACATTATTCTGTAAACTTTTGCCCACTAATTTTAGCAATCCTCAATGGATCTCACCTACACCAATAATTACTCTGGTGTTCCAATTCTTATTTTCTCAATCCCTCTACATTTATTAATTGGAATTCTTCTATAAGGAAGAGAGTTGTCTCTTCTCCACTCATTTATTTATTCAAGCATTATATATATATATATATATATATATATATATATATATATATATATATATATATATGAACTTATGAATGTTATTTTATTAAGCCACATTTCTTTATTTTGTTGGACAAACTGTTCCAGCTTTGGCTAATGAGAGCTTTTTCAGCTGAGCTTCTATAATTTTTTGACATATCCTCAATCTATTTTTTTTTAAGCACTTCCTTACTTTCTGGCACCACAAATGTCCCAGTCTCATCTTGTATTTTTCCCTCCCATCCTAGAATCATCCACTCCTCTAACAAAACCTGGTTCCTTTTGTTGGAGAATAATATTTAGAAACCAAGATTTAGGCACCACATGTGTTCATTGCTACTGGGGTATCACTACTTCTAGACCCTCTCAAGTAGAAAGAGCTCAGAGAGGTATATAGGCTTACTAACTGATGTACACATATAATATCTATATTTATTTCACTATCTTAAAAGGAAAAGAAGGACACTCTAGTCCAACTCCAATCCAACACTAAAGAATTCATTTTAGGCCAGGCGCAGTGGCGCATGCCTGTATTCCCAGCACTTTGGGAGGCCAAGGTGGGCAGATCACGAGGTCAGGTGGCTCACGCCTGTAATCCCAGCACTTTGGGAGGCCGACGTGGGCGGATCACGAGGTCAGGAGATTGAGACCATCCTGGCTAACATGGTGAAACCCCGTCTCTACTAAAAATAAAAAATTAGCTGGGCATGGTGGCGCACGCCTGCGGTCCCAGCTACTCGGGATCCTGAGGCAGGAGAACCACTTGAACCCAGGAGGCGAAGGTTGCAGTGAGCCAAGATCGCGCCACTACACTCCAGTCTGGCAACAGAGCAAGACTCGGTCTCAAAAAAAAAAAAAAAAAAAAAAAAGAATTCATTTTAGCATTCTCATTTTATCCGTAATTTCTTTCTCTGACAGTAAGAAGCCTGGTTTTCATAAACTATATTTGCTTATTTGCTCAACACTAATATACATACAAAGTAGTTTCAGAATTGCTAACCCATACTCCTTTAAGAAACATATTTACCAACCACAGTACAGTGCTGCATACTTCTTTTTTCTTTAGCCTTACAGTGTCTATTCAAAATAAAGTTATTCAGCTTCTTTCTTCTCCAAGTTTCCAGTATGATTGTGCCATTCATCACAATACACTTAAATTTATTTGCCAGATCTGTAGTCTGCCTTACGTTCCCCCAATATCCTGGTTGTTTCTTAAAATGTGAAGACAGTAAAATTCACTATTTGTTGCATACAGTCCTGTGGGTTTTGTTTTGTTCTGTTCATTTATTTACGTATTTATTTATTTATTTATTTATTTATTTATTTTTGAGATGGAGTCTCGCTCTGTCACCCAGGCCGGAGTGCAGTGGTGTGATCTCGGCTCACTGCAACCTCCACCTCCTGGGTTCAAGTGATTCTCCTGCCTCAGCTTCCTGAGTAGCTGGGATTACAGATGCGTGTCACCATGCCCCGCTAATTTTTGTATTTTTAGTAGAGACGGGGTTTCACCATGCTGGTCAGGCTGGTCTCGAACTCCTGACCTGATCTGCCCACCTCAGCCTCCCAAAGTGCTGGGATTACAGGCATGAGCCACCACACCCAGCCAGTCCTGTGGGTTTTGACAAGTGCACAGAATCAAGTAACCACTAGCCCATTACCATACAAAATAATATGATCACCCTAAAAAACTCCCTCATGCTACCTTCCATTATCAACCCCTCCATTCATCCTCATTGTGGCCAACACTTTGTTGTTTTTTGGTTTTGTTTATCTGTTTCTATAGCTTTCTCTTTTACAGAATGTCATAACAATGGAATTATACAATATGTAGCCTTTGGGATATGGCTTCTTTCACTTTGCAAAATGCATTTAGAATTCACCCAAGTTGTTGTGAATCAATAGTTAATTCTTTTATTGCTGAATAATATTCCATTGAATGGCTGTACTATAGTTTGTTTAACCATTCACCCACTGAAGGAAATCCAGGTTGTTTCTAGTTTTCGAGAATGAATATATAGTTTCAAGAAACATTCATATACAAGTTTTCCTGTGAACATTAGTTTTCAGTTGACTTGAGTAAATTCATAAAAGCAAAACTACAGGGTCATATGGTAATTACACATTTAGCTTTATAGGAAACTGTCAAACTTTTTTCCAGAATGGCTGTATTATTTTGCATTCTCACCAGCATTGTATAAGAGTTCCAGGTGCTCCATACTCTCAACAATAATTGGTATTTTCAGTTTTGTTTGTTAGACTTCTAATACAGTTATAGGGGTATCTCATTGTGGTATTTTCAGTTATCTTTGTTCAACTTCTAATAGATTTGTAGTGGTATCTAGTTGTGGTTTTAATTTCCATTTCCCTAATGACAATGATGTTGAGCACATTTTCATATACTTATTTTCCATTCATTTATCTTCTTTGGTAAACTGTTCATATCTCTTGCCCACTTTTTATTTGGTTATTTTCTAATTTTTTAAATTTTAAGAGTTCTTTATATGTTCTGGGCACAAATCCTTTATCAGATTTGTGATTTTAAAATATTCCTTCCAAGCCGAGATTGCACTCACTGCACTCCAGCCTGGTGACAGAGTGAGACTCCATCTCAAAGAAAAAAAAAAAAAAATCACTCCTAGTCTGTGGCTTCA
Organism: Homo sapiens; assembly: GCF_000001405.40. Lineage (NCBI taxonomy): Eukaryota > Metazoa > Chordata > Mammalia > Primates > Hominidae > Homo > Homo sapiens. The sequence goes on from NC_000010.11 coordinate 99,166,888, forward strand.
CTTTTTCATTAAAGGGTCTTTCACAGACCAAAATTTTTTAAATGTTGACAAAGGCCAATTTATCTATTTTTCTTTTTATGGATCATACTTTCTTTTTTTCTTTTTTCTTTCCTTTTTGTTTGTTTGTTTGTTTGTTTGTTTGAGACAGAGTCTTGCTCTGTTGCCCAGGCTGGAGTACTGTGGCGTAATCTTGACCCACTGCAGCCTCTGCCTCCCGGATTCAAGCAATTCTCCTGTCTCAGCCTCCCTAGTAGATGGGATTACAAGCGTGTGCCACCACACCTGGCTAATTTTTGTATTTTTAGCAGAGACGGAGTTTCACCATGTTGGCCAGGCTGGTCTCAAACTCCCAGCCTCAAGTAATCCACCCACCTGCCTCCCAAAGTGCTGGGATTACAAGCATGAGCCACCGTGCCCGGCCCATACTTTCAATATTGTATCTAAAAACTTTTTGCTAATTCCAAGGTCACACAGATTTCTCCCTTTTCTTCTAGAAGTTTTATAAGTGTTGTGTTTTACATTTAGGTATATGATTGTTTTAGTTATTTTTTGCATAAAGTATGAGGAATGTAGCAAGGTTTATCTTTTCACATAAGAACTTCCAATTTTTCTAGTCTCATTTGTTGAAAAGACTCTCCTTTTTGCACTGAGTTGCCTTTGCATCTTTGTCAAAAATCAGTTGACATTATTTTGTGGGTCTATTTCTAAGCTCTCTATTCTGCTCCACTGATTTATGTGTTTATTCTTCTATGAATACCATACTCCCTTGATTATAATGGCTCTATATTGTCTTGTCTTACTTTTATAAAACTGTTTTACTTATTCTAGTTAGTGTGTGTGTGTGTATTCATGTCCATATATTCATACACACACAAACACACGTATACAGAAAAGTTTTCTATGGTTTTTGGGGATTGAGTTTAATCTATAGGTCACATCGAGAAGAACTGATATCTTAATAATACTGAGTCTTCTAATCCATGAACACATTTTGTCTCTCTCTCTCTCTCTCTCATTTGATTTCTTTCACCACTTTTTGTAGTTTTCAGCTCTATACACATAAATATATTCGTTATACATTTTATTAGATTAGTTAGGGAAGTTCCTTACTCTTCCAGTTTGCTGAGAGTTTTTATCATGAATGGATACCGAATTTTATCAAATGCTTTCTCTGCATCTATTGAGGTGATCAGCCTATTTACACACACACACACACACACACACACACACACACACACACGGCTTTGTAGGAGTTTGAATTGCATTGAATTTATACATTAATTTGGAGACAATTTCAAGATATTTCATCTTCCTATCCATGATATGACATATCTCCATGTAGGTCTTCATGTTTTTCAATAAAATTTTATAATTTCCTCTATTAAAATTTGGTATAACATTTGTCAGATTATTCATAGGTACTTTGAGTTCTGCTGCCCTGATAAATGGTATCATTTTAATAGTATGTTCTAAATTTTTGCCCCTCTATAAAAATGCAACTGGTTTTGGTATATGGAGCTTCAATTCAGAAACTTTGGTGAGTTCTCCCATTATTTCTATTTTTATCTAGAGATGTTCATGAATTCACTATGGAAATATCATCTGCTAATAATAACAATTTTGTTTCTTCTGTCTCAACTCTTACATTTTTATTTACTTTACCTTTCTTATTTGTAGTAAGACATAAAACTCTTGAGTTTCTGCACTCTGGTAGGCTATCTTTCTTAGCTTGCAGGTAGACTCACAAAGGGGAAGGAATATTTAGGAGGGAGTTATCAGAATATCAGAATTTCAGGCAATTAGCTTAGCTTAGCTTGCAGGTAGGGTGAAACCTCAGTCCCCTCACAGTTCTTGGCATTATTGTGCTGGTTAGAATCTCTGGTATAATCTGTAAGCATCATTGGTTTCTTCCTGATTTTAAAGGGAATGCTGTAATATTTCACCATTAAACATAAAAAATGATTTCATTTCAAGGTAGATACCCTTTTTCAGGTTAAGGAGAGTGGTTAAAAAATGTCCTGACCTGGCCGGGCATGGTGGCTTGCGCCTGTAATCCCAGCACTTTGGGAGGCCAAGGCGGGTGGATCACAAGGTCAGGAGATCGAGACCATCCTGTGAATGGTGAAACCCCATCTCAACTAAAAAAATACAAAAAATTAGCCAGGCGTGGTGGTGGGCGCCTGTAGTCCCAGCTACTCGGGAGGCTGAGGTGGGAGAATGGCGTGAACCCAGGAGGCGGAGCTTGTAGTGAGCCGAGATTGCGCCACTGCACTCCAGCCTAGGCGACAGAGCAAGACTCCGTCTCAAAAAAAAAAAAAAAAAAAAGTCCTGAGCCAGGCTGGGCACGGTGGCTCACGCCTTTAATCCCAGCACTTTAGGAGACCGAGGCAGGCGGATCACGAAGTCAGGAGATCGAGACCATCCTGGCTAACGTGGTGAAACCCCGTCTCTACTAAAAATAGAAAAAATTAGCCGGGCGTGGTGGCATGCGCCTGTGGTCCCAGCTACTCAGGAAGGTGAGGCAGGAGAATTCCTTGAACCCGGGAGGTGGAGGTTGCAGTGAGCCAAGATGGCACCACTGCACTCCAGCCTGGGTGACAGAGCAAGACTCCGTCTCAAAAAAAAAAAAAAAAAAAAAAAAAAAAAAAAAAAAAAAAAAAAAGTCCTGACCCATTTAACTTGTAAAATTGCATAGTAAATATAGCTTTCAAAGTGGCTGTTCTCTTTCACAAAGGAGAAGGAATATTTAAGAGGGAGTTATCAGAATAGCAGAATTTCAGGCAAGACAGTGCTTCATTGTGTCCTGCCCTGCAGGACAGTTGACATTCTTGGCCTTACCAACCAGATACCAGTAGCATCCCCAGTCTCTTGGGGGAAAAGTCCCCCTAATTTTTCAAATGTTCTCTAGAGCAGGGGTTAGCACACTTTTTCTATAAAGAGCCAAACAGAAAGTATTTTAGGTTTTGTGGGTCATACAATCTCTTGCAACTACTCAACTCTGTGGCTGGGCTGCAACTCTCTATGGGAAATAAAGATCTTCTTTCTAAATTAAAAAAACAAAATATGACTCTGATACCAAATACAAGAGCAGCCATATGCAATACATAAATGAATAGGCATGGCTGTGTGCCAATAAAACTATACAAAAACAGGTGGTGGCAGAATTTGGTCTGCAGACTGTACTTTGCTGACTCCTGCTTGAGAGGAATGGGTAGAGTAGAATATCCTTTCACAGATATGAAAACTGGGGCTAGGGATGAAGTGATTTGCCTGAGGTTTCACAGCCATTTTGTACCAAGGAAAGATTAGACTCCAAGCCTCCTGACTGCTAATGCTCTTCTCACTGTATCACCCAGCAGAACAAACGACACTCTGGCAGGAACTGCCTCAGCAAGTATTTTTAGCCACTTCTAAATGTATGCAAATATATATGGATACTTGGCAGATATCCATGAATATTCAAGTCTGCTCCAGCTCCCTCCTCTCTGGCCTGCATTGTTTCTCTAGCTTTACATCATTCCCAGATGAAGACACTATAGTTTAATCTCCAGAATGTTCATGAAAACATGCAATACAATTGGGTTGGAGGCTGAACCCAGCAGCAGCCACAACAAATCAGCATAAATCATTCATATGCTAAATATTTCTAAGGCCCTCCTCATAGTATTGACCACAGCCATGATTTTTCATCGGTACACTAGAACTCATATCCAATTGATGTGAAGGGTATTTTCAAGTGAAAATCCCTGCAGAACTGGATCTAATACTAATCTATACAAAGTATCAGAATGTATCAAATCTATTTCATTTCTTTCACCTGCAATTTCTGTGATTCCAACCACACTGATATTTTGTTTGGCTTGGCTGATTCTTCACAAAAGTGCTAAATAAAAGGACTGAGTACAGTCCGCCCTCTGTATCCATGAGTTTTGTGTCTGTTGATTCAACCAACCACTGATCGAAAACATTTTTTAATTGTGTCTATACAGGTACAGACTTTTTCTTGTCATTATTCTCTAAACAATAGTGTAACAAATATTTACATAGTATTTACATTGTATTAAGTATTAAAATTAATCTAGAGATTATTTGAAGTATACAGGAGGATATGTACAGATTATATGCAAATACTACCTTTTATATCGGGTACTTGAGCATCTACAGATTTTGGTACCCACTGGAGGAACTGCAACCAATCCCCCACAAATACCAAGGGACAAATATAATCATAAAAAACAGTCAGCAGTGATATACCTAGCTTGAAGAAAGTATTCATTCTTACAAGAGGACTGCGTTTAGATAAAAACAGCTACATAACTAGCCTAGGCCAAAACCAAGACATGTGCTAATTCACTCAGTGTATCTGGGGCCATTTTAAACCACACTTGGTGGAATTCACACATTGGGTAGAATATCGCACTACATTAACTAAAGTTATTCTAACTCTAAGATGCAGTTATTCCGAATTTAGGAAAAAGAAACTACTACAGTCTGGAGAAGCCCTCATGGAAGATGAACTCAGCCATAAAGACAGAATTTAGATGTGGGAAAAAAAAAGACAGAGGTGCATGAAGAGATGGATGTAGCTCTGAATGTTCCTCTCTTACTCCTCACCCTAAACAGAAGCTCTAGGATTATCCCAATATCAAGAGGACCCTAAAAAAACAACCTTATAAGAAAATTAGTTAGAATTGACTACACCAAAGCAGCATTCATGAGTGCCAATTAGAGCCAATACCCTGACATATTTGACCATTGAGCAGTAATAATCAGAGATGGCAATTTCTGTTGGAATCTGGTATATGAACATCCTTTGGAAGTTAATTGAATAATGGGCAAAGACACTTGATACATCCTTTTTGATGAAGAAGCAGATAAGTATTTAGGCCTTGGATTATGGCATCAATAGCCTTTGCCTTCATTCTGTGACTAAAAAAAAAAACTTAACCTCTTTGAGAATTGACTTTCCCCTAGAGTGTCTAGGATTGAAATGTTTATATTCCTGACTTATTATCATTTAGGAATAACTTCACCAAAGGGATTGCCCTTTGGTGTAATCCAAAGCTGCTAAATGCCACATCAACCAGAAAACAAAACAGAATTCTAAAAATTAAAATAAAGATTTAGGTATCATAACTTTTTATAATTTCAACTTTTATTTTAGATTCAGGGAATGTACATGTGCAGGTTTGTTACATGGATATATTGTGTGATGCTGAGGTTTAGGATACGAATGATCCCATCATCCAGATAGTGAGCCTAGTATCCAAGAGTTAGTTTTTCAAGCCTTGCCTCCCTCCTTCTCTCACCCATTAGTCCCCAGCGTGTACTGCTGCCATCTTGAAAACATCTGAATTTTTTTTATAAGAATTTGTCAAGCATCATCAGTTTCTTGCCTAACCTGGAAGCAAACCAAAATTCCTCATGTGGATGGCTTTGGAGCCTCCTAGTGGCAGCCTCAGGGGACCTACAGAGCTAGGAGCCTTGTGAAGAACCAGGCTTTCAAAAGAGAGTATAATTTATGTATGCTGGTGATCAATTCAAACGAACACATCAATTCCTACAATACGCCCTATATTGGACTATATTGGACACTATATTGGACACTAGGAATATAAAGATGAATAAATATTGGTCCTATCTACCCTCAAGGAGCTCACAGCCTACTGTGGAAACATGTAAGAACAGAAATAACTCTGAAACAATATAGTAAGTACTTATAATCTGTATAAATTAAGAAAGGGCTTTGGGAGGCCAGGGTGGGGGGATCACCTGAGGTCAGAAGTTCCAGACCAGCCTGGCCAACGCGGTGAAAACCTGTCTCTACTAAAAATACAAAAATTAGCCAGGTGTGGTGGCGCATGCTTGTAATCCCATCTACTTGGGAGGCTGTGGCAGGAGCATCGCTTGAACCTGAGAGGCGGAGGTTACAGTGAGCCAAGATTGCGCCACTGCACTCCAGCCTAAGCAAGAGTGAAACTCTGTCTCAAAAAAAGAAGAAGAAGAAAAAGAAGAAAGGGAATGAAGTCAGAGAATGTGTAATCAAGGGGATGACATTTTCACCAAGCCTTAAAGAGTAAGTACAAGTCTATCTAATGGAGGATATAAGTACATTACACATTTTCATGCCTTCTTGTTTAGAATACCCCCTTTTCCACTTGCTGTCATACTCAGAATACTAAGCCTGGAGTATAGTAGGGTGGGAAGAAAGCTAGAAAGCCAGGCTAGAAGCAAATTTGTAAGTGCCCTTGTGGTTTGAGCTTTATACTGCAGGTTCTGGAGAGATGTCAGAGGCCCTCAGAAAAGTGGTCTACTGAAGTCTGTTCACTAGAATAACATCCCGTCATAGTATACTGCTATGCTCTAATAGCAGTATAAGGAAGATATTAGGAGAGCTGGGAAGCAAAGAGGTCCATTAATCTGCCACAATAGATTAAGAAAGAGGTAAGAAAGGTTAATATAGAAGTAGGAATAGCTATACCTAGTAGCCAAATGAATATGGAGATTAGACCCAGGAAAGAGTCAAAAATACTTCAAAGTTTTCCTTAAGACCCAAGGTAGACAGTGATGCCCTTATCCAAAGTAGGGAACACAGGAGAAGCCAAGAGAAGTGATAATGAGGAACTTTAGTAAATTTTATTTGAGGAACTTTAGTAAATTTTATTTGTGATACAAATTAGATCTGAAAAGTGTTTAATAAATACTGGAAAGGGTCTGTAAAACTTATAACTCTGAAAAAAATTATATTATAACCATCTCGAAATAACTGCAAGAGGCCAGGCGCGGTGGCTCAAGCCTGTAATCTCAGCACTTTGGGAGGCTAAGGCAGGCAGATCACCTGAGGTCAGGAGTTCGAGACCAGCCTGGCCAACATGGCGAAACCCGTCTCTACTAAAAGTACAAAAATTAGCCAGGCATGGTGGCACACACCAGTGGTCCCAGCTACTCAGGAGGCTGAGGCAGGAGAATAGCTTGAACTCGTGAGGCAGAGGTTGCAGTGAGCCAAGATCACGCCACTACACTCCAGCCTGAGCAACAAGAGCGAGACTCTGTCTCAAAAAAAAAAAAAAAAAAAAAAAAAAGAACTACAAGAGTTATAACCACAATTACAATATTAATTATTGTCATCCCTTAGTGATAAGGAGCAATTATATCCATTTTCACAAATAACACCCTGAAATTGACCCAGTCACAGAAGACAAAACTCTCGTTAGACAATGAAATTTTTCTAACAAAAGTGAACATTTTATTCCCTTTATTTTGTCCTCTTTGGCTTATCCAAAAATATCCAATCTTCAAGGAACATCTTGAGTTCCATCTTTGTCACAAACCCTTATCTTATTTCTTCAGACCTTATTAGTTCTGACATCTGAACTCTCATAGCACTTGGCATAAATAATATTCATTGTCCTTTATGATTTGCTGGAGTTTTAAGAAAATTTTGTCATATTTCTCCAACTATATTTAAGTTCCTTAAAAACTAACACAGGGTCTACTTCTGTAGCTTCTATAGCTCCTATCATAGAGCTAACCATATAGGAGATGTATCGTCAACAATGATCTTACTATGGGAGCAAGCCTCCCTGTTATGGTGATGACCATTATTCTGTGCCCTATCCTGCAAAGTTAATAAAGGTATCAATACTTGAGATCAGCCACTTCAAATCCTAGATTGGTAACATGTCTAACCACAGAAATTCAGGCATTTGTAGTGAATAATTAGGTACCTGTCCAGTTTGTACTTATGGAACTACTAGCTGTTACAGGATGCATTGTATCCACCTAAAATTCATACGTTGAAGCCCTAACCCCCGGTACCTGAGAACATGATTGTATTTGGAGACAGGGCCTTTAAAGAGCTAATTAAATTAAAAAGAAGCCATTAGGGTATGCCCTAAGCCAATCTGACTGGTTTATTTAAAAGAAGAGGGAGAGAAGATGACCGAATAGAAACAGCTCCAGTCTGTAGCTCCCAGTGACATCAACGCAGAAGGCAGGTGATTTCTGCATTTCCAACCGAGGTATCCGGTTCATCTCACTGGGACTGGTTAGACAGTGGGTGCAGCCCATGGAAGGCGAGCAGAAGCAGGGTGGAGTGTTGCCTCACCCAGAAACCGCAAGGGGGTGGTGAACTCCCTCCCCTAGCCAAGGGAAGCTGTGAGGGACTGTGCCGTGAGGAACAGTGCATTCCGGCCCAGATACTATGCTTTTCCCGTGGTCTTCACAACCCACAGACCAGGAGGTACCCTCAGGTGCCTATACCACCAGGGCCCTGGGTTTCAGGCACAAAACTGGGTGGCCATTTGGGCAGACACCAAGCTAGCTGCAGGAGTTTTTTTGTTTTTTTCATACTCCAGTGGTTCCTGGACCACCAGCGAGACAAAACTGTTTACTCCCCCAGAAAGGGGGCTGAAACCAGGGAGCCAAGTGGTCTAGCTCAGTGGATCCCACCCCCACAGAGCCCAGCAAGCTAAGATCCACTGGCTTGAAATTCTCGCTGCCAGCACAGCAGTCTGAAGTCGACCTGGGAAGCTCGACCTTGTTGGGAGAGGGGTGTCCACCACTACTGAGGCTTGAGTAGGTGGTTTTCCCCTCACAGTGTAAACAAAGCAGCTAGGAAGTTCCAACTGGGCGGAGCCCACCACAGCTCAGCAAGGCTGCTGTAGCCATATTGCCTCTCTAGATTCCTCTTCTCTGGGTAGGGAATCTCTGAAAGAAAGGCAGCAGCCCCAGTCAGGGGCTTATAGATAAAACTCCCATCTCCCTGTGACAGAGCACCTGGGAGAAGGGGCAGCTGCAGGCGCAGCTTCAGCAGACTTAAACGTTCCTGCCTGCTGGCTCTGAATAGAGGAGCAGATCTCCCAGCACAGGGTTCGAGTTATGCTAAGGTACAGACTGCCTCCTCAAGTGGGTCCCTGACCCCCATGCCTCCTGACTGGGAGACACCTTTCAGCAGGGGTCAACAGACACCTCATACAGGAGAGATCCAGCTGGCATCTGGCAGGTGTCCCCCTGGAATGAAGCTTCCAGAGGAAGAAACAGGCAGCAATCTTTGCTGTTCTGCAGCCTCTGCTGTGACACCCAGGCAAATGGCCTGGAGTGGACCTCCAGCAAACTCCAGCAGACCTGCAGCAGAAGGGCCTCACTGTTAGAAGGAAAACTAACAAACAGAAAGGAATAGCATCAACATCAACAAAAAGGACATCCACACAAAAACCCCATCAGAAGGTCACCAACATCAAAGAGCAAAGGTAGATAAATCCATGAAGGTGAGGAAAAACCAGCACAAAAAGCCTGAAAATTCCAAAAACCAGAATGGCTCTTGCCCTCCAAAGCATCACAACTCCTCTCCAGCAAGGAAACAAAACTGGATGGAGAATGAGTTTGACAAACTGACAGAAGTAAGCTTCAGAAGGTGGGTAATAATAAAGTCCTCCAAGTTAAAGGAGCATGTTCTAACCCAATGCAAGGAAGCTAGGAACCTTGAAAAAAGGTTAGACGAATTGCTAACTAGAATAACCAGTTTAGAAAAGGACATAAATGACCTGGTGGAGCTGAAAAACACAACACAAGAACTTCGTGAAGCATACCCAACTATCAACAGCCAAATCAATCAAGTGGAAGAAAGGATATCAGAGATTGAAGAGCAACTTAATGAAATAAAGTGTGAAGGCAAGATTACAGAAAAAATAATGAAAAGAAAAAAACAAAGCCTCCAAGAAATATGGGACTATGTGTAAAGACCAAACCTAAGTTTGATTGGTGTACCTGAAAGTGACAGGGAGAATGGAGCCAAGTTGGAAAAAACTCTTCAGGATATTATCCAGAACTTCCTCAACCTAGCAAGACAGGACAACATTCAAATTGAGGAAATACAGAGAACACCATAAAGATACTCCTTGAGGAGAGCAACCCCCAAGACACATAATGATCAGATTCACCAAGGTTGAAATGAAGGAAAAAATGTAAAGGGCAGCCAGAGAAAAAGGTCGGATTATCCACAAAGGGAAGCCCATCAGACTAACAGGGTATCTCTCTGCAGAAACCCTACAAGTCAGAAGAAAGTGGGGACCAATATTCAACATTCTAAAAGAAAAGAATTTTCAACCCAGAATTACATATACAGCCAAACTAAGCTGCAGAAGTGAAGAAGAAATAAAATCCTTTACAAACAAGCAAATGCGCAGAGATTTTCACACCACCAGGTTTGCCTTACGAGAGCTCCTGAAGGAAGCACTAAATATGGAAAGGAAAAAACGGTATCAGCCACTGCAAAAACATACCAAATTGTAAAGACCATCATCTCTATGAAGTAACTACATCAACTAATGGGAAAAAAAAAACAGCTAACATCATAATGACAGGATCAAATTCACACATAACAATATTAACCTTAAATGTAAATGAGCTGAATACCCCAGTTAAAAGACACAGACTGGCAAACTGCATGGAGTCAAGACCCATCAGTGTGCTGTATTCAGGAGACCCAGCTCACGTGCAAAGACACACACAGACTCAAAATAAATGGATGGAGAAATATTTACCAAGCAAATGGAAAGCAAAAAAAAAGCAGGGGTTGCAATCCTAGTATCTCATATAACAGACTTTAAACCAAAAAACATCAAAAAAGACAAAGAAGGGCATTATATAATGGTAAAGGGATCAATGCAACAAGAACAGCTAATTATCCTAAATGTATATGCACCCAATACAGGAGCACCCAGATTCATAAAGCAAGTTCTTAGAGACCTGTAAAGAGACTTGGACTCCCACATGATAATAGTGGGAGACTTTAACACCCCACTGTCAATATTAGACAGATCAATGAGACAGAAAATTAACAAGGATATTCAGGACTTGAACTCAGCTCTGGACCAAGCGACCTGATAGACATCTACAGAACTCTCCGCCCCAAATCGACAGATTATACATTCTTCTCAGCACCACATCGCACTTATTCTAAAATTGACCACATAATTGGAAGTAAAACATTCCTCAGCAGATGCAAAAGAACAAAAATCATAACAAACTGTCTCTCAGACCACGGTGCAATCAAATTAGAACTCAGGATTAAGAACTCACTGAAAACCATACAACTACATGGAAAATGAACAACCTGCTCCTGAATGACTACTGGGTAAATAACTAAATGAAGGCAGATATAAATAAGTTCTTTGAAACCAATGAGAACAGACACAAAGTACCAGAATCTCTGGGACACAGCTAAAGCAGTGTTTAGGAGGAAATTTATAGCACTAAATGCCCACAGGAGAAAGTGGGAAAGATCTAAAATCAACACTGTAACATCACAATTAAAAGAACTAGAGAAACAACAGCAAACAAATTGAAAAGCAAGCAGAAGACAAGAAATAACTAACATCACAGCAGAACTGAAGGAGATAGAGACACGAAAAATGCTTCAAAAAAATCAATGAGTCCAGGAGCTGGTTTTTTGAAAAGATTAACAAAATAGATAGGCCACTAGCCAGACTAATAAAGAAGAAAAGAGAGAAGAATCAAATAGACACAACAAAAAGTGATAAAGGGGAGATCACCACTGATCCCACAGAAATACAAACTACCATCAGAGAATACTATAAACACCTCTACGCAAATAAACTAGAAAATCTAGGAAAACCGGATAAATTCCTGGACACATACACCCTCCAAACATTAAACCAGGAAGAAGTCAAATCCCTGAATAGACTAATAACAAGTTCTGAAATTGAGGTAATAGTTACTAGCCTACCAACCAAAAAAAGTCCAGGACCAGACAAATTCATAGCCAAATTCTACAGAGGTACAAAGAGGAGCTGGTACCATTCCTTCTGAAACTATTCCAAACAACAGAAAAAGAGGGAATCCTCCCTAACTCATTTTATGAGCCCAACATCATTCTGATACCAAAACCTGGCAGAGACACAACAAAAAAAGAAAATTTCAGGCCAATATCCCTGATGAACATCGATGCGAAAATCCTCAATAAAATACCGGCAAACCGAATCCAGCAGCACATCCAAAAACTTATCCACCACGATCAAGTTGGCTTCATCCCTGGGATGCAAAGCTGGTTCAACATACACAAATCAATAAACGTAATCCATCACATAAACAGAACCAAAGACAAAAACCACATAATTATCTCAATAGATGCAGAAAAAGCCTTCGACAAAATTCAACACCCCTTCATGCTAAAATCTCTCAATAAACTGGGTATTGATCGAATGCATCTCAAAATAATAAGACCTACTTATGACAAACTCACAACCAATATCATACTGAATGGGCAAAAACTAGAAGTATTCCCTTTGAAAACCAGCAAAAGACAAGGATGCCCTCTCTAACCATTGCTATTCAACATACTATTGGAAGTTTTCGCTAGGGCAATCAGGCAAAAGAAAGAAATCAAGGGTATTCAAATAGGAAAAGAGGAAGTCAAATTGTCCCTGTTTGCAGATGACATGATTGTATATTTAGAAAACCCCATCGCAAAATTTCCTTAAGCTGATAAGCAACTTCAGCAAGGTCTCGGATACAAAATCAATGTGCAAAAATCACAAGCATTCCTATACACCAATAACAGACAAACAGAGAGCCAAATCATGAGTGAACTTCCATTCACAATTGCTACTAAGAGAATAAAATACCTAGGAATCCAACTTACAAGGGATGTGAAGGACCTCTTCAAGAACTACAAACCACGGCTCAAGGAAATAAGAGAGGACACAAACAAATGGAAAAACATTCCATGCTTATGGATAGGAAGAATCAATATCGTGAAAATGACCATACTGCCCAAAGTAATTTATAGATTCATTGCTATCCCCATCAAGCTACCACTGACTTTCTTCACAGAATGAGAAAAAAAAAAAACTTTAAACTTCATATGAAACCAAAAAGGAGCCCACATAGCCAAGACAATCCTAAGCAAAAAGAACAAAGCTGGAGGCATCACACTACTTGACTTCAAACTATACTGAAAGCCACAGTAACCAAAACAGCATGGTACTGATATCAAAACAGATATATATACCAATGAAACAGAACAGAGGCCTCAGAAATAATGCCACACATCTACAACCATCTGATCTTTGACAAACCTGACAAAAACAAGAAATGGGGAAAGGATGTCCTATTTAATAAATGGTGTTGGGAAAACTGGCTAGCCATATGCAGAAAGCTGAAACTGGACCCCTTCCTTATACCTTATACAAAAATTAACTCAAGATGGATTAAAGACTCAAATGTAAGACCTAAAATCATAAAAACCCTAGAAGAAAACCTGGGCAATACCATTCAGGACATAGGCATGGGCAAAGACTTCATGACTGAAACACTGAAAGCAATGGCAACAGAAGCCAAAATTGACAAATGGGATCTAATTAAAGAGCTTCTGCACAGCAAAAGAAACTAATTATCAGAGTGAACAGGCAACCTACAGCATGAGAGAAAATTTTTGCAATCTATCCATCTGACAAAGGGCTAATTTCCAGAATCTACAAGCAACTTAAACAAATTTACAAGAAAAAAACAACCCCATCAAACAGTGGGTGAAGGATATGAACAGACACTTCTCAAAAGAAGACATTTATGCAGCCAACAAACATATGAAAAAAAGCTCCTATCACTGGTCATTAGAGAAATGCAAATCAAAACCACAATGAGATACCATCTCAGGCCAGTTAGAATGGCGATCATTAAAAAGTCAAGAAACTGGCTAGGCACGGTGGCTCATGCCTGTAATCCTAGCCCTATGGGAGGCTGAGGTGGGTGGATTGCCTGAGCTCAGGAGTTCGAGACCAGCCTGGGCAACATGGTGAAATCCCGTCTCTACTAAAATACACACAAAAAAATTAGCCAGGCGTGGTGATAGGCATCTGTAGTTCCAGCTACTCAGGAGGCTGAGGCAGGAGAATGGCTTGAATCCGGGAGCCAGAAGTTGCAGTGAGCCAAGACTGAGCCACTGCACTCCAGCCTGGGCAACAAGGCAAGACTCCATCTCAAAAAAAAAAAAAAAAAAAAAAAAAAAAACACAGATGCTGGAGAGGATGTGGAGAAATAGGAACACTTTTACACTGTTGGTGGGAGTGTATATTAGTTCAACCATTGTGGAAGACAGTGTGACGATTCTTCAAGGATCTAGAACCAGAAATACCATTTAACCCAGCAATTCTAATACTGGATATATACCCAAAGGATTATAAATCATTCTACTATAAAGACACACGCGGCCGGGCGCGGTGGCTCACGCCTGTAATCCCAGCACTTTGGGAGGCCGAGGCGGGCGGATCACGAGGTCAGGAGATTGAGACCATCCCGGCTAAAACGGTGAAACCCCGTCTCTACTAAAAATACAAAAAATTAGCCGGGCGTAGTGGCGGGCGCCTGTAGTCCCAGCTACTCGGGAGGCTGAGGCAGGAGAATGGCGTGAACCCGGGAGGCGGAGCTTGCAGTGAGCCGAGATCCCGCCACTGCACTCCAGCCTGGGCGACAGAGCGAGACTCCGTCTCAAAAAAAAAAAAAAAAAAAAAAAAGACACACGCACATGTATGTTTATGGCACTGTCCACAATAGCAAAGACTTGGAACCAACCAAAACGCCCATCAATGATAGACTGGATAAAGAAAATGTGGCACATATACAGCATGGAATACTATGCAGCCATAAAAAAGGATGAGTTCATGTCCTTTGCAGGGAATGGATGAAGCTGGAAACCATCATTCTCAGCAAACACACACAGGAACAGAAAACCAAACACTGCATGTTCTCACTCATAAGTGGGAGTTGAACAATGAGAACACATGGACACAGGGAGGGGAACATCACACACTGGGACCTGTGGGGGTGGGGAGCTAGGAGAGGTATAGCGTTAGGAGAAAGACCTAATGTAGATGACAGGTTGATGGGTGCAGCAAACCACCATTGCACGTGTATACCTATGTAACAAACCTGCACATTCTGCACATGTATCCCAGAACTTAAAGTATAATTTAAAAAAAAAAGAAGAGGGAGATTAGGATATACAAAGAGATGCACCAGGGACACTTGCTCACAGAGGAAAGACCACGTAAGACCACAATGAAAAGGCAGAGCCATCTGCAAGCCAAGGAGAGAGCCCTCAGAAGAAACTAAACCTCCTGACACCTTAATCTTAGTCTTCTATCTTCCAAAACTGGGAGGAATAACTTTCTGTTGTGATTAATAAATGTTTGATGTTTAAGCCACCAAGTCTGTGGTATTTTGTTATGGTAGCCCTAGCAAATTAATGTACTAAGCTTAAGGATAATTTTAAAAGAGACCTCTTTACTTCTTCTCTTTTAGCGATTTTCCTCAACTCCTCCAAATCCTCTAATTCCAGGCTTCTACATTCTGCCAATGTACACAAGGTCAGAGGCCAACTAATCACCTAGTTTATCCCCCTTATTTTACAAGTGATAAAACTGGGCCCAAAAAAGTCAAATAACTTAGCCAGATCACACCTTGTTTGCGGTAGATCCAAGACTAAAAGCCAGGTATCCAGACTTCCAGTTCTATAACATTTCTATGCCTTTAGATGCCTTACAAATATTTAGCAAGCTGCTTGTACTGTTATGCTTCCTTTCCCATGGGACACTTTTGTATGCTAAGCAGATATTCAAATATAAAAAGATCCAAAGTAATGATTATTTTATGATGGAATTATAAGCACCCTGAAAGGCAGTCCAGGAGATATCTGGGGACAGGGAGACATTCTGAGAAACTTAAAATCATAATATGATTTTTGGTATCCAGTAATTATGGAATAACAGGAACCAGATTAACCATCCTATCTTGGAAACCTAAAAAACAGGCCAGGCACAGTGGCTCACACCTGTAAATCCAGCACTTTGGGAGGCTGAGGGGGCAGATCATGAGGTCAGGAGATCGAGACCATCCTGGCCAACATGGTGAAACCCTGTCTCTACTAAAAATACAAAACATTAGCCAGGTGTGGTGGCAGGCGCCTGTAGTCCCAGCTACTCGGGAGGCTGAGGCAGGAGAATGGCGTGAACCCGGGAGGCTGAGCTTGCAGTGAGCAGAGATCACGCCACCACACACACACACAAAAAAAACTAAAAAACAAATCAAAATACATAAAACAACAGTTTCAGATATAGGTAAACAGAAAGTGCAGGACAGTGATCCCTGAGGAAGGAAAAACAAATAAGGTGAGCCCTATGAGTACCCCCACCTCAATGCCTACAGACAGTTTTCAGACTGTAGTACAGGCAGGAGGATTCCAAACAGAGCTCAGTAGTCTTACTGAGTCAAGGAAACACAATTCAGAGTTAAGAGTGGCCAAGGCAACTAGAATTTATAGGACAGAGTATAGGAGACGGATTTTCACAAAGAGCAAAAGCTCCAGAGACCCACAGAGAGGTTCCCTGATGGTATTTAGGTAATGACCTATGCATATATGTAAGGATACTACTGAGGCAAGGAAAGTAACATAAATGGCCCCAATAGTCCC
Source organism: Homo sapiens (assembly GCF_000001405.40). NCBI lineage: Eukaryota > Metazoa > Chordata > Mammalia > Primates > Hominidae > Homo > Homo sapiens. The sequence goes on from NC_000010.11 coordinate 99,183,377, forward strand.
TGTACACAGTTGTTTTTGGATAAACATGGAAACTGACCTTTCTGCTGTTAAAGCTGGAAACTTGTATTTGTTTTATCCTCAAGAAAGGATCTTCAGGCCTCTCAAAAAAGTATCAAAGAACAGAAACTCACAAGATCACCACACTACATGCCTCCTTGGCCCTCCCTAATTCCTGTTTTCTTACACATTGTTACATTTCTTCCCTGCTATATAAACCCCTAATTTTAGTCAATCAGGGTGATGGATTTGATGCTGAGCTCCCATCTCCTCAACTGCAGCACCCAATTAAAGCCTTCTTCCTGGACAATACTTGTCATCTCAGTCATTGGCCTTCTGTGCGGCAAGCAGCAGGACCTAGACCAAACCCCTGGTGTTTCTATAACAGAACCACCAGGAAGAAGTAAGTGAAGCAATCACCATAGTTCACATAGGACCAGAATAGTTCACTTTGGACAGCCAGACTGAAAAGACTTCATAACACGTAAGGCACTGAGTAAGAAGGGTATGAATACAGAAGGGTACTGACAGCCTCAGAAAGCCTCAGTAGAGAAGCCAAATTAGCATAGACTAAGAACTGTTTTTTACCACTCTAACAAATTTTGAAGAAAGCCTTAAAAAACAAAAAAACTGACTCCAAGGAACTTAACTTCATCCCAGAAAAAAACAAAAAAAATATTTAAAGGAATATCAAATCAACTAGCACCCAACAACATAAAACCCAAAATGTCTGACATCCAATTAAAAATTACCAGGCATATGAAGAAGCAGGAAAATATGATCCATAAAGAGGAGAAAAATCAATAAACATAAACAGATATCAAAATGACACAGATGGTAGAAAGAGTAAGCAAAGATAAGAAAAAAGCAGCCGGGCATGGTGGCTCACACCTGTAATCTCAGCACTTTGGGAGGCCAAGACAGGCAGATCATTTGAGGTCAGGAGTTTGAGACCAGCCTGACCAACATGGTGAAACCCTGTCTCTACTAAAAACATAAAAATTAGCCAGGCTTGGTGGTGCATGCCTATGGGCCCAGCTATTCGGGAGGCTGAGGCAGTGGAATCGCTTGAACCCAGGAGGTGGAGGTTGCAGTGAGTTGAGATCATGCCATTGCACTCCAGCCTGGGCAACAGAGCGAGACTGTCTCAAAAAAAAAAAAAAAAAAAAAAAAAAAAAAAAAAAAAGCTAAGAGGAAGGCCATTAAGAAATATATTACATATGTTCAAGAAGGTAGAGGAAAACAGGAGAGTAATAATGAGAACTATAAAATGTATAAAAGACACAAGTTGAGTTTCTAAAAATAAATATATAGCAGAAATGAAAAAATATTAGATTGGATTAACAGTAACTTAAACATTGCTGAAGAAAAGACCAATGGAGTTGAAGATGTGGCAACAGAACTATCCAAAATTATATATATATATATATATATATATATATATATAGAGAGAGAGAGAGAGAGAGAGAGAGAGAGAGAGAGAGAGAGAGACAGAAACACTGAAAAAATGATGTAACAGAGGATCACTGAGCTAACAGCTTATATTAACTGGCCTAACATACAAGTAATTGGTACCTCCAAAAAAATGAAGGGAGAAGACAGGAAAAAAGTATTTGAAACCTTAATGGTCAAAACTTCTAAATTGGCTGGGTGCAGTGCTTCACACCTGTAATCCCAGCACTTTGGGAGGCTAAGGCTGGCAGATCACCTAAGGTCAGGAGTTCAAGACCAGCCTGGCCTACATGGTGAAGCCCTGTCTCGACTAAATATACAAAAAAAAATTAGCCAGGTGTGATGACGTACACTTGTAATCCCAGCTACTAGGGAGGCTGAGGCAGGAGAATCACTTGAACCCAGGAGGCAGAGGGTGCAATGAGCCAAGTTCATACCACTGCACTCCAGCCTGGGTGACAGAGCAAAGACTCTGTCTCAAAAAAATAAAAAATAACACAAACTTCTAAACTAAATGAAAACTATAAACCCAGAGAACACCCAAGAAGAAGAGATAAGAAGAAAACAATACCATAATCATCATAACCGAATTGCCAAAAACTGGAGATGAAAAGAAATTAGCCAAATGAAAAAGGCACATACAGGTACTGAAAAATAGAAGTGGGGCTGCCAGGTGCAGTGGCTCATGCCTGTAATTCCAGCATTTTGGGAGGCTGAGGTGGGCAGATCACGAGGTCAGGAGATTGAGACCATCCTGGATAACACAGTGAAACCCCATCTCTACTAAAAATACAAAAAATTAGCCGGGCGTAGTGGCGGGTGTCTTTAGTCCCAGCTACTCGGGAGGCTGAGGCAGGAGAATGGCGTGAACCCGGGAGGCGGAGCTTGCAGTAAGCCGAGATTGCACCACTGCATTCCAGCCTGGGCGACAGAGTGAGACTCCATCTCAAAAAAAAAGAAAAAGAAAAAGAAAAGAAAAATAGAGGTGGGGCAGGGAGGAATGATGGCGGATGTTTTGTCAGAAACAATACAAGCAAGAGAAGATAGATCAATAGAAATTATCTAAATGAAATGCAAAGAGGAAAAAAGAGTGAAAAAAACGGAATAGAGAATTCAAGAGCAGAGAAACTTGGTATATGCATAATTGGAATCCTAAAAGGCAAAGAGAGAAAGAACAGGGCCAAAGAAATAATGGCTGAGAAATTTCCAAAATTAGTGACAGACAATAAACCATGGCCAGATCCAATAAACACTGATAACACTAAGCAGGATAAATAACCACACACACACACACACACACACACACACACACACACACACACACACACAAGGCATATCATAATTAAACTGCTAAAAACCACAGACAAAGAGAAAATCTTGAAAGCAGCCAAAGGAAAAAGATACATTGCCTATAAAGGAATAAGAATAAGAATTGCAGACCGGGCATGGTGGCTCACACCTGTAATTCCAGCACTTTGAGAGGCCAAGGCAGGCAGATCACAAGGTCAGGAGTTCGAGACCAGCCTGGCCAATATGGTGAAACCCTGTCTCTACTAAAAATACAAAAATTAGTCAGGCGTGGTGTCAGGTGCCTGTAGTCCGAGCTACTCAGGAGGCTGAGGTAGAAGAATCGTTTGAACCCGAGAGGCGGAGGTTACAGTGAGCCAAGATTACGCCAGTGTACTCCAGCCTAGGTGACAGAGTGAGACTCCATCTCAAAAAAAAAAAAAAAAAAAAAAAAAAAAAAAGATTTACAGCAGACTTGTCATCAGAAACTATGGAAGAAAATGGACTGACATCTTTAAAGTGCTGGAAGAAAAAAATGTTAACTCAAATTCCATACTATGCAAAAAATCCTTCAAAAATGAAGAAAACAAACTTAAATTCCTGGAGGCATGCTTATTCTTTAAAAAATATTAAAGAAAAGGCCTTCAGACAGAAGGAATATATGTCAAAAACATTTTTTTGTGAGACAGGGTCTCATTCTGCTGTCCAGGCTGGAGTGCAGTAACACAGTCACGGCTCACTGCAGCCTCAGCCTCAACCTCCCTGGCTCAAGCTATCCTCCCACTTCAGTCTCCCTAGTAGCTGGAACTATAAGCACACACTCCCATGCCCAGCTAGTTTTTTGTATTTTTTGTAGAGATGGAGTTTTGTCATGCTGCCCAGGCTGGTCTCGAACTCCTGGACTCAAGCAATCCCCAAACCTCAGCCTCCCAAAGTGCTGGGATTATAGGCATGAGCTACCCCACCCAGCCTCAAAAACTTGAATATAAAAGAAAATTGAATAATATCAGAAAAGAAAGAAACAAAGATAAAATCAAAATCACTTTTTTTCTTATTGTTAATCATCCTAATAGGTAACAATGTTTCAAGCAAAGATGGGAACAAAAAATTTCATGTATGGAATATGTTGGAGTGAAATTATGACATCAACAGCAAGAGGTAAGACAGAGAAGTGTACTTATACTTTGCATGAAGCAGTATAATTTTTGAAAGAAGACTGGTTATTTTAAAATGTATTTTATAAACTCTAGGACATAAAAAGCACAAATTACTTTTTAAATTATGAATTGCATTTCATCAAAATTTAAAACTTTTACTCTTCAAAAGACACTTTAAGAAAATGAAAAGGCAAACCAGATACAAGGAAAAATATTTACAAAACAAATATCTGACAAAAGACTGGTATTCTGAATATATAAAAACACAGTTCAATAATAGGACCAACAACTCAATTTAAAGATAAAGAAAGGATGTGAACAGGAATTTCACCAAAGTATACAAATGCCAAATAAGCACATAAAACAATGTTCATTATCATTAGTCATTAGGGAAATGCAAATGAAAACGTAGTAAGATACTACTGAATACTCACTAGAACTGCTAAAATTAAAAAGACTGACTATAATAAGCTTTGATAAGGATGTGGAACAACTTTAACTTTCACACATTGCTGGTGGGAATGCAAAAATGGTCCAAGCACTTGGGGAAAAAGTTTGGCAATTTCTTAAAAAGTTAAACATATACCTACTACACAATCCATGAAAACCACTCCTAGGTATTTGCTCCAAAGAGATAGAAACACATGTCCATGAAAAGATATAAATCTTCATAGCAGTTTTATTCATAATACCCAAAACTGGAAACAACCTAAATTTCCATCAGGTGGTAAATGGATAAGCAAATTGTATAGTAAGCAAATTCATATCCATGGTTTCTGCAAGGCCAACTACAGGACATGAGCATCCATGGATTTTGATACCCACGATGGGTCCTCCAATCCCCTATGGATATTGAGGGACAAGTGTATATATACATTCAACATAATAATACTTACAATAAAAAGAAACAAACTATGCAACAACATTGATGAATCCCCAAAACATTACACTAAGTGAAAGTAGCCCAACTATAATGACAGAAAGCAGATCAGTAGTTCCTAGGGTGAGTGGGGTGAAGGGTTGACTGTAAAGCGGCAAGAAGAAACTTTTTGAGGAATAGGAATGTTATATCAGTATGGTAGTAGCTAATGAATGAACATATTTATCAAAACTCACCAAATTATATACTTAAAAATTGGCAAATTTTACCTAATAATGTTGACCAATTTAAAGGTGATAGGGAAGAGGAGGAGAAGGAACAGGAATTCTTTTAAAATCATTTGCAAAGGTTATCTCTTGTTTTACCCATTCACAGGGTAATTCCTCGCCTAAATCTAATTGAGATATCTACTAAATATACTGGAAACAACAGCAAATCATACAACATATTGGAAAAAAGCATGGCTATCATCTCCTAGTTCTTTAGAACTTCAAAGAGGAGGCTTAATCTTAAAGCCACTGTAATAAGAGAATGTTTGGGAGTAAAAGTAGGACTCAAATAGGACTTGGAAGGCAGGATAAATGTGAGACAGAAAAAGAGCTTTTGGACAAGTGAAATAATTTGTTTAAATATTTTTATAACATCGAAATGTAAATTCATTTGCAGAGATGAGAAGCTATCCTTGGAAAAACTCCCTGAGCTCCTCATGGACTAGTCTGTGTGCTCATGACTTCTCAGTCCTGAGGAAAATTGGAAATTCTACACTCCCTTCTCTGCAAGAGTCCTGTTCCTCCACATGACTTTTTCCTCTTTTAACACAAGAGACATCTAATTAACTTTTCTGCCACATGCAGCTGGCACCAAGGCAAACCAAACTGTGGAGTGGCTGACCCAGAATTACTGATGAATGTTGAAAATAAACATGCTTTCAGCCAATCTGGAATGGTATATTTCTAAGAAGACAGAGAACTCTTAAAATTAATTAACTCATCCAGACAAACTGTCCATCCAATGCAAGTTTTTCAGTAATGAATATCAGACCACAGATCTTCCTGCAGCTGAGCTTGTTTATCATACAAGGAGGCTGCTTCTGCATGTCTCATGGATAACTTCATGATTTTTATTTTTACCGGCTTCTGGCTTCTTGTATTTATATAAACAGGCCAAGAAAGCAAAACAATATGAGAGTAAGTTTAAATGGAAGATACCACATTTCCCCAAAAGACAGAAACACCTAACTTTCTCTCCTTTTCCACATGTCAGAGTAGACAATTAAGGAGAAAAAGACCCTGACCTTGGGAGGAGAGGAGAGGGCCTCAATAAAAAGCATGAACTTACTTAAGCGGTTCTGTCATTGTGTTGAAATTCTAATAAAGTGCTCTCTACTGCAAAGTTTGTGTATATGGGAGCCATGCACAAAATAACACCAGAACCACATGAAAACTGTAGCTTAACCCTAAATTAGGAAGTTCCAAAGTTGGTGTCCCGAAAGAATGCATTTGGCTGCAGGGTACAGATAACCAATGCCATACCAAGCAAGGATTTTTCTGTTGTTTTGTTTGCCTGTTTGCTTGGTTTTATTCATGTAGAATATAATCTTCTGAATGGGCTCTGACTGTGGGTCTAAAGGGAACAGTGCATCTCTTATGCGTCCATTTTGAGACAGAAGTAAACCCTTGAAAATTTCTAAAATGTCTTCCCTTCCTTGGAATGAATTGACCACACTGTCTGATACCAAGTTGTTGCTGTTCTTTAGTCAGAGAGGGCCCAAGGGCTGCTTTGGCCAGCTTTGGAAGCAGAGACAGGGCCTCCAACCCTCTGCGAACTAGCCTAGGTGGATACCTCTGTTAATGAATCTCCACTGTCTTTCTCTCTATGGGCTTTTTCTAACATCTTTCAGTACTGAGTCCTTTCTGTCACAAATCACTTTATGGGGCAACCATGTAGTGACTTATCTAAATGAACAGAGTAACTACCATTTGTTAACTACCTACTATGCATTGGGCATTGTGCTAATACTTTACATATATAATATGATGTCATTTCACAACAACACAAAGTGGTAATACAGAGTTTTAACTAATAGTTCAAATTCTAGAGTCAGACTACTTGGGTTAGATGTCTTTACTTCATCTCTTATAAGCTGAGGGACCTTGCAGAAGTTACATAATCTCTTTGTTCCTTAGTTTCCGTATCTATCTATAATACAGAAATAATGAAAGAATCTGTTACATAGAATTTCTGTAAAGATTGAAGTACTCAATAAGTATTAGCTATTTATTATTTCTGTTTTACAGATTAAAAAACAACAACAACAAAAAACTAAGGCCTAGCAACATTAACTGACTCGTCCACACAGTTAGAGTTCATATATATGTCTGTCTGACTCTAAATCCAGCATCCTTAACTGCTATACCACTTTGACTTCCCAAAATATTCTCAGGCCCAGACTTTCTCAAAGCATGTTCTATGGAAAATGGAGAGGAGGAGGCAGAGCAAGATGGCCAAATAGAAGCCTCCAGCAATTGTGTTCGCCCTTCCGCCACCCATCCCCATGCAGGAACACCAAATTGAACAACTATCCATACAAAAAAAAGCACCTTTATAAAAATAAAAAAATCAGCTTGGGTACCAGCTCAGCCACAGTGGAACAGAGCACCAGGCAGGCTCCTGGGAGTCCCCAGCTCTAGGCCTTGGCTCCTAGATGGCGTGTCTGGACCTGCCCTGGGCCAGAGGGGAGCCCATAGCCCTGAAGGGAGAGACTCAGGACTGGCAGCATTCAACACAAGCTGACTGAAGAGTTCTTGGGCCTTGAGTGAATATTGGCAGTAGCCAGGCAGTACTCACAGCAGGCCTAGGGTGGTCGTGGCCACAGGGAGAGACTCCTCTGCTTGAAGAAAGGGGAAAGAAGAAGGGGAAGGACTTTGTCTTGAGGTTTGGGTGCCAGCTCAGCAGCAGTGGAATAGAGTACCAAGTAAATTCCTAAGGTTCCCAACTCCAGGCCCTGGCTCCCAGACAACACCTCTGGACCTACCTGGGGCTGGGGGGTAGTTCGCCACCCTGAATGCAAGGAAACAAGCCTGGCTGGCTTCACCACTGCTGACTGTAGACCCCTTAGGTGGCAGCCAGGCACTTATGACCATGAACTGTCACCGAGACCCAATGCTATGCTGGTTTCAGGTCTGACTCAGTGCAGTCCCAGGGGTGGTGAACATAGTGGTGCTTAAGTCACCTCTCCCCTATCTCAAGGCAGCTCAGCACAGAGAGACACAGACTGTTTCCATTTGTTTGCAGGCAAAGTAAGGGAAGGAAACAAGAGTCTCTGCCTAATCCAGTGAATTCTCCTGGATCTTACCCAAGACTCCCAAGGCAGTACCTCTATGACACTGCATGAGCCACACTGTTACTTGGCTTGGGGTGCCCCCTCATGCAGATATAGCTGCAGTGACCAAAGACTTACATCACAACACCCAAATCCCTTTGAATACGTGGAAAGCGTTCCCAAGAAGAATGGGTACAAAAAGACTGTGAAGACTACAATAAATATCTAACTCATCAACGCCCAGACACCAACGAACATCCACAACCATCAACAACATCCAGGAAAATATGACCTCACCAAAAGAACTAAATAGGCCACCAGGGACCAATCCTGGAGAGGCAGAGAAATGTGACCTTTCAGACAGAAATTCAAAATAGCTGTTCTAAGGAAACTCCAAGAAATTCAAGATGACATAAAGAAGGAATTCAGAATCCTATTAGATAAATTTAACAAAGAAACTGAAATAATTAAAAAGTAGCAGAAAATCTGGAGATGAAAAATGCATCAATATCCTTTAATTATAGAATTAATCAGAAGAAATAATTAGTAAGCTTGAAGATGGGGTATTTGAACATACATAGAGGAGACAAAAGAAAAAAGAATTTTTTAAAATGAAACATACCTATAAGACCAAGAATATAGCCTCAAAATGACAAATCTAAGAGCTATTGTCCTTAAAGAAGAGGTAGAAAGAATGAAGTAGAAAGTTTATCCAAAGGGATAATATCAGAAAACATCCCAAACCTAGAAAAGAAATCAATATTCAAGTACAAGAAGGTTATAGAACACCAAACACATCTAATACAAAGAAGACTATCTCTCAAGACATTAAATAATCAAACTCCAAAAGGTCAAGGTTAGAGAAAGGATCCTAAAAGCAGCAAGAGAAAAGAAACCGGTAACAAAGGAGCTCCAATACATCTGGCAATGGACTTCTCAGTGGAAATCGTATGGGCCAGGAAAGAGTAGCATGACTTTTTTTTTAGACAGAGTCTCACTGTGTCACCTATGCTGGAGTGCAGTCGCACAATCACAGCACACCACAGACTTAACCTCCCAGGCTACTGTGATCCTCCCACCTCAGCCTCCCAAATAGCTGGGACTACAGGCATCTGCCACCATATCTGGCTAATTTTTTTTTTATTTTGTATAGATGGTGTTTCACCATTTCCCAAAGCTGTTCTCAAACTCCTGGGCTCAAGCGATCCTCAGCTTCCCAAAGTGCTGGGACTGTAGGCATGAGCTACTGTGCCTGGGCAGCATTACATATTTAAAGTGCTAAAGAAAAAACTTTATCCTAGAATAGTATATTCAGCAAAAATATCCTTCAGACATGAAGGAGAAATAAAAACTTTCTCAGACAAACAAATGCTGAGGATTTTCATCAATACCAGACCTGTCCTACAAGAAATCCTAAAGGGAGTTTTTCATATATAAAAAAAAGGATGTTAATGAGCAATAAGAAAACATCTGAAAGTAGAAAACTCACTGGTAATAGTAAGTGTGCAGAAAAATACAAAATATTATACCACTATAATTGTAATATATAAACTACTCATATCTTGAATAGAAAGACTAAAAGATGAACCTATCAAAAATAATAACTACAACAACTTTTCAAGACATAGACAGTACAATAGGATATGAATAGAAACAATAAAATGTTTAAAAGCAGAGGGGAAAGAGTAGAGTTTTTATTAGTTTTCTCTTTTCTTGTACAATCAGTGTTAAACTGTCATCAGTTTAAAATAATGAGTTATACGGTATTATTTGTCTCATGGTAACCTCAAATCAAAAAGCATACAAGTACCAAAAAATAAAAAGTGAGAAACTATAACATACTACCAAAGAAAATCACCTTCACTAAAAGGAAGACAGGAAGAAGGAAAGAAGGAAGAGAAGACTACAAGACAAGTAGAAAACACATAACAAAATGGCAGAAGTAAGTCCTTAGTTATCAATAATAACATTGAATTTAAAAGTCTAAACTTTCCAATCAAAAGACATACAGTGGCTGAATGGATAGAAAAAAAAAAACAAGACCCAGTGATCGGCTGCCTACAAAAAACACACTTCACCTATAAAGACACACACAAACTGAAAATAAAGGGATAGTAAAAGGTATTCAGTGCCAATGGAAACCAACGAAGAGCAAGAGTAGCTATGTTTATATCACATGGAATAGATTTCAAGATAAAAACTACAAAGAGAAACCAAAAAGGTCATCATATAAGAATAAAGGGGTCAATTCAGCAAGAGAATACAAAAATTATAAATATATAGGCACCTAACACTGGAGCACCTGATATATTATAAAAAGCAAATATTATTAGAGCTAATGAGAGAGATAGACTCCAATACAATAGTAGCTGGAGACTTCAACACCCCACTTTCAGCATTGGACAGATCATCCAGATAGAAAATCAACAAAGAAATACTGGATTTAATCTGCACTAGAGACCCAATGGATCTAATGAATATTTCATCCAAGAGCTGGAGAATACATATTCTTATCCTCGGTACATAGGTCATTCCCAAAAACAGACCACGTAAGGCCACAAAACAACTCTTAAAAGTTCAAAAAATTAAAATCATATCAAGTATTTTCTCTGAATGTAACAGAATAAAACTAGAAATTAATAATAAGAGAAATTTTGAAACATAGAACACATGGAAATTAAACAATATGTTCCTAACTTATTGGCAGCACAATGAAGAAACTAAGAAGAAAATTTAAAAATTTCTTTAAATAAATGAAAATGGAAGCACAACATACCAAAACCTATAGGACACAGCAAAAACAGTACTAAGAAGAAAGTCTGTAGCAATAAATACCTACATCAAAAAAAGTAGAAAAACTTCAGATAAACAATATAATGATGCATCTTAATGAACTGTAAAAGCAAAAGCAAACCAAACCCAAAATCAATAGAAAAAAGAAATAATAAAGACCAGAGCAGATATCAATGAAACTGAAACAAAAAATACAAAGGATTGATAAAACAAAGAGTTCATTTTCTGAAAAGACAAACAAAATCAAATCTTTAGCCAGATTAAAAAAAAAACCCAAATAAATACAATCAGAGATGAAAAAGAAGACATTACAACTGATATTGCAGAAATTCAAAAGATAATTAGAGGCTACCTGAGAAACTACATGCCAATAAACTGGAAAACCTAAAAGAAACAAACACATACAACTCACCAAGATTGAACCATGAAAAAAATCCAAAACCTGAACAGACCAATAATAAGTAATGAGATCAAATGCTAATAAAAAGTCTTCCAGCAAAGAAAAGCCCAGATCCAATGGCTTCACTGCTGAATTTTATTAAACATTTAAAGAAGAACTATTACCAAACCTACTCAAACTATTCTGAAAAATTAGAGAAGAAGGAAGAACTTCCAAATTCATTCTACAAGGCCAGGATTATCTTGATACCAAAACCAGACATATTAAAAAAAGAAAACTACAGGCCAAAATCCCTTATGAACATTGTTACAAGAATCAATAAAATTCAACCAAGCCAAATAAACAACATATTAAAAAGATCACTCACTCGGACCAAGTGGGATTTATGTCAGTGATGCAAGGATGGCTCGACATAGGCAAATCAATCAGTATGATACATCATGTCAACAAAAAGAAGGACAAAAAAAGATCATTTCAACTGATGCTAAAAAAGCATTTGATAAATTCAACATCCCTTCATGATAAAAACCCTCAAATAACTAGGTATATAAGGAATATGCCTTAACACAATAAAAGCCATATACAATAGAGCCACTGCTAGTATCATACTGAATGGGCCTTTCCTCTAAGATCTAGAACAAGACAAGTGCACCCAATTACACCACTGCTACGCAGCATAGTACTGGAAGTTCTAGATATAGCAATAAGACGAGAAAAAAACAAAGGGCCTCAAAATTTGGAAAAAAAAATCAAATTATCCTTGTTTGTACATGATATAATCTTATATTTGGAAAAAAACAAAGACTCCATTAAAAAAAAACTATTAGAACTGATAAGTTGAGTAAAGTTGCAGGATATGAAATCAACATACAAAAATCAATAGCATTTCTATATGCCAACACAAACAATCTGAAAAAGAAATCAAGAAAGTAATCCCACTTACAGTAGCAAGAAATAAAATAAAACACCCAGAAATAAGCTTAGCAAAAGAAGTAAACAATCTCTACAGTGAAAACTATAAAACATTGATGAAAGGAATTGAAGAGGACACCATAAAAATGGAGATATTCCATGTTCATGCATTGGAAGAATCAATATTGTTAAAATGTCCATTCTACCCATAGCAATCTACAGATTCAATGCAATCCCTATCAAAATATCAATGACATTCTTCACCAAAATAAAAAAAAAATCCTAAAATTTATATGGAACCACAAAAGACCAAGAATAGCCAAAACTATCCTTAGCAAACCTAGCAAAACTGGAGGAATCACATTACCTGACTTCATATTATACTGCAGAGGTATAGTAACCAAAACAGCATGGTAGTGGCATAAAAACAGACACATAGATCAACGGACAGAATAGAGAACCCAGAAATAAAAACATACCTCTACAGTGAACTCATTTTCAACAAAGGTACAAAGAACACACACTGGGGAAAGGACAGTCTCTTCAATAAATGGTGCTGGGAAAACTGCATATCCATATGCAGAAGAATAAAACTAGGCCCGTATCTCTTACTGTATGCAAAAATCAAATCAAAATGGATTAAAAACTTAAATCTAAGACTTCAAACTATGAAACTACTAAAAGGAAACATTGCAGAAAATCTCTAGGACATTGGTCTGGGCAAAAAATTGTTGAGTAATACCCCACAAACACAGGTAACCAAAGTGAAAATGAATACCCTGGATCACATCAAGTTAAAAAGCTTCTGCACAGCAAAGGATTCAACCAACAAAGTGAAGAGACAACCCACAGAATGGTAGAAAACATTTACAAACTACGCATCTGACAAGGGATTAATAACCAGAATACATAAGGAGCCCAAACAAACTCTATAGGAAAAAAAATTTAATAATCTGATCAAAAAAATGGGCAAAAGATTTCAACAGACATTTCTCAAAATAAGACATACAAATAGCAAACAGGCATATGAAAAGGTGCTCAACATCACTGATCATCAGAAACATGCAAATCAAAACTGCAAGGAGATATTATCTCACCCCAGTTAAAATGGCTTACATCCAAAAGACAGGCAATAACAAATGCTGGCAAGGATGTGCAGAAAAGGAAATCCTTGTACATTGCTGGTGCTGGTGCAAATGTAGATTAGTATGACCACTATGGAGAAGAGTTTAGAGGTTCCTCAAAAAAGCTGAAAATTGAGCTACCATATTATCCAGCAATCCTACTACTGGGTATATACCTCCCAAAAAAGCAAATCAGTATATCAAAGAGGTATCTGCACTCTTGTGTTTGTTGCAGCACTGTTTACAACAGCTAAGATTTGGAATCAACCTAAGTATCCATCAACAGATGAGTGAATAAAGAAAATGTGGTATATATACACAATGGAGTACTATTCAGCCATAAAAAGGAATGAGATTCAGTCCTTTGCAACACCATGGATGGAAATAGAAATCATTATGTTAAGTGAAATAAGCCAGGCACAGATAGACAAACATTGCATGTTCTCACTTATTTGTGGGATCTAAAAAGTCAAAACAATTAAACTCATGGACATAGTAAAAGGATTGTTACCAGAGGCTGGGAAGGGTCATGGGGGGTTGGCAGGGAGGTGAAGATGGTTAATGGGTACAAAAAAATAGAAAGAATGAACAAGACCTACTGTTGGCTAGCACAACAGAGTGATTACAGTAAATAATAAAATGTACATTTTAAAATAACAAGAGTGTATGTGGATTGTTTGTAACTCAAAGGATAAATGCTTGAGGGGATGGATACCCCATTCTCCATTATGTGCTTATTTCACATTGCATGCTTGTATCAAAATATCTCATGTATCCCATAATATATATACCAACTATGTACACAAAAATTAAAAATAAAAATAAGAAAACAAAATAAATAATACTGCTAAGAAAAGAATGAGTATCCACCTGACAGAGTTTTTTGAAGATTAAATGACACATACATGCGAAGCACTTAGCAAATAGTAAAATATCATGTAAATGTAATATAGAAATACTAATATAAAACATGAGTCTGATGAAGATAAACAAGACAGAGAGAATATATCATTTTCATAGACTCAGTAACACCCGAGCATAACACTACTAAACTGTAAACTTAAAAATGGTTACAATGGGCCAGGCGCAGTGGCTCACACCGGTAATCCCATCACTTTGGGAGGCCAAAGCAGGTGGATCACCTGAGATCAGGAGTTTGAGACCAGCCTGGCCAACCATGGCCAACATGGTGAAACCCCAGCTCTACTAAAAATACAAAAATTAGCCAGGTGTGGTGGCGCACACCTGTAATCCCAGCAACTCGGGAGGCTGAGGCAAGAGAATTGCTTGAACCCAGGAAGCACAGGTTGCAGTGAGCCAAGATCGTGCCACACTCCAGCTTGGGCAACAGAGCAAGACTCCGTCTCAAAAAAAAAAAAAAGTGAATTTTTTCCAAGGCCACAGTAATTTATTACCAGCTAATAAGATACATTTCTTGAGGAATAAAAAACAATCAAAAACAGCAAAGGCCCAGTTTCAAATCTTACTAATTATGTCATTTCACACAACTCACACGTTTCTGAATCTCAGATACCTCATCTTTAAAATGTGAGTAATAATAATTTTTTCTCAAGGTTTAATAAATGTTTAAATGAAACAAACTATATTAAATATTTAGGACAGTGTCTGGTACACAGTTAATGTTCAAAAATAACAGTTTCCAGCATTTAGTTTGAAGGAGCTTACTCTCCTCATAATCAATACATCTTTGCATAAATCAAAAGCAGTAACTACTGTATGATTCTCCAACGTTTTTATTGCACAAGGTATGGGAGAAATAAAAGACATGGACTCCACTTTTATAGAGCTTACAACTGAGTTATGATACCATAAATAATAACAGATGGCATGATTTTATTGAAATGGCAAATCACTACTCATGACCTAACTATAGGTAAGACTCATAGTACAACACTTTAAAACCTTAATATGTACATATAATAAACTTTAGGGTTTTATAATATGAAGGCTATGATGGAAATTTTTTATATTATTGTGGTAATAACACAACATGAGCTCTACCCTCAGTTTTTACAAATAACTGTTGTTAACTAAGGTCACAAAATTCTACAGCTGATCTTAATGAATTAATTAATCATCGTGCATATGTGAAACTTTATACCCACTGGATAATAATTTCCCATTTTCCTCTTCTCCCAGTACCTGGAAACCACCATTCTACTCTTTGTTTCTATTAGTTTGACTATCTCAAATACTTCATATAAGCGAGATCATGCAATATTTGTCCTTCTGTGATTAGTTTATTTCACTTAGCATAATGTGCTCCAGGTTAATCCATGTTGTCACATATGACAAAACTGCTTTCTTTTTAACGCTGAATAATATTCCATTGTCTTTTTATACCACATTTTTTAGTCATTAATCCATCAATGGACATTTAGGTTGTTTCCACATCTTGACTATTGTGAATATTGTTGCAAGGAACATGGGAGTGCAAATACCTCTTTGAGATTTTAATTTCAATTCTCTTGGAATGAGAGGATTTCTGGATCATAAAGTATCTTAATTTTTTAAGGAACTTCCATACTGTTTTACATAGTGGCTGCACCATTTTACATTTCCATTGATAGTATAAAAGGGTTCCAGTTTCTCCACATCCTCACCAACAGCTATCATTTTTTAAATAATAGCTATCCTAACAGGTATGAAGTGATATCTCACTGTGGTTTAATTTGCATTTCCCTGATGATTAGTGATACTGAGTCTTTAGTCCATTTTGGCTTGATTTTTGGGTATGGTATAAAATAAGGGTCCGATTTTATTCTTTTGCATGTGGATATCCCGTTTTCCCAACATCACTTGTTGAAGGGACTGTCATTTTCCAATTGTATATTTATGGCACCCTTGTCAAGGATTATTTGACCATATATGCATGGTCTTATTTCTGGGCTCTCAATTATGTTCCTTTGGTCTATATGTCTGTCTTTATGCCCTTACAAAACTATTTTAATTAATGTAGCTCTGTAATATATTTTGAAACAAGGACACGTAACGCCTCCAGCTTTGTTCTTTCTCAAGAATGCATTGGCATTTCAAAGTCTTTTGTGATTCCAAATGGATTTTTTGAATTGTTTTCTCTGTTTCTGTTAAGAAAAACAACAGACATTGAGATTCTGATAGGGATTGCATTGAATCTGTAGATTTCTTTCGGTAGTATAGACACTTTAAAAATATTAATTCTTCTAACCCATGAACATGGAATGTCTTTCCATTTATGTGTGTCTTCTTCAACTCCTTCATCAATGTTTTGTAGTTTTCAGCATAGTAGTCTTTCACCTCCTTAAGTTTATTCCTAAATATTTTACCCTCTTTGATGCTATTGTAAATGGAATTGTTTTATTTCCTTCTCAGATAGCTCAATGTTAGTGTAAAGAAATGCAACTGATTTTTGTATGGTAATTTTGTATCTACAACTTTACTGAATTCATTTATTAGTTCAAAATGGTAAATTTTATATTATGTGTTTTTTTTACCACAATTAAAAAAATCACCTGGGCAGCTAGTGACCCATTACTATTAGTAACTGCCTGACTGAAATGTGTTCTGCATGTAGCAAAGCGATAGGCACCTGGAAACATGACATCAAACATTTTATAAGTAACTCTTTGTCCCTATAACCAGATTTCTCGTTAGGAAGTACAATAATATTAGGATGCAAGTTTTTATAGCTCTAAAACTGATGCTGAAGAGGTACCTGGAAGTGTTTTAGCAGATATTGTAGAGATTTGGGGTCAAGTGATCTGAGTTCCTGTCCTAGCTCTGACATTTATTAGCAGTACAACCTTCAACAAGTTATTTAACATTTTCAGCTTAAACTTCCTCATTTGTGCAATAATAAAAATGGTACCTACCTCATAAGATGGTTATATGATAATTAAATAAAATGGTAGGTATAATATGAATACAATGCCTGGTTCATATTAAATGTTTTAATAAGTATCATCAATAATAAAATGATGACAATGATGATGATGACAAGTAACAGGGCCATTCACTCACCCAGTCCTTGTTTCTAAGCAAGAACATATAATTGTAAGAAAACAGGTTAGGTTTAGCAGCACATTATTAGCTACAGAAAGATTTTCCCCTCTATATTAACTAGATTCATATGTATCTGTCACACTGGTATGTCATATTTAGCTGTATAAGAAGGTATCTCACATACAAAAGTACTTCCTACCCATGTACCAATACTTGGAAACCATTTTTTAACCCATCCTCAACTATCAAATTGTCTGCCTGCATTTTGGCTTTTAGGAGAGGACTCAGGCAAAAAGAATAAATAGGTAAAAGCAGAAAAGTGAATTGTTTTCAGCTGATTTGACAGAGCCAAAAATCTAATCTGCACTGAATTTTTGAAAATTAAGTTTGAGTCATGCCCATGTTATTAACTCCTCAGTTTATAAGCATTATTTGATCCCAGTACATTTTCCAAAAAAATACAAATGTCTCCCTTTCATACTGCAACTCAAATACAAATAATTGCAAAGGATATTATCCAGATCAAATCAATTACCATATCCTGTCAATTTTTCCTTTGTAATGAGTCCCTAACTATCCCTTTCTTTTCCACTGCTGCTTGACTAATGTAATCATGCTCATCTCACTCTTGAATATCTTCACTAGCCTTTTTGGTCCTTCTAACCTAGGCAACCTCACCACTATTCTATTCTGTCCTGTGAGGAGCCATGAGATAAATCTTCCTAAAATATCACACATAATTTTCTTAGTCACAATCCTTCCTTGACTCCCTATTGTTTAAAGAAAAATCAAATCCCCTTATCTTAATTCTAAAGCTGTCTCAGATTGTCTTCCACAATCTGATCTCAACCCCTACAACTTCATTTTTCAAGGAAAGTCTTTTACAACTAGTTCCTAAACTACATTAGTATATTGGAAATGGAATTTGCCCAATGACACATTATTATTATCTGTAACTTATCCATTTCCAAACATTAGGCACTTTGTGAAACACAAACAAGAGTATCCCTGCCTTTCCAAATACTCCTGATTATGACTAAAAACCTCAGAAAAGGGATCAAAGGTTAATATGCATAAAACAAAAACTCATTCTATATTCCTTCATTTCCAAGAAAACCTTATTTCTCAGCCTAGACTCCTAGTTTTTTCCAGAGCCCTTCCAACTCCCAAGAAACCAAAATGGCCAGAAGATGAACACGACGCCATACTCCATGGTGGTAACTCATTAGCCCACCACAATATCACCAGGGTCTCACGATGCTCACTTCCATACTCTAACCACAGCCATCTCCTATTCTAGTAAATAAAACGAGATCACTGGAAGAGCAAGCCAGGTGCTGGAAGTAACAAAGT
Organism: Homo sapiens; assembly: GCF_000001405.40. NCBI lineage: Eukaryota > Metazoa > Chordata > Mammalia > Primates > Hominidae > Homo > Homo sapiens. Next base: position 99,202,056 of record NC_000010.11, read on the forward strand.
AAATCCACTGCCAGGCCAGAATACAATCTTTACCTTCCTCACATCTGATATATAGATAGATAGAGATATAGATATAGATAATATAGATATAGACAGATATAGAGATAGAGATATCAGTTATATATAGTGATTTTTAAAACACCATGATATACTCAAGAGCAGAGATACCAGGAACAGAGATGATGAAATGCAGAGCAAATCCTCAGGCATCATTATTTGATACTAAGAGGATCGTTAGCCCCTATTTGGCTTTTAAATGTTATAAGGGTATTCAGAAATTCAATATAAGGATGCAAGTATTTCTGATCAACCATATATATTCATCGCTAAACTAAAAATGATGATACTTTTAAATGGAGCAAGAGTAACCATGTATTGTTGAAGACGACAGATTTTAGAATCATTAGCACTAATTCCCAAATCCTAGTTGTAAAGCTGGGACAAGTTATTTAACCCCTGCTGAACTTCAGTTTCCTCATCTTTAAAATGGCAGTATTTTATCACATGTACCCCCAAAATATGTATATCTATTATGTATCAATTTAAAAATGAATTAAATGGTGGTATTTGGAAACCTGCTTAGTAGGGTAGTTGTGAGGATTAAATGAGATAAAATATAAAGCAGAGTCCCAGCCAGATGTCAGCAAGATGGTAGAATAAGACTTTCCAGCACTCATCACCCCTATAGACACATCCATTTGAACAACTAACCACACACAAACGAACCTTCACAATAGCTAAGAAAACTAGGTGAGAGATTATAGCACCTAGGCATAGCACAAAAAATAAGAAAAGACATACTGAAGAGAATAAGAGGGACAATTTTACCCATGTCACCCCTCCTCCGACTCTAGGCAGCACATCATGGAGAGAGAAGGAAAGAGAAGGAAGTGAGCAATCCGACTTTGCCTTGGACCCTGAAACTGGGCCCTCCTCAGTAAAGTCCAGTGCTGGACAGGCCCCCATGGCCCCAGAACGAGCCTCCAAACCTTCCCTCATGCCAAGCCAGATCCTGCAGCATCAGCTTTTGGCCTGCCTAGCAGATTCAGTCTCCAGGCCCATCCCACCACGAGGATGACCCCAGCAGTCCCAGGCTTCAGACCAGCCTCAGCACTAGCCTGGCCCAACCCCAGCAACAGGCCAGCCCCCAGAGACTCAGACTACAGGCCAGCCCCCAGGGCCAGGATAGCCCCAGTGACATGAGATCCTAGACAATCCCCAGCTCCAAGATGGCTCCCTGCAGCCCTAGTCACGAGCCAGCACCCTCAAACCCAGTCTGTACGCAGGCTCCTACAACTACAGGCTCCAAGCCCACCAAACACCTGGCCAGTCCCTGTGGTCTCAGATTCCAATCCTACTCCAGGTTTCAGACCATCCAAGCCAGGTCAGCAACCCTGGCCTCATGTACCAGGCCAACAGCTATGGACACAGGCTCCAGGCCCGCCCAGTGCCAGGCCAATCCCTGCAGCCCCATACTTCAGCAGACCCAGAATTCAGTACTGCTCAATCAGACCCAGGATCCAGGCCCATCCCAACAGACTCCTGCACTAGACTGGCCCCCACAGACACAGGCTTCAGGAGCTCCCTGTGGGCCCAGGTTCCAGACCCAAGACTGAAACCAGCCCTCGAAAACCTACCATCCAGGCCAGCACCCACACGCTGAACCAACCGCCAGGCTGGCCCTAGTGGACCCAGTCTCCAGGGAAGTTCTCATGGCCCCAGGCTCCAAGGCCAGCACCCATAGCTCCAGGACCAGGTTAGCACCCATAATCTCAGGCTCCAGGCCAGTTGCCACAAACCCAGAAGCCAGGACCGCTCCACCAGGCCCAAGGGTCCAGGCCCACTCCAGCAGACCCTGGTGACAGATATGACCCCACAGGCCAAGGTTCCAGGACCACCCCTAGAAACCCAGGCTATAGGCCAGCACTTATAGACACAGACTCCAAGCCTGTCTCAGTGGATCTTATAGACACAGACTCCAGGCCTGTCCCATTGGATCCAGGAGCCAGGTACATCCCAGCACATTGTCAGCCCCTGTACAATCCAGGTCAAGGCCCACACCAGTGCCAGGTCCCCTACATTGGACCCAGACTTCAGGCTGATGACCATTCATACAGGCCCCAGGCATGCCTTCAAAAACCTAGGCTCGAGGCCCAATCCCACAAACCCAAACAACAGACCCACCCCAGTAGATCCAGGCTCCAGGTCCAACCCCATGTAACCAGGTCCCAGGCCCACACACCTGCTGACTCAGGAACTAGGCCAGCCTGCCTGATGACTCCAGCAGCAGTCCATCCCATGGACCATGCCAGATAACCTTCCCTGAATCTCTGGACTGTCTCACTGCTTAAGGGCTTTCCTAGACAAAACCAGTCTGCAAAAATTCAAATAAGTTCCTACTTCACAAAATGCACAGACATCAATGTAAGGTAACAGGAAACATGAAAAAAACCTAGGAAATATTAACACCACTGAAAGAACACAATAATCTCCCAATAGCTGACTCCAAAGAAATGGAGATGTATAAACCGCCTGATAAATAATTTAAAGTAATTATTTTGAGGAAGCTCAACAAACCTCAAGAAAATACAGTAGACCTGTGACCAGCACCATGTAAATAAACTCCATGGGTTCAACTATATGCAGATTTTTTGAATAAATATATGGAAACATTTTTTGGAGATTTGGAAAAATTTGAAAAAAAGTTGCAGATAAACTGCATAGCACAGAAATATTTAAAAAAAGAAAATGTTAAGTATGGCATGAATTCACAAAATATATGTAGATAGTAGTCTATGTTATTTACTGCAATAAAATATATGCAAATCTTTATGAGTTAATATTTTTCAACACTTTGCAGCCATAACAAAGAATGAAATGTCCTTCACAACAACATGTATAGAGCTGAGGCCATTATCCTAAGTGAACTAACTCAGAAAACCAAATGCTGCATGTTCTCACTTATAAGTGGAAGCTAAACAATGGGTACACATGGTCATAAAGATGTAAATAATAGACACCAGCAACTCCAAAAGCAGGGAAGGTAGGAGGGAAGCAAGGGCTGAAAAATTACTTATTGGTTACAATGTTCACTATTTGGGTACTGGGTATTCTAGAAGCCCAGTCCCTACCAGTATGTAACATGCCCATGTAACAAAGAAGCACGTGTAGCTCCCGAATCTAAAATAAAATTTTAAAACTAAAAAAATAGACCAGATCTGGTCTGAGTAATGTTTAAGAGAAAAAAAATAGGCCAGGTGTAGTGGCTCACACCTATAATCCCAGCACTTTGGGAGGCTGAGGCGAGTGGATCATGAGGTCAGGAGTTCAAGCCTGACCAAGATGGTGAAAGCCCCTCTCTACCAAAACTATAAAAATTAGCCAGGCATGGTGGCAGGTGCCTGTAATCCCAGCCACTCGGGAGGCTGAGGCATGAGAATCGCTTGAACCCGGGCGGCAGAGGTTGCAGTGAGTCAAGATCACACCACTGCACTCCTGCCTGGGCAACAGAGTGAGACTCTGTCTCAAAAAAAAAGCTCATTTTCTTGGATTTCATGTGAAATTTCACACACATAAAAATATACATATATATCAAAACCTACACAAACACAAACTGGACACGCCAATTCACAGTCAAAAGAAATGTAAAAAGATATAAAATGCAGTATTAAACCATAACTGCGTAAAATTAACTGTTGTACATACCATACTACTATATTAATTCTGTAGCCACCTGCTATTGCTAAGTAGTAAGTTCAAGTCTTGGGAGCACCAACCTAAAATGCCATGTGATGCTAACCATCTCTGCATGAGCAATTTGTCTCTCCAATAAACTACATATGGCAGTAAAAAGTGATCTCTTATGGTTCTCACATATTTTCCACCATGTTTAGCACAATGCTGCAAACCTTGACTAACATCATGGGACTCATATGAAGTGTCACTGGTGATGCTGGAAGTGCTCCCAAGAAGCCAAGAAAAGTAATGACATTATAAGAAAAAGTTCAATTGCTTGATACATACTGTAGGTTGAGGTCTGCAACTGCAGATGTCCACCATTTCAAGATAGATAAATCCAGCATAAAGATCATTATGAAAACAGAATAGGAAATCTGTGAAACTGTCAGTGCAGCTACAACAGCAGGTGCAAAAACCTTACACATTTGCAAAAAACAAAATATGTGTTAATCTACTGTTCCATAAGGCTTCTGGTCAAAAGAAGGCTATTAGTACTTATGTTTTTCAGAAATAAAGTTATGCATATGCTGGGCACAGTGTCTTATGTCTGTAATCCCAGCAATTTGAGAGGCCAAGGCAGGTGGATCACTTGAACTGAGGAATTCAAGCCTAGCCTGGGCAACATGGTGAAACCCAATGTCTACAAAAAATTAGCCGGGGGTGGTGGCATGCGCTATGGTCTCAGCTACCTGGGAGGCTGAGGTAGCAGGATCGCTTGAGCCCAGGAGGTCAAGGCTGCAGTGGTTGACAGAGCAAGACCCTGTCTCAAAAAAAAAAAAAAAAAGTTATACAGATTTGTGAATGCATGGCAAATTGGCACTCCTAACCCCCATGTTGTTCCAGGGTCAATGGTAAAAAGAAACAAATGAAATCTGGAAACCAATAAATGACCAAAATTATAAGTATAATGAGAAATTGAAATTATCTTTTAAAATTAAACATAAATTCTGGAGCTTAAAAAATACAATGAATCAACTGAAAAATGCAATAGAGAGCCTCAACAGCAGAATTGATCAAGCAGAAGATAGAATCAATGAAATCAAAGACTGGTTATTTTGAAATATATAACCAGAGGAGAAAAGTGTAAAGGAATGAAGAAAGTTTACAAGATTTATGAGACAGCATCAAAAGGACAAATTTTTTAGGTATAAGAGTTCAAAAAGAATAAGAGGAAGACTAGGAAAGAAAGCTTATTTTAAAAAATAATAGCAGAATATTTTCCAAATCTAGAGAAAGATATAAATATCCAGGCACAGGAAAGTCAAAGATCTTTAATCAATTGCAATCCAAATAAGACTACAAGGCATTTTATCATCAAACTGTTAAAAATCAAAGATTGAGAGATTTCCAAAACCAGCAAAAGAAAAGTAGCAAATGACATATAAGGGAGTTATAATAAGGCTAGCAGAAGACTTCTCAGCAGAAACTTTATAGGCCAGGAGACAGAAGGATGACATATTCTAAGGGCTAAAAGAAAAAAATACCCAATCATAGATACCGTACCCAGCAAAGCTGCCTTTCCAAAATAAAAGATAGACAGACTTTCCCAGACAAATAAAGGCTAAGGAACTCATCATCACCAGACGTGTCTTTTAAGAAATGCTAAAGGGAGTTCTGAAAGAAAAAGATGCTAACTAGCAACACCAAAACCCACTAAGATATAAAAATCACTGATAAAAGGGAGTCGAATTCAGAAAAATACTGTAATGATAGTATGTGAATAATTTATATCTTTAGTATAATGCTTACAAGACAAAATTACTAAAAGTACTAAAAATAATAATGGCTATAATAAAGGAACCTTAACAATAAAAGTTTTTAAAGAATATGCAATATACAAAGATATAAATTGTGACATCATAAACATAACATGTGGAGGGAGTAGAGTGAAGGTGTTGAGTTGTTTTATGTGATCGAAGTTACTACAGTTTTAAAAAGCCTAAAATAACTATGTTTTTATATAAGCTTCACTCTAAATACAAAGTAAAAACCTATAGTAGGTTTAATAGCCACCCCCCACCTTATTCACAAGGGATACAGTTCAAGATCCCCAGTAGATGCCTGAAACCACACATAGTACCAAACCATATAATATATATAATGTTTTCTCTTATACATACATACCTATGATAAAGTTTAATTTATAAATTAGGCACAGTAAGAGATTAACAATAACTAATAATAAAATGGAACAATTATAACAATATACTATAATTTATTATAGTATAATTATATTATAATATAAGAAGTTATACTATAATAAAATAGTATTATAACAAGTTATACCATAATAAAATTCAAACATGTAAATGTTTTCTTTCTTCCTCTTTCTCTCTCAAAATATCTTATTGTAATGTACCATAGTAACTGAAAGTTCAGAAAGCAAAACGATGGACAAAAAGAAACTATTGTACACAAAAGATCAAAAACGAATCAAAGCAAAATACTATTAAAAAAATCACCTAATCAGAAATGAAGACAAGACAGGAAGAAAGAAACAAACAAAACTACCAGAAAACATTAACAAAATCACAATAGTAAGTCCTTACCTATCAATAGTTACCTTGAATGTAAATGAATTACATTGTCCATTCAAAAGGCATTAGAGTGGCTAGGTACAGTGGCTTATGTCTGTAATTCCAGCACTTTGGGAGGCCAAAGCAGGCATATTTCTTGAGCCCAGGAATTCAAGACCAGCCTGGGCAACATGGCAAAACCCCATCTCTGCAAAAAATACAGAAAATTAGCCAGGCATGATGGTGCATGCCTATAGTCCCAACTATGTGAGAGGAATGAGGTGGGAGGATCACCAACCCAGCAGGTCGAGGCTGCAGTCAGCCATGATTACACCACTGCACTCCCACCTGGGTGACAGAGTGAGATCCAGTCTCAAAAAATAAAAATAAAAAAAAAAAGACATAGAGTGACTGAATGGATTTAAAAAAATACTCAACTAAATGCTGCCTACAAGAGACTTACTTCTCCTTTAAGGACACAGGCTGAAAATGAGGGGATGAGGAAACCTACTCCATGCAAAAGGAAACCAAAAGAGAAGAGGGGTAGCTATAACTTAGATCAAATGTACTTTAAGTCAAAAGCTGTTAAACAGACAAAAAAGGTCATAAAACATGATAAAGGGATTAATTAATGAACATATAATAGTTAAAAATATCTGTGCAACAAACATTGCAGCACCTAAATATATAAAGCAAAAATTAATAGATCTCAAGGGAGTGATAGACAAATACAATAATAGCAGGGTACTTCAATAACCTACCTTCAGCGATTATCCAGAGAGAAAATTAATAAGGAAAAACTGGACATGAACAATACTACAAACCAATTGGACATAACAGACATATATAAAACATTCCATCCAACAGCAGCAAAACATACATTCTTCTTGAGCACATACAGAAAATTCTCCAGGATTGGTCATATATTAGGCCACAAACAAATCTTAACAAATTAAGGAAGACTGAAATCATATCAAATATATTTTCCAACCACAATAGTATAAAACTAGAAACCAGTAACAGGAAGAAATTCAGAAATTTCACAAATACATGGTAATTTAACAACATGCTGCTAAATAACCAATTGATCAATGGAGAAATTAAAAGGCAAATTTTAAAATATTGTAAGACAAATAAAAATGGAACCACAATATACCAAAACTTATGGGAAGCAGCAAAATAAGATGCAAGTTTATAGCAATAAATGCTTACAGGGGAAAAAAAAGATTTTAAATAACCTAACATTATGCCTGAAGGAACTAGAAAAAAAGAACAAACTAGGCCCAAAGTTAGTAGAAGGAGAGAAATAATAAAGATCAGAGCAGAAATAATAAAATAGTGACTAGAAAAACAATAGAAAATATTAATACAACTAAGAGTTGTTTGTTTGTTTGTTTTGAGATGGAGTCTCGCTCTGTCACCCAGGCTGGAGTGCAGTGGCATGATCTTGGCTCACTGCAACCTCCGCCTCCCGGGTTCAAGCGATTCTTCTGCCTCAGCCTCCCAAGTAGCTGGGACTACAGGTGCATGCCACCACGCCTGGCTAATTTTTGTATTTTTAGTGGAGACAGGGTTTCACCATATTGATCAGACTGGTCTCCAACTCCTGACCTCGTGATCTGCCCACCTCAGCCTCCCAAAGTGCTGGGATTACAGGCGTAAGCCACTGCGCCCAGCCTTAGAGCTGTTTTTTTGAAAAGATAAAATCAACAAATCTTTAGCTAGATTAAGAAAAAAGAGAAAAAACTAAAATAAATAAAATTATAAATGAAACAGGAGGCATTACAACTTGTACCGCAGAAACACAAAGATCCTAAGAAAACTACCAAGAGCAGTTATATGCAAGAAAATCGAATAACCTGGAAGAAGTGGATAAATTCCTAGACACACACAACCTACCAAGACTGAATCGTGAAGAAATAAAAAATCTGAACAGACCAATAATGACTAAGGAGACTGAATCAGAAATAAAAGATCTCTCCTCAAAGAAAAGGCCAGGATCCGACAGCTTCCCTGCTAAATTCTACCAAACATTTAAAGAACTAATACCAATCCTTCTCAAATGCTTCCAAAAAATTGAAGAAGAGGGAATACTTCCAAACTCATTTTATGAGACCAGAATTACCTTGATACAAAAGCCAGACGATGATACTACAAGAAAAGATAATTATGGACCAATATCTCTGATGAATATAGTTGAAAAATTCCTCAACAAAATGCTAACAAACTGAATTCAACAGCACATTAAGAGAATCATTCACCATGAACAAGTAGAATTTATCTCAGGGATACATGGATGATTCAACATACACAAATCAATAAATGTGTTACACCATATTAATAGAATGAAGGACAAAAACCTTATGATCATCTCAACAGATGTAGAAAAAGCATCTGACAAAATTTTATGCCCTTTTATGATACAAACTCTCCACAAATTAAGTATAGAAGGAATGTACCACCACACAATAAAGGCCATGTATGACAAACTCACAGCTAACGTTATACTCAACAGTGAAAAGTCGAAAGCTCTTCTGCTAAGATGAGGAATAAGATAAAGATGCCCTCTCTCACCACTTCTATTCAATATGAACTGGAAGTCCTAGACAGATCAATTAGGCATAAAGAAGAAATAAAGGCTCCAAGTTGGAAAGGAAGAAGTTAGACTATCCCTCTTTCCAGACATAATCTTATATCTAGAAAACCCTAAGATTCAACCAAAAAACTGTCAGAACTATATACAAATTCAGTAAAGTTGCAGGGTACAAAATCAACATACAAAACTCACAAGCATTTTTGTACACTAACAATGAACTATCCAAAAAAAAGAAATGAAGACAACAATTCTATTTATAATAGCTTTTACAAAAAAAAAATACTTAGAAATATTTAACCAAACAGGTAAAAGACTCGTACACATAAGAGCTATCCCATGTTCATGGATTCAAAGAATAAATATCATTGAAATATCCATACTATCCAAAGAGATTCAATGCTGTCCCTAACAAAATCCCAATGGTATTTTTCATAGATTTAGAAAAAATCCTAAAATTCATATGGAAGCCCAGAAGACCCCAAACAGCCAAAACAATCTTGAGCAAAAAGAACTAAGCTGGAGGCCTCACACTACCTGACTTCAAAATAGACAACAAAGCTATCGTAATAAAAAGAAAAAAAAGTATGGTACTGGCATTAAAAAATGGCACATATACCAATGGAACAGAACCGAGACGCCAGAAATGGAGCCACACATTACACTCAACTGATTTTTGACAAAATTGCCAAGAACAGGCAATAGGGAAAAGACAGCCTCTTCAATAAATGGTGTTGAGAAACTGGATATCCACATGCAGAAGAATGCAATTAGACCTTTATCTCACATCTTATACAAACATCAACTCAAAATGGATTAAAGGGTTAAATTTAAGACCTGAAACTATAAAACTATTAGAAGAACACATACAGGAAAAGCTCCATTACATTGGCCTGGGCAATAATTTTTTGGATATGAACAGGCAACAAAATAAAAATTTGACAAATGGGATTACATCAAACTAAAAAGCTTGTGCACAGCCAAGGAAACAATCAACACAGGGAAGAGACAACCTAAAAAATGAGAAAATATTTGCAAACCACACATCTGATAAGCAGTTAATATTCAAAATATATAAAGAACACAACTCAACAGCAAGAAAACAAATATTTTTAAATGGGCAAAGTCATTTCACAAAAGAAGATGGACAAATGGCCAAAAAGTATATGGAAAAATGTTCAACGTCACTGATTATCAGGGAAATGCAAATTAAATCCATAGTGACATCATCTCACATCTGTTAGAATAGCTATTATCAAAAAGACAAAAGATAATAAGTGTTGGTGAGGGTGTAGAGAAAAGGAAACCCTTGCATACTTGGTGGGAATGTAAATCAGTAGAGCCATTATGGAAAACAGTACGGAAGTTCCTCAAGAAACTAAAAATCCAGCAATCCCACTACTAGATATATATACATAGGAAATGAAATCACTATGTCAAACAGATAGCTGCACTTCCATGTTCACTGCAACATTATTCACAATAGTCAAGATAAAGAACCCACTTAAGTGTCCATCAACAGATAAATAAAGAAAATGTGGTATATATACATATACAACAGAATATTATTCAGCCTTGAAAAAGAAGGAAATCCTGTCATTTGCAATAACATGGATGAACCTAGGCAACATTAGGGTAAGTGAAATAAACCAGGCACAAAAAGAATACTACCACACAATCTCATTTATATTTGTAAACCCACAGAAGCAGAGAGTAAAATGGTGGTTATTGTGGGGCAGAGGGTTGGTTTGGGAGATATTGCTCAAAGGATATAAAATTTCAGTTATAAAAGAATACCTTCAAGAGATCTACTGTACAACATAATGACTACGGTTAGTAACAATATTCTTTAAAATCGCTAAGAGAATAGATTAAGTATTCTCACCACAGAAAAATTAAAAAGTATGTGAGGTAATATATATGTTAATTAGCTCCACTGAGCCATTCCACAAGGTATACATATTTCAAAACATCATATTGTAAATAATATAGAATGTTTTTGCCAGTTAAATAAATAAAGTGCCTTGCAGAGGGTAGGTGCTCAAGAAATGTTTATTCCCTTCCTTTCAAAGAAATTAGGGCCATTGACTTCAATAAGGAGGTTACCATTTTAGCATAAGGCCTGGAATAGGACAACAACAGACCAAAGGTAGAGTGAGAAATACCAAAAGCAGTCAAACAGGTAGGAAAGAGAATTGGCACTGTATCAAAAAAGCTTCATTATACTCGAACTAAAAGAAACATTCTCTTACAGAAAAAACTGAGTCTCAAAATAAGAATGAAATTTTTTTTCTACCTTAAGAAAAAATAAGACTTCTAAGGTAAGTCCAAAATGCAGAGAAGAGAAAAAATACTCTTGGAATAAAATATTCTGGGTCATTATACTTGAACAAGAAGAAAAAAAAATTCCCTAAAGAGTTCAACATTGATGATTTGCTTCATAAACAATCTCTGATAAAGAACCATACAATTATTATAGAGACCACCTCTGGCCATAGGTTCCATCCCTCTGCTGTCCAAGATCATAATGTCCATGATCAAAGGAAAGCATCATCATATTTCATTGAGCATTTGGCAAAAAAAACAAAAAACACCATTTTCTTTGAGACACCACACCCACACACAACTTCAGTTTGAGGCATATATCTTATACAATGTCACTGTCAATTGCCAGAGCCATTAAGAGGCATAGAAGGCTTATGTTCTCCCTTGAGTATTTGTGCTCTGGGTTCACGTTTTTAGAAAAAAAAAAAAATTCAAATGAGGCATTAAGAATTATGCACCAAGTCAAACTGCCCACCAATGGGCAGAGGTGGGGGAGCATGGATGTGAAATCCTGGCTCTGTTCCTTATAATCTATGCGGCCTTATGCAAGTCTGAGCCTCAATTTCCTCTTCTACAAAATGGGAATAATAACAGAATCTACCTCTCAGAGACATTGTGAAAATTAAATGAGATAATTACCAAATTAAAAAACATTTGTTCTTGAAACGACATGCTCAAGGAAGTAAAAAGAATCCACAGAATGAGGGAAAAATTTTGTAAATCATATGTTTGATAAAGGACTTATATCTAGAATATATGAAAAACTCTTACAACTCAATAATAAAAAGACAAATAAATGAATTTAAAAAGGGATAAAGAATCTGAAGAGACATTTCTCAAAAGAAGATCTACAAATGGTCAAAAAGCACAGGAAAAGATGCTCAACATTATTAGCCATCGGGGAATAAAAATCAAAACCATGATGAGATACCATTTCACACCTACTAGGATGTCAAGAATCAAAATGAGAGCCATTAACAAGTGTTGGCATGGATGTGGAAAAACTGGCACCCTCATACCCTGCTGGTTCAAATGTGAAATGGTATAGCCATTGGGGAAAACAATTTGTCATTTTCTCAAAGAGGATAGAATTACCACATGACCCAGCATATATTCCTACTCCTTGGTATATACTCAAGAGAAGGGAAAACATATGTCCATACAAAAACTTGTATACAAATTTTCATAGCAGCATATTCATAACAGCCAAAAAGTCAATTAAACTAATAAATGGTTAAATGAAATGTGGTATATTCATACAGTGGAATATAATTTAGTCATAAAAGGAAATGAAATACTAATATGTGCTATAACAAGTATTAACTTTGAAAACTTTGTTAACTTAAAGAAGACAGTCACACAAATGGGATCTAATTAAGCTAAAGAGCATCTACACATCAAAAGAAACTATCATCAGGGTGAACAGGCAACCTACCGTATGGGGGAAAAATTTTGCAATCTGTCCATCTGGCAAAGGTCTAATATCCAGAATCTACAAGCAACTTAAACAAATTTACAAGAAAAAAAAAACCATCAAAAAGTGGGTGAAGGATATGAACAGACACTTCTCAAAAGAAGACATTTAAGTGGCCAAAAAACATATGATAAAAAGTTCAACATCACTGATCATTAGAGAAATGCAAATCAAAACCACAATGAGATACCATCTCACATCAGTCAGAATGGCGATTATTAAAAAGTCAAGAAACTACACATGCTGGTGAGGCTGTGGAGAAATAGTAACATTTTTACACTGTTGGTGGGAATGTAAATTAGTTTAACCATTGGGGAAGACAGTGCACCAATTCCTCAAGGATTTAGTACCAGAAGTACCATTTGACTCAGCAATCCCATTACTGGGTATATACCCAGAGGAATATAACTCACCCGGCCCAACCTAAACTATAAAAACACATGCACCCATATGTTTACTGCAACACTATTTACAATAGAAAAGACATGGAACCAACCCAAATGCCCACCAATGACGGACATTTCTTTATTTTCACCAATGAAGAAAATGTGGTACATATACACCAAGGAATACTATGCAGTCATAAAAAGGAATGAAATCATGCTTTGCAAGGACATGGATGAAGCTGTAAGCCATCATCTTCAGCAAACTAACACAGGATCAGAAAACCAAACACTGCATGTTCTCACTCATAAGTGGGAGCTGAACAACGAGAACACATGGACACAGGGAGGGAAACATCACCACCAGGGCCTGTCGGCGGGGTAGGGGGGCGAAAGGAGGGAGAGCATCAGGACAAATATCTAATGCATGCAGGGCTTAAAACCTAGATGACAGGTTGATGTAGCAAACCACCATGGCACAAGTATACCTAGGTAACAAATCTGTACTTTCTGCACATGTATCCCTGGAATTTAAAGTAAAATAAAATTTTAAAAAGCGTCACAAACGACCACATGTTGTATGATTCCCATCATATGAAATATCCAAAATAAGCAAACCAATAGAGACAGAAGGTAGATTAGTGGTTGCCTAAGGCTGGGATGGAAAAGTTATGAGGAAACGGCCACGGAGTGAGAGTTTTCCTTTTGGGCTAATGAAAATGTTTTAAAATTGACTGTGGCAATGGCTGCACAGCTCTAACTATAATAGAAGTCACTGAATGGTAAATTTTAAATGGTATGTGCATTGTATAGGATGTGAATTCTATCTCAATAAAGCTGTTTTTAAAGGAAGATTAAATAAGACAAATACTTGTAAAGTGTTTAGCACAGTGCCTAGCACCTTGGAACGGTTCAATAAATGTAGTCTGATAATGTTGCTGATATTGTTGCTACTTCCAGAAGAAAATACGTTTAATCTAAAAAATGTTTGTCATGCATGTAATTGATGAGAATAACCTGGTCCTTTAATCTCAAAATTATGAAACCATTCTGAAATGCAGAGGAAGCTTTTAAAAATCTCGGCAATGGTCTAATAACCTAAACTTTTTTTTTTTTTTTTTTTTTTTCTGAGACAGAGTTTCACTGGTTGCCCAGGCTGGAGTGCAGTGGCACGATCTTGGCTCACTGCAACTTCTACCTCTGGAGTTCAAGCGATTCTCCTGCCTCAGCCTCCTGAGTAGCTTGGATTACAAGCGCCTGCCACCATGCCCTGCTAATTTTTGTATTTTTGGTAGAGACAGGGTTTCTCCATATTGGCCAGGCTTGTCTCGAACTCTTGACCTCAGGTGATCCGCCCGCCTCGGCCTCCCAAAGTGCTGGGATTACAGGCATGAGCCACTGCACCGGCCTAACCTAGACTCTTATAAACATTTACAACAATCAGAGATAATAACAACAGTAAATTTGTCTGGTGACACCTGTGGAATCCTCCTCAACTATTTCAGGTAAGGTTTACTGCTTCTTCCTCTGTAATTTGCCTGTTCAGATTTCTACTATATCATTATCTACTCTATACATCATTTTTTTCCACTAAAGTGTAAGTTCTATCAGGACAAGACAATGTCTCATTCATTTTTGTATCCTATAAGGACAGCATATTGCAATGCTGGTACATAGTAGGTGCTTAATTGAATGAACATGTAACTGTGAAAATTCCTGGCTATCTTATCATTTCTCATCTATCTGAACTCCTGTTTCAGCCCCCTTTAAGAACAGGAAGAAAGGGTTTGATAACTGACGAGTTTAATTACAATCACATCTTTTCCTAACAGATTAAAACACCTCAACAAGTAAAGTTTTACTAGTTTCACCACAGTCTTGAAGTTCCAAGCATTCTCAAGAATAGAAAAATAACCCATAACAGTTTATTTAAACCCTAGGAAAGCCTATGATAGCCCTAGGAAAACACTAAGAACTTTATATAATCAGCCTGTGATCCCTGCCATCATCACTAAAGCAAAATGCATGAGCAGCCCCTCCCAGCTCCCCATGTTGTTTCTGCCTTTCGGTGAACATTTTCTCCTCTTGCTACCATAAGTAGTAACATTAGTATCTAGTAGCAAGCTTTGCTGTTGCAAACTTCCAGGTGATGCCCTCCTCCTGGTTCCCGGGCCAGGAGGAGGGCATCACCTGGAAGTTTGTTAGAAATTCGGCATCTTATTTCTTACTAGATCCACTGGCGATTCAAATGCACATTAAAACTTTAGGCATTTTTCCGTAAGAGCTGGCTGTGCCTGGCTTTAGATTCAAGCTGGCTATACTTGGGCTCTAGATTTGAAGGCCACTACAGACCATCTGAAGTGCATTTGGCAAATCAACTCACTCAGAGATTCTTATGCTGTGTGCATTTTAGAACCACCTGGGGAGATTTTTTTTAAATCAAAATGCCTATGCTCCACCCTAGAGATTGAATTGGCCTAGGACCCAGTTTTTTTGTTGTTGTTGTTGTTGTGCTGCTGCTTGTTTGTTTTTGAGACAAATCTCTGTCATCCAGGCTGGAGTGCAGTGGGATGATTATGTCTCACTGCCTCACACTTGGGCTAAAGCAATCCTCCCGCCTCAGCCTCCTGAGTAGCTAAGACTACAGGTCTGTGCCACCAAGCCCAGCTAACTTTTTATTTTGTAGAGACGGGGTCCCCCTATGTTGCCTAGGCTGATCTCAAACACCTGGCCTCAAACAATCCTCTTGGCTTAGCCTCACAACGTTTTGGGACTTCAGATGTGAGCCACTGTGCCTGCCCCCAATATTTTTTAAAGCTCCCCTAGCTAATACTAATGGACAGCTAGAGTTGGGAACCACTGATTAACTTCTATAAGCTTCTATCAAATGGGACAATTAATAGTAGCTGCCTCGTTGGGGTGTGAAGACCAAACCTGATCACCTTTGAAAAGCTCTTGGTCCAGTACTTGTAACATTTAAGTGATCAACAAATGGTAGTTATTATTATAATACCTGGAAACCCGGAAATGAATGCAACAACAGGGATAAAAAGAATAGGCTCAGATTGTACTAGTCTGGTCCCATCCTACAGGTAAGTAACTGCCACAGTCAAAGAACACATTATCTCCAAGGACAAGTTTGCCCCTTACCTGACACTTTGAGTTTCCTTGAAGCTTTCTGAAGGAAACTCAGAATGTCAGGTAAGGGGCAAGGTGTCAGAAAGGCCAGCACCTTCATTTGGAATTTATTGATGGAAGGTGGGGGAGCATAGTTTCAACAAGGCTGTAACACAGGAAATCCCCCTTACCACACCTTTCTGATTTACACTGATTCTTGATACACACCACATGTGTCCTCGACTCTCTTTTCCCCTCCCCCTGAGTTTTCAATCGTTCTGTTCCACATTTAGGTGATGAAAACTTAAAACCTGTGGTTATAACTTCTATGAGAAATTTCATTTTGAAAGCTTGCTAAATTTCAACTTTATTGCCATGAGAAAAACAAAAGAAACAAAAGACCTCAGTCATTCAGTGACACAAAAACCCCAAATGAAGACATTTCATAAATGTAAGTTTTCTGCTGCAAGTTGTTGAAAATCCTGACTTTTGGACAGGGGTGCCATTCATTTGCTTCTACAAATGTTCTATGAAACAATAGCACTTATTTTTCTAATAGTTTTAGGTTACATGTTTAGTTTCACCTATGGATTTTAACTTGGCTAAGCCTAGCCTATAGATCCTTTTGAATCTACATCTCACAGGATTTATCCTAAGTCTACTCTTCCAAGGAGATTCGTAATGGCCAGGCAAATAAGTCCATGATCTGCTTTTCCAACAATTACAAGGAAATAAACTCCCAGATGAGAATAACATACCTATCAGGCCACTGAGAGATAACCAAAGATTTACCTCAATGGTGATTACATTCATTTTTTAAAGTGTGCATGGCTTAGTGACTAAGTCACCAGAAAGCTCAAGTTATATTTCCACTCCTCTGCTTATTCACTATGGGCCTCCTCTGCAGTAAAGGAAGCAGACTCCTCCTCCCTCTCACTGGGTGCATTGTGATAGCTAATGAATGTCTGCATTTCAATGGCTTTTAGAATCTTTTTGGAAGTTTCAGAAGTGATTTTGGCATCCCACAGAGTGCTCTCAAATAGTGCTCCTATTCTCTGGACTGGTTTCTAACCACACCTTGGGTTTGGGGCCTACTGCAAAGGGGGTCTGGGATTCAAGTCCTAAGTCTCCAAGAATGTCATTCTACAGCCTCTTCAGGAGTCTGTCAATGAATGACAGTTTAAAAACATGGAAGAATCCAGGAGTAAACTCACCCTTGCACACCTACAAGCACACATGGCCTCTCCCAGAAACCACAGACCCACTCTAGTCTCCCAGAGAACCTGTTTCAGATTGGCCCAACCACCCCCAAAACACAAGTACCTACACCAGTTCACTTCAGTGGAGTGGAGGGATTACTTTTAGCTGTTATAGTTCATTTAAGAATGTCATGCTTAAATGTATAAGTAATGAGTTCTAATCCCAGCTCTTCTACGTAAAAGCCCTGTTATTTTGAGCAACTTCCTTGAGTCTGTTTTCTCAGTTATAAAATGGAGATGCCAACTTAAAATAAGATTACCGTACTGTGAAAATCAGAGGAGTTTTTACAATCTTTAAATATTACAAATGTAAAGTGTAATTATTTTTCTCCTGCAGACAACTGGCTAGGGAGCTATTCAAAAATGGTGACCTTCTGCCTTCTTTAGTCTGTTTCTAACTAAAAATTATCCCAGGTATTTAAAAATCTTTATTTGTTGGCTGATTAGTATTCAAATTCACAGAGCAGCATTAATGAGATGAGTAATATTCAAAGAGAATCAAAAATTCCTTAGCCAGGATTTCTTACAAATGACACAGTGATATACTATTTGAGCCAAAAATCAAAACAATGTTAGTGTCACTTTCTATCTGCATCCAAAACTTTACAAAGCACTTGTTTTATTAAAGGATATCATATTTTGATGCATAAGGTTAGTTTTGCTATGGCCATTTTTGTGACACTTACCCAAAGAATGTACTATAGTTATTAAAAGGATTAAGATGGATAATGGTGTTTAAAGAGATGTTACAGGGAAAGAATTAATTTAGATCAGAGAAATATGATACTATAGCACAAATAACAAACAGATAACTTCTTGTTTAAAAAAAAAAGTACCAATGAAAGAGAATAAACAGGTCCTCTGCATATATTCTTTACCCACTGAAAAACACACCATAATTACCAACTATAAGGTTATCTAGACAAGCAAGTTTTATAACAATGTGATTCTATCTATATACTTTAAAATGTATATACTTCTGTATGCATGGCAAATGATCTGAAAAGATACAGGTCAGACTGTTGAAAGTGGTTATACCTATGGAGTAGAACTGGGGATGGAGGCCAGGTGTGGTGGTTCACGCCTGTAATCCCAGCACTTTGGGAAGCCGAGGTGGGCGGATCATGAGCTCAAGAGATCGAGACCATCCTGGCCAACATGGTGAAACCCTGTCTCCACTAAAAATACAAAAATTATCTGGGCGTGGTGGCGCATGCCTGTAGTCCCACCTACTCCAGAGGCTGAGGCAGGAGAATCTCTTGAACCCGGGAGGTGGAGGTTGCAGTGAGCTGAGACTGCATCACTGCACCCCAACTCCAACCTGGCAACAGAGTGAGACTCCGTCTCAAAAAAAAAAAAAAAAGTGGGAATGGAACATGAAGGGAGGCTTTCACTTTTTTTTTTTTTTTTTTTTGACGGAGTTTCACTCTTGTTGCCCAGGCTGGAGTGCAACAGCTCACTACAACCTCCACCTCCGAGGTTCAAGCGATTCTCTCGCCTCAGCCTCCCAAGTAGCTGGGATTACAGGTGCCCGCCATCACGCCCAGCTAATTTTTGTATTTTTAGTAGAGACGGGGTTTCACCATGTTGGCCTGGCTGGTCTCAAACTCCTGACCTCAGGTGATCCGCCCGCCTCAGCCTCCCAAAGTGCTGGAATTACAGGCATGAGCCACCGCACTTGGCCGGCTTTCAGTTTTTATTTGATGTACATATTATTTAATGAGAGTATTCATGTGCATGCATTACATTGATAATAAAATGAATGAAAAGCATAAATCTGTAGAAGTATGAAGAAGTTAAGCAACAACTAGAAGTGGGAGAGAGGTTATTAGCATATTAGCTACCAAATAAGTGGGAAATAACCAGTCAACAAGTACTTACTGAAGAGCTACTACATAAAAGGCACTTTACTAGATTGTAGAAACTACAGAAATGTTACAATCACTACTCTCACAGTGCCCTATAATCTAGGAGTAGAGCCAAGTTTACATGAACATTCACAAAAAAATACCTGAGAACATAAAGCAGAATACGAAAATGGCCACAAGAGTGATTTTTAGACAATAAGTATTTTAGAAACTCAGGCTCAATAAGTGTTTCATAAATGAATTAATTAAACACTTTGAGCTAAGATAGCAAAGAATCATAGAAAAGGAGAAAAAACTTGAGCAGGGCTTTGAAAAGTAGGCAGAATTCAGAAATGGGTAGAATGTGGCAGAGGGATGATAAGGTGGAATATCCAGAGGGTTAGAAATGAAAAGAATGTCAGAGAGGGTAGAAGTAGAGTAACAAGCTATACCATCTGCTTGTAAATAAACTTAGGTTCCTACAGGGAGGCGGAGAGAAGAAGCTGGCCAAGGAGTGCAGACTGACCTTAGGGAGCCTTGGAAAGCTCAAAAACTTGAGCTAGCAGACAAGGGATGTCGGTGAAGGTTTCGAGCTAGGCAGTGACAGGAGGAAAGTGGAGCTTCAGAAAGGTTAATAAGACAACAAGATGGAGAGAGGCTGAAAACAGGAAACCCAGCTGAGACGTGCTACAGAACAGGTGTGAGGTGATGAGTGCCCAAACCAGATGAAAACAGTCACAAGGGAAACAACAATAATTATCATTTAGCCCTATTTACAAGCAAACTTTCAAATCAGACTCCAGCTAATATAAAGGCCTTTCCTCTAGGGGAAAGGCCTTTGAAGCTGACTTGGTAGAGGAATGAGAAACACTGTGCTGCTATGTTATAACAGGGGTAATGAAAATCACCAGCTTTGGAGAGAGACTGCCCTGGATTCAACCACAGCTCAGCCATTTACTAGTACAGTTACTTAACCCCTGAGACATTTTGCAGACTGTATAACCTCTTTGTTCCTTGATTTCTTCATTTTAAGTGTCTATAGCTGTGTTCCCTACTTGAATTTAACAAAATCTCAGTTCAAACAGAAAGATAAGGCAAAGAAGTATGAAGAAAAGGCTTTCTTGAAATCTCACCTTTATCAATTCCCTTTTCTCTTCACAGGACTTCACTAGGCTTAAAACTTGAAGGAAGAATAAGTCAGAGTATGGTTCAGTGTATAAATAAAAAGTAATTATAAAATTGCCCAGTAATTTTTTCAAATATTCTCAAAATTGTCCAATAATTTTTTCAAATATTCTTATTTCTCTTTTTTCCTGAAATTTCCCTTACATCAATAACACCATTGATCCATTTCTATTATTCCCTTCAATGCATCTGCTTCCAAAATATACCTCCTTCCTAGAGAAACTATAAGTCCTTTCCTACATTGGATCAGTTGTTGTTCTACTCCTTCAACATGTCCTAAAATGTGACAATCATTTCTTTCAACTGTTCATGTGTCTTCCTGCAGTTATCGTTCTCTGTTTTACCTAACAACTATTTTGTGTCACAACCCACAAGACCTTTGAATATGTTCATGGGACTATATTCATGGGAAGGCATATGGCACACATTTTTTTAATGCTCCACAATGCTTAGTTTAGGGGTTTCGGAGCCAGACAAATGAATGGACGAATAAATAGGACAATGCATGATTCAAAGATTGAATCCCTCTCTTACCTAAGCACAATACACGACTGGGATCTAATCCTGGTTCTACCAGCTATTTAATACTTCATAGCAGAGGCTCCATTTAAGCTTGAAGGTTTAATGATTGATATCACTGAGTCTCTGTGGCACAACTCATTAGCTGGGTAGTCTTGGGCAAATTACTTAACCTCTCTGTGCCTTGGTTTCCCCATCTGTCAAATGGGGTAAACAGTACTTTCCTCATAGGGTTGATGGAAGGATTAATGTATTAATGCATGTATACTGCTTAAAACAGTACCTGGCACATAATAAGCATTCAATAACATTAAGTATTATTATTATGGTTGTGTTATTACTATTATTGGGCTGCAGAGAAACATTCATTCTTCCATAGTATTTAAGAGATAATGTCCCAAATCTGGGCAGTTTACCTTTTCCCAGCTTTCTAACTTCGCATTCCAAACCAAGTGAAAATAAGGTACTGGTTTAACCCCTAATTCCTTCAACACAAACATATAGATACATGCATGCACCCATCTTTTCTAAATATACAGCATATACATTTCACTCTTCATTATCTGCTACACAAAAACCAAAACACATATATTTAGGTTTGTAAATAACATAAATACTTTGTTTGACTTAATGTGTCTGTTCCATGCAGTATGATGGTGGTTATATCTATATTGGTTTTTGTATGTGTAACAATAGCAGTGTATTTTTATTGTAAATTCCTAAGGACAAAAATGACTTGCTTAAGTCAGTCTGGGTACTTGGACTAAATTGGAGTGCATATTCAGAAAAGAATTTTAGAAAAATTAGAGAAAGAGGGAAATTAATGGGTACTGACTTAGCAGAAGGTTTAATGAAAGATGGAATTTGAGCAGAGCTTTCAAGAACAGGTAAAATTTTCAATTTCAGGGGAGAGGGAGATGTGTGTTCAACATGGAAAGTATAATATATGTAAGTGGAGAAGTAGAGGAACTAAGCAAAGATTGGTCTAACTAAAGAGAGGACACTGGAGACTACTACAAAATTTATGTTTAATATATAAGATCACAGCACTCTTGAGAGTACAGTTCATGTTTATTCCTCTTGGTTGCCCCAATATCTAGCACTAAGTCTGGCTTATATACAACTGATAATCAAAAAACATTTATTGAATTGAGCAAAATTACACTGTCTTTCACCATATCAAAGTGAAGAAAACTGAATGGAACTGAACTCAACTCAATTAGATCATGAAAGCCAATGGATAAAATAATTCAACAAACTTGTACAAGGTATGTAAACCTTGAACAGCACTAACCACTAGTCAAGAAATATGTCTTCACTTTGCCTAAATTACCACTGATAGACAAGTTCAGGGAATGAAACACAAAATTCTCTCATTCTCATATTCATTCTCACTCTCTTTCTCTCTGACACACACACACACACACACACACACACACACATAGCTCAGAGTTTCAATCTACTGTCTTACAGACTGAGATAGCTGAAAGCATGATTAAGGAACTAAGAAGTACCCAAATCAAGATTCTTAACATCTAATCCATTTTGATGAAGGATTCTCAGACAAGACTTCTGACTACAGGAGTCCAGATCACATGACCAGCAGACTAAGCAAAACCAGAAAACTTTTTGAAAGAAACTGCTTTTCTTCCATGAGGTCCCCATCCCATCAGTAGGGATTGCGAGACCAGGAGAGATAATTTAAATGAATTTGGCAGATGAAATAATAATTTGGTATTGGCAACAGTAGTACAGTTGCATTGTACAAAAAAAATTGATGAATTACCTTTTTCCCCAAGGTGGTAAATTATACAAATGTGGGTCAGCATTAAAAGGTTTATTTACTGGCTTTTCTGATTCGCTGAAATTAATTAAGCCACCTCCACAAGTAATGGACCAGTATTTCTTGGTCTCTACCACTTCTAGCAGTAGGCACGTGGCCACAATGACTACACTGTGACTAGACATGGTGACTAAATCTTTGTAAGATACAAATTCAGATTTACTGGGATATAGTGAACTGCAGCTCACACTCAGGGCCTGCGTACAAAATTTCAAAGGTATTACAGAAATGCATCCATTTTGATTTCAAAAGGCAGAATAAAATAAACATAAATAAAACTTCATAAATAAACATACATAAAATTTCAGGTGATTACTGACACTTTTTAATACAATATTAAATTATATCAAATCCTTCTAAAGTTATTGGCAGACAAATTGTGAAATGCCAAGGATGAAGTTAGAATGAGGTCTTTTCTTGGGCCTAAAATTCTCTACAAACTGCTTTTAGCTGCTGCTGCTGAAGTAACAAGAAGTCAATAGTAAGTAATTTGACAATCACACCTGGGCCCCATTAATCTTCCCAGCTTCAGTGTCAAACAGAGGCCTGAAACTAGATGCCTACTCAATGAGTAAATAAATGATTATAAAATACTAGCCTACATTTACTCTACAAAAGAAGGAAGAATAACATAAAATAACAAGCAAATTTTAAGACCTTTTACTTTATAAAACTTGCAATGTAAGGATCTAATTAATAATTCAATTTTAGGATCTGTCTTTTAAGCATGCTTTGTAACTCAAACCTTGACAAATGCAGTTATTATAACACAGTTTAGTTAGAGGGAGGGGATGAATGTGTCTAGTGATTTGGAAAGGGAAGATGGGAGAGAGCAAGTGTCATGGAAGGCCCCTGTTGAAATGTGTCCTTCCCTTCTCCAATGAAGTAAAATAAAATAGCCTCTTTTTTCCTCTATGGCCAATTCCATTTTACTATGCCTAAATTTCAAGATTCCCATAATCTGATCTGGATTTACCCAACCAACATTTTCTCTCACACATGTACTTTCTTTTTCTTCTTCTTCTTCAATTACATATTTTGAAGTTAAGAAAAATAGATTAGAATGTATTAAAACTCAATTTAAACATAATTCTAGCAATATGAACTTTGCTTGGGATAATTTCTAATGTACTTTATTTTATACATTTTTCTTTAATTATAAACATTTCTATTTAACAAAAATGTGTAAATAGGCTTCTATAAAAGAGATTTTGACATGGTTTTACCACATGAAGATAATTCTAACATACTTTCTATGTAGCCAGGGTGGTCTCCTTCCTGCCCAAATATATACGAGGATTTGCCTCATGCTCTCTCTCTTGAGTTGCATATCCTCTCTTCTTGTCTCTCTCTCTCTAAGGTCTACCTACCTATCTAACTCCCACCTAAGTCTCACCAGCATTCAACTCTACTTTTCTTGTTATACCCTGGCAAACTATTATATTCCACTTAGCACTTCATTCTAAATTGTCTTTCTGTTATTCTTCAGTTTTGTCAGTGTTAATGTTGTCTCACCAACTACACTATTGGTTCATTGACAGCAGATGCAGTATCTTTTGAAGAATACAAGTCAGGTATCTTGTAGAGTATCCTTCAGTTTGGGTTTGACTAATGTTTTCTCATGTTTACTGAGAGTTACAGATTTGGGGAAAGAATATTACATGGTGAAGTGCCCTTCTCATTATATCATATCAGAGAATAATACATGATATCAATATGACTTATCTGCTGATGTTAACCTTAGTCATTGATAAAATGATATCTGTCAATTTCTTCAGTGAAAAGTTACTATTTTCCCCTTTGGAGACTCTCTTCTTTAAATCCAAGTCACACTCAAGGGAAGAAGAATTAAGCTCCACCTCCCAGAGGTGGAGAATTTGTGGACATATATTAAAACCACCACAATAATTAGTTAATAAATATTATGAGGGAGATGCTTTAAGGCTATGCAAATATCCTCTTTTAAAGTTCCACCCGCTAAGTCCAACACTTGATTAAGGTATCTCGCCTAAAGCAATTATTACTGTTGTGTTCTAATGGTGATTTGGGATAGCATCTTTTATTTATTTTATATTCTGCCATTCTTTGTCTAGCATGAAACTAAACAGAGAGTAGATAATCAGTACATACTTATTAAATGTAACAGAATTTCAAAACCATTATGTGAAATAAAATGAGATAATAGAAAGTGGATAAGTTCAAGGCAAATATGTATTTTGGCAGTTGTGCTGTTCTTACACCATAAGTCTTGATTGATAGAATGGGATTAAAAAGAAAAAGAATTAATTACTTCATCTGTGGAAAAGCTTCCTAGAGAAAAGAGAATAATAATAGTTATACAGTGTCTTAGAGTTTACAAAGTATACACACATTCATCATTTAGAATTCAGAAGCTCTCTGAAGAGAAAAATCTTCAGGAGATAAAGATAAAAGATATTTGAAAGTTGTGAAAAGGCACTGTTACACCAGGAATTGAAAAATCAGGAATAGAAATTACATTAGACTAACAAAGAAAAGCAAAAGTAAAGGCAAGGTAGAAACAGATACAATTTTTTAAAATGTAGTTCTAGTGCAAGGCTTTAAACTGGGTAATAAAGTTAATTTAACACATAGCATAAAATAAAGACAACTTAGACAACCACAGATAAAGAGCACATGGTTAAAATCATGAAGAATGCCATTAAAAAATAAGCATCAAGAATGGACTGCATGGGAATATGTGTTGAAAGTGTAAAATGAATGGAATCTTCATGTATACCTTCAGTCATTTCTCCACTGGTCACCTCCATTTTCCCAGGGCCTTTCACAGTGCTTTTAACCTAGCATACACCCAAGAAAATTTGCTGAAGATCTACCATGTGTCATAAAGGCTAGACATTGTGGATATACAATAATTAGATACGGTGTCTTCCTATAAAGAATTTGCATTCTAGATGGAAAGGTAAAATATATATATATATGTATATATATAAAGTTGAATGTCTATATATATATATAAAGTTGAATGTGTATATATGTGTGTGTGTGTGTGTGTGTGTGTATATACATATATATATATATACATAAAATTAAATGGCAAAACAAGGCAGAAGGAGCCAAAAGAAAAGCATAAAGAGTAAAAGCTACAGCAGTCTAAAGAAAGAAGAGATCACTGTGGAATGACCTGTTCAAGAACAGTTTTGTGCAAATAAGGAACATTTGCAATGGGCCTTCAAAAACTAGGTGAGATGGAATAAGCTCTGACTTAAGCCAAGAGAAATACATTCAATGCATATTCATATAGTAACTGAACAAAGGTACGGGGTTGAGATAATAAAGGTGCTTTAAGAAGACAGTGAACAATCAAGTAAGTTGGGCTGTAATAAAAGGTATATGGAAACACAGGGTAGTGAAAGTAAGCTGAGACTGAAATGTGAAAGGTTTTGAATGTCAGGTTGAGGAGTTTGAACATATTATGTAAGCAATCCAAAAATAACCATAGTTTTTTAGCAAAAGAGCAACATGATGAATATGACATTTTAGAAATATTAAGCTGGCTTTTGATGTACATTTAAAAAATGGTGTACATCTTCATTAAAGATGCAGTTATGGTCTTAAAAAAACATGCATACAAATAAATCACATTGAATACAATACAAAGAGGGGAAGACTGGAAAAAAATAAACTTAAGAACAGAAGAATAACCCAAGATTTCCTTGTTGAGAGCAGGTAAAGCATAACATTACATAGAACAAAAAGGAAGTTAGGCAACAGTAAGATTCCTTGGGTATAAAGAACAACTCTATTTTTACTTCTTCCATCATCACTATTTGTGTATATAATTCAAGGTGCCTAAGCATAGAGTAGAATAGTTAACTGCATTAAAGGAGTAACCAGTGAAGCTCCCAAAGTGATACATAAACAGTGGTTTTACAAAGTTAGAGAAAATACAGTTGCATTAATGTGCTCAGAAAGTATCTGGAAAACAGAAGACACATGAGTTGTTAATTGCATTATTAATTCATGGGAAAACAAGGGGAACAACAAAATCACATCGGGGCCAGGCACAGTGGCTCATGTCTGTAATCCCAGCACTTTGGGGAGGCTGAACTGGGCAGATCAGTTGAGGTCAGGAGTTCAAGACCAGCCTGGCCAACATGGTGAAATCCCATCTCTACTAAAAATACAAAAATTAGCGAGGCATGGTGACGCACACCTGTAATCCCAGCTACTGAAGAGGCTGAGGCACGAAAATCACTCTACCTGGGAGGTAGAGATTGCAGTAAATCAAGATAATGCCACTGCCCTCTAGCCTGGGCAAAAGAGGAGACTCCATATCGAAAAAAAAAAAAAAACTTATCAGGGTAGCAATATAAACGGATTAACCAGAAAAGTGGAAGCTTTTTGCTCAATGCTACAACTATCCATTCATTTTAACATTAGTACATAACAAAAGCCACCTTTGGTTCTCAACTCTGTTCCTTAAAGATAATTCTCCTTACATTCTCTCAATCCTCTCAGGTAATTCCATAAATCTACCTTCTGCCTTCTGTAAAAGCTTCAGTCTCATTAAATCTTACTCACTCCTTAATCCCACTTTAAAACATTAAATATATATTAGAAATTTGCTGAAGTTGCCTTTAATGAATGTAAGAATCCTTACCTTTCTTATAGTGTTGTGCAGTCAAAAAAATAACTTACAAACATTACCTCTTAGAACCTTCAGAGAAGCAAGGTACAGCAGGTAATCATCATCATCCACATGCTATAAACAGTAAGCCCTGGGCCACACATTCATAAGTCATAGGGCCAGGCATGCAGTGCAACCTTCCTAAGTCCAAATTCCATTTTCTCTTCACTGTATCATTCAGTTTCATAATGTGCCAGTAGGTATATCTTATTACTCAAAATGTATGTTGTTATTCTGTACTACGTCTAAGTAAATACATTTTTTAATAAGATGCCTTTATGCCCAAGTGCTTACTACAGGACCATTTCCTAAGAAGGCTTAATTACTTTAAGATGCTCATGATGATAACAGTTATCACTAGATGAAAAGGGACAACAGAAGCATAATGTTTTCAAAATTGCTGAGACTATACCAAGAACATTTTGCCTTGAATTCTGCAATGCAACATGCAACAACAAAGACAGTATGGGTAATTTAAGGATATGTGAGCTTCAAAGGGCAGAAATAGGACATTCTCATTCTCTTTAACTCTGCTAAAGCCTCAAATACTGATATAGTTCAGAGCATCTTATTACTAGGAAAACATAAATCAAAAGGAGTTCGGCTAGGAGCAATAAAACAGATTAGTGTCTGGAAGGACTGACTTTAAAGAAAGTTTTAAAAGAATTAGATCCAGGTAGTCTAGATAAAAAACAGCTATGAGGAAACATTTTTTTTTAAGCTAACACTCACACCAAAGGCAGAAATTATTTTGAAGATAGATGTCTAAAAAATGCAAACAGGAATAATTGTAAATCCTTATAAAGGGAAAATTCAGGAGAAATTTCCCAGCAAAAGCTTATGGGACAGAAGAACTCTCTCCCCTATGAGTGGTGAAAAACTACATTCCTAGAGATATTTAATGCCAGGTTGGACAAAACAAGAAAAGGATTCCATATGGAATGATCCTATACTGGCCCCTAACGTGATAGAGGACTGAAGGTAACCTCTTAGATCTTTTCCGTTTATGTTTTTTTTTTAATTTTATATAGTTTTACAGGGCACTGCCTTCTGCCAATTTCTTTTCTCCCCATGATGCCCACTTTCTCCTTTCACAAAGGGAAACAAATTGTAGCCTTCATTTTAAACAGATCTCATTGTTCTCAGTGTAACATAATCCTAGGTACAAAGTTGGGAGAAACAGACCAATTTCTAAACTTATAATGGTCCTTTCCTCCCTCCCTCACCCCCAGCAATTCCTGGGGCTCTTACAAGTTTTCCCACAAACTAAAGAGGAAGTAGTTCAAATGGATTGGAAGAAGAAAAACCATTAATATCAGAAAAACCATTAATATTCTCCCTTCTTATGTCTGATCACAGAGCTGACAGTGACCCTGGGAGCTATAAGGTTCTGGGTCAAATTACCATAGGAGGTGCTGTTAAAGACTATCTTTTACCTTTCAGCATTTATGCTGAGTGACAGCAAAAGTCTACTTGCAATCCATACTTTCATAGCAATGACTTTTATCTTTGAAAAGATATAGCCTTAAACACCTACATGCTTTGGCAAATGTTATAAAAGAGTAAGTCCTAGTCATGCTCCAAACTCAAGAAGCCTTAGCCTTGCCCTCTTTCTCTATTCTGGCACTTAAAAAAAAATGTTCCTCTGCCACCCTTGAAATACATTCCAATACCTCTCCAGAAGTACTTTTCAATGAAGGCCCAAGAAAATACAAGGGCATTTGCTCCTTTAGCTGATTTGTAAGGACAAGATATAACAAAATTCAGAAGGCTCTGAAAATCTGTCCCTGAGCCCTTTACATATAAAACTAGTTTACTTATAAGAAGGAACAGCAACGGGGATGATAGCCCTCCAAGAATGGACACTAATGCCTCTTCTATCCAATCTTAACAGTGTCAATAGCTCAAGAAACGCCAATACCCTCCATCGTGCCTCTTTGAAAGTACATCCCTCCACTTAAACAGGAAGTTCATAGATGTTAACACCTAACCTTCTAAACAAAAAATTTTCAATAGCATTTTCATTTTTTATCCCTAGTAAAAATGAGACCGTTCAAACCAAAAAAGATTGGCCTCTCAGATTGAAATAAGATTTCAAGTTTTCAAAGCCCTTCCAACACTTATCTAATCCCGTCAGGAAAGAAAGCTGGCATTTGTAATCCCATTTTAAAACAGAAAAAAAAAAATGCAACTCTGAGATTAGGCAATCTGAAGAAGAACTAACTGTGGAGATTTCCAAACCTTCCTCAACAAGGGACCAATTTAAAAGGGATTATTCCAGAAAACTTTAGAGTGGGTTTCAAAAACGGCTGAATTCCTTCTGTACCCTAATCACAGGAAGGCAAGAAATAAGAAAAACAGAAAGGCACTTTGCCTAGAATTTTAGCAATGAAATATGACTCTGACCTTTAATAATCTATGAACCTGGCTGAATTTTCTCAAAAAACCTGCTGCATCTACACCCCGCAGGAACAGCCTGTTAAGCAGTTTGGGCTACCAGCTCTCAGCCTCCAAGACAGCCGCCCAGCAAAAGGCCGGCAGCTGGGTGAGAACAACCTGGAGAACCCCCTTTGCGCAATGAGGTCAGGAGTTCCACACTGCAGTGTCTCCTCATCTGAAGCTTCCAACTTTTCATTTTCAGGCGAGGTGCAACCAGGCTCTCCAAATCTGCCCCAACGCGCGCGCGCGCATACACACACACACACACACACACACACACACACACACACACACGAACACACAGACACACGAACACACAGATACACAAACACAGCGGGTGCTTGCTTCCGCTCCCCAAATAAAGAATGGTAATCAAGTTTCTCACCATCCTCATAGTTTTTGAGATAGTAATCCGGGCCCGGGCCCCCGCGGCTTTTCGCCGGGTTCCTCAGGTTCTGGAACTGCAGGAAGTCGGTCCTTTTGCCCCCGAAGCGCAGAAAGGCGGGCGAAAGTCCCCGGGCCAGGGTCACCAAGCGCTTGGAGCTGCAGAGGAAGAGAATAAGAGAGGAAAGGTTCCCAGGACAGGACGAGAGCGCGTGGGGCACGGAGAAGGGCCCTCTTCCTACTCCCTGAGGGCGACCTGGCCGGGGCTAGAGGCTCTGTGCCTGCCCCAGCCGGCAGTCCACGCTGGCCCTTGGCCGCTGCCCTGCGCCCCAGCCCGCCCTCACCGCCCGGCTCTGGGGGCTGTGCCTCCCGCTTCCAGACGCCCGCAGCGGCCCCCTCCCGCAGACACCCAGATCCTGATCTCCTAAAGGCTACAGATAGTGTTTGTTCATAGAGTGTTTGTATGGGGTGGGTGTACGTGCTACGAGCACGGCGCTAAAGCGCAGTTGCCCGGCTTCTGCCACTGCCAGGAAAGCGCTCCGGGCGGAGACGCGCTAGGCGCGCCTACCTCTGGCTTCCGACCGTTGCCAAAAACTTGTATGCTGAAAGCCGGCATTGCCTCCGCAGCCCCAGGGGCCCCACAAACCTCCGTGCAGGAGGTGAAACCTGCCTTGTTTCTCTCAGACCAGGCCCGGCGCCTGAGCTTAAGTGGATTCCTACTTTCTTTCTTTTAATGTCCGAGTTGATTTTCCTTTTTCACTATATTGTAAAAACTGCATTGTTTCCCAAATCCCCGGACGGAGAGATCCCCAGGGTAAACCCTCGCCTTTCCAAGAACACTTCTCCACTCCCGCACCACCACCACCACCACCACACACACACACAGTAAAGGCAAAGTCTCTTTGGCCCCTGAAATAATTCCGCCTGATCTCAGGAAAGGTAACATCCTCCTCCCCACCCCACCCCCGAGTTAGGCTCCATCTTTCTTCTTTCCCACTTGGGGCCGTTTGGAACCGCTAGGGAAAATGAAGCTTGCCGAAATGTGGAACCTGCGCGTTATGGGATACTAAATGAGCACAAAACAATAGCATTTGCATCTATTTAAGGTCAGGATTTCCATCAATAGGTTTTTTAAAAGCCAAAGGCTGCTGCTTTGGGAAGGAGTAGAAAAGGAGCAATGCAGATACTGATAATGCAGAGGGGATCAGCTGTTGAGTTCCGGGTCTGTAAATTATTTTTTAACGCTTTACTGTTTCAGATTCTGAAAACCCAAATCCACATGGTGACGTTAAAGAGCATCATAAAGGAGGTGGATACGAGAAAGAAAAAACAGACTCTGCTTTTGGAGAGTTTTTTGAGAAGAGACGTGGCTACCCCAGGGTCTTGTAACCAGAATGGTCGTTTGGCAGAAGTCTCCGGGACCGCACTCCAGGACAGGCACAGTCAGGGCGTCGCGTGGGCCTACTGTGGCAAAGGAGACGTCCGCGCGAATCCGGTCCTGGGGAAAGGGCAGTTCCAACAACCTTTCATCCAGAAGCCTGCACAGCCAATGCGAATGCGCCCCGCCAGGACTTCTTCCCCGAAAATCTGCCTTCCAGACTCTTTTCTGAGGCAGGAAAGCATTAGGCGAACAGGCAGATTTTTTAAAAAAAGAAAGAAAGCTGGTGGGGGAAAGGGGGTCTGCGCAGCTGAAGGAGTTCAATGAAAGTGGGACAAGCGTTGCGGAAAACTCCGTTGCACCCTACATTCGGACGAGCTCATAGACGCGCTCTGCTGCACGAAAGAGCTTTCGAAGAGGAAGCTGGGCCGCGCGGAGCTGGCTGTTCCGCCCTCGCGGCAACCGCACCAACAGGAACCGAAACGGCCTCGGCAAGGGCAGCTACAGCCTCTCAGTCCTCCGGCTACCTTTCCTCCACGTGGAAGGAGCGCTCCACGTGGCGCCTCCCGCTACCTGCCGCGTCCGCAGACCCGACCCGGGCCAGGGGGACAACCCCAAGAGCTGAGAGGCGGGCGCACCTCAAGAAGCAAAACTCGAATTTCGCAAGGAGTGAAAAATACGAAGGACGCACAACGGACCTGGCCTCGGGGCAAAGTGGGACTGAGAGCGCTGAGGGCTCTTCGAGGGGAACCCACAGCTGAGGCTCCAACTTGTAGGGAATTTTTAAAAACTCAACACTTGGATTCGACATTGCAGAGGATTTATTTCTTATTTTACACTGCAACTCTGTCCCTGATGGGAAGGGATCGCAGTTGCCTAACTGCCAAACTGCAACAACCCGGGAAGAGTGTGAGCCCAATTAGATTACAAGCCCTAGAGCAAAGGGGATCACAAACCTCCGGGTTTGCTAATCTGCTGGTGCGGAGTTCAGATCTCCGAAGCCTCCCTGGAGTATTTCTAGGACTCTTACCGCTTCCCTTATAACGCTGTGACCCCAGCGAGGATTTTTTTTTTCCTTTAAAGAAAAGCTAAACTGTGCAGTTACCGCAGGAGATTTAAGGAGGAGGAACTGGCGGGGGGAGGGGGGCATTCCGTCTATAAAAAGCGCCTTACAAAGTCCTGAAGTCTGGAAATGACAGCGGAGGATATAAAATAAAAAATTTTAACTCCGATCCAACTTGCCCACCACTCAAGCCTCTGCTTAAATTCGTTTTCTGAGAGTGGGAGAGAACTGACGAAACGATCTTTCCGTGGAAAATTCCAGTTTCGTGCAATCCCGCTTGAACACTCACACACACACACTCTCCTGTCTCACATACACACACACACACACACACACACACATACCCATTCCTTTCAGCTCTTTGTTGTTTGAGACCTTTTCTTCGCTTTTGTAACTGCTCTGAACCTCTTGTTTCTTTTTCAGAAGTAGACGGGAAGGCTAATTGTGGATATATGTAAGCACAACATTTTTTCAGTCATAACTGATAAGTTTCTGAAATGCCTTCTGCATTGCAAACATGTGCATCTTAATAGAAAACATTGCTTTTCTCAATCACTAGTTACAGCCTCACAGCACACAATCCAGGAGAAGGAAAACCTCTTTTCTTCTCTTTGAGAGATCTGCTTGGCTTATTTTCTTCTTTCCCCTTTGGAATGGGGGATAGGAAGGGCTTGAGGGGGTGTTACTAAAAAATTTTAAATGATCCATCGAAACCCCTGCCTTACCTTAGGAAATCGAGCCAGCCATCATGAATGATGGACGGATCCAGCTGCAGAGAGAGGAAGTTCTCATTGACTGTCCTGACTGGGTTCTTGGTGCTCACATCAAGTAGAATCAGGGTCTTTTCCTTCAAACCTGCAGCTCTGTCTACAGGCAAGGGTCTCCTGTCTCCAGCCTGGGAGGAAAGGGAGAGATGGAGCAACAGAGCCAAGTAGAGAGCCCCCGGGGCTAGGCACGCGGGGGGGCGGGAGTTGCTGGAGGGCATGGCTTCAGGGAAGGCACAAAGCACCCTCATTCAATCCCTCTGATTTAAACCTCTCTTCCTACTGGGTCTCGCTAGTGACTAATTGTCCTTATCTAAAGTGTGTGTCTGTCCGCCTTTTTCCCCCCTTTTTTTCCCTTCCTCCCACCACCCCCCCAACACACACACACTCTCTCTCTCTCCCGCTCTCTCTCTCTCTCGCTCGCTCGCTCGCTCGTTTTGTTTTTTTCTTTTTTTTTTTTAATTTTTTTTAATTTTTTTTTTCAGTGTTTTGGTGCTGGTGGAGCGAACTCACGCCCCTAGCCAGCCTTCCCCGTGACTCTTGCCAAGAGAACTCGTACACCGGCACCGCCCCTTTAAGAGATTTCTACTGCAGACATTTTTTAACTTTTTAAAGGTAAGGGGAGGGGAGCAGGCGGGAAGGAGGAGAAAAGGGTGGCGTTGTACCCTCCTAATTTAACCCTCTAGGGTCAGGAAGCAGAGGGAGGAATCCAAACCATGCCGTTGTACCGTCTGGGTACAGAGCAAAGGGTCTCGTTTTTACGTCCTTCCCTGAGAGGCTCTGGAGGGCGGTTCAAGCTCCGACTCCGACCCGAAAGCCCCAGCGCCAACCCGGGACGCGCTGGGATAGAGTTCCCACCGACAGCACGCTTGTTTCTCCTGACAGCGTCAGGCACTTCGTCCGCTCAGGGCCCTTTTCTGGTTGAAGCAGCAATACCAAGGGCGGTTAAGTTGCAGAGGGGTCTTGAGGCGGTGATTCCTGTCAAAGCATAGAGCCCTGAAGGACATTCCCCGAAGAGGAGCCCTGATCTCTGTGACGCGTTGGATAGCCACACCGAAGCATCCTCTGACCTCCATAGGGCAAAGAGTAGCAAGAAGGAAAAACATAGTGACCTGGTCAAGCAGCTTTTCCGATCCGAGGGCCAAAAGGGACATGCGCCCTCGCTCTGCTCTGCTCTTCCCGCAACCGAGGAATAAGCGTCTTGGGAGCGTCAATACATGCTGGCTTTGGCCAAGTCGAAGCTACCTGAGCTGTGCTTGGATAGTCAGGGCGGCTCTGCGTCCAACTGTGCCACTTCTTGGCCACTCTATTCTGCTGCACAGGTAGAGTCCCCCCTCCAGACCCTCCTGGAGGTCAATCCTATACTTAGCCCTCCTGCAGGGAAGTGCGCCTTTACAGTGCCAGATGGGACCATAGTGACACTTTCGGGTTTCCATCTCGGCCCCCAGTCAAAACCAGAGTCACATAGCCCTGGATGGGGAATAACAGCCGGAAGCCGCTGTGATGCACGACCCGCCGCTGCTCATTGAGCTTCCACCCCACAACAGCTTGCAAATTGAACTCTAGGTCCTATCCTGAAGCGCGGGAAAGGGATCAGGCACAGTTTGCTGCAGTCACATTGCTGGGCCCCACTTTCGGCTTCTTTCTGAGACAAAATGGGACTTCTACTTGGCAGATGAAGGGAACTACTTTATGTAGTGCGGGCAGTCAGAAACGCAGAAGCGTCCAGGGCCCTCCTTGGTATCAAACAAGCAAAACCCTAAAATGCAGAGCAAGGGTTTTCCCCAGAAGTGGATGGACAAGGGTTAGTCTTAAAGCCCAGCAAACGCTGTAATAGCAACCTGTATCCTCTTACCTCCACCCAGACCAGGATTAACAAATCTGAAAACAGCTGGAATAGATGACCTTCAACTGAAGTTCCCTGAAAAGCCTCTACCAACCTAAGCACCCAGGAAATCGAGATTATGTTGCATTCATCTGTGAAGCGCCATGACGACCTTCTAGAAATAGGACTGCATAAGATGAGGATATGGGAGAAAGCAAATGCAAGTCATATTATTTAAAGATGATTTTTTTAAATCAAGCTGTTACATAGTGAAGTATTGGATGTTGGCTCCAGCCCTAAGGCCTGTTTCCTTCAGTTCCTGAACATTTCTAAGACATCTAGATCCTTTAAACTGTGTGTGTGTGTCTGTGTATGGGTGTGTGGTGTGACATAAATTTCAGTCGAAATTCTTGTAATTTTTAAGTATGTATTGAGCACCTCTTAGAGATGGCAACAGCCTGGCGGGCAAACACTTTTGCCTTTGTGTTCCCAGACTGGAGCACTTAGTAGGCACTCAATAAATTCTGTGAAGTAAATTAATGGTAAATCCAATCATGCTCAACACACTGAAATAATATGCCCCTCTCCAGAACAATGTGAAAAATAAATACTTTTATTTGTCATAGTAAATTATGTTTTGGGTCTCTGTTCAATAATTTGTTTTCCCAGTTATTAACATTTTCCTGGCCATCTCCTTCAAAAAATACTTAACGTGTAAAGCCATTAGTTCATTTGCTATACTAAGAATTTTTAAAATTATATATTTTTAACAATGAGCCAGATTTTCCAAGGGCCTAAAATACCCTTGGCTTACAAGTGAATGCACTTTTAGAAGCCATGTTAATTGGGACCAATGGAAGACAATTTGAATACGTATATCCACTAGATGTCTATAATTAATACCTTTCAAAAATACCTATTCTTGTGACCAAGAATGAACTTGAGTATAATGAGAATGCACATAATTATGAATTTTCACCATTTTTGCTTACTGACCTAACTACTCTATAATGGTTTATTGGCCTAACTAAGTAGTATTTAATGTTTTCATCAGAATCTGTATGTGGTATTAAAATCAAAACCAACAAAACAAAGTGCTTGTTTTCTTAATTCCTGATGAAAACCATTTCTCTAGTCTAGCCATTGAAATTCTAAGTCATTCTATAGAGGACATCAGGGGAAAGAAATAACTGATATTTAAGAGGTTAGCCCTCGTTGGTCTCTAAGATGATTTGATTGTTTGGTGCTTTGGTTTAGTTTGGGTTTAGATCTCCAGAGATACTCTGCAAATAGCTGCCACACATATACCATATCATGGTTTTTGTCTTGCCTCTTATCTATTAATATGCTGTAAGTAGTTCATTAGTAATCAGTATATTAGATTGATGTTTCTATCCTATCTTCTGTGTGCTAGGTGACAGCAATCTGCATCTCTGTTTTGTCTTAGATTGTAACTTCCTAGAAGACAAGTATTGGGCCTCTGTATAAAATATGAACTGTCAGGCCAGGCACAGTGGCTCACATCTGTAATCCCAGCACTTTGGGAGCCAAGGCAGGCGGATCACCTGAGGTAAGGAGTTCGAGACCAACCTGGCAACATGGTGAAACCCCGTCTCTACTAAAAATATAAAAATTAGCTGGGCATGGTGGTGGGCACTTGTAATCCCAGCTACTCAGGAAGCTGAGACAGAAGAATTGCTTGAACCTGGGAGGAGGAGGTTGCAGTGAGCCAAGATGGAGCCATTGCACTCCAGCCTGGGTGACAAGAGCAAGACTCTGTCTCAAAAAAATAAAAAGTAAAATTAAAATTAAAAAATAAAATATGAACTCTCAGGAACTAGATGCACTGATGTCTCCTTGGAAACGCTCTGCTTAGTGTCTACTGAATGGTCTTCATAGATAAATTGCTTTGATATCTAAGAGCCCAGGTTCCCAGAACTGTAAGAAAACGTGAAGATTAACTGATTCAGTGATTTCTAGACTTTGTTTTTTCAAAATAAATATTAGTTAATGGGGAGGAGTGGACATAATGTTTGTCAAGGTTTTTTTTTTTTTTTTTTTTTTTTTTTTTGAGACAGAGTCTCGCTCTGTCGCCCAGGTTGGAGTGCAGTGGCACGATCTCGGCTCACTGCAACCTCCACCTCCGGGGTTCAAGCAATTCTCCTGCCTCAGCCTCCCAAGTAGCTGGGACTACAGGCGCACATCGCCACGCGCAGCTAATTTTTTGTATTTTAGTAGAGACGGGGCTTCACCGTGTTGCCTAGGCTGGTCTCAAACTCTTGAGCTCAGGCAATCCACCCACCTCAGTCTCCCAAAGTGATGGAATTACAGGCATGAGCCACCACGCCCAGCCCCGTTTGTCAACTTTTTATATTATCTAGTAAGGACCTTAATAAAAACTGTCAACTACTTATCTCTATTACTTTCCAAAAGAAAGGAAAATTTTAACATCTGAACAAAAGCTAAAATGACATGTCAAAATAAAGAGCAGTTGTTTAAACTGAGTAAATTTAGCTTTATGAAAAATCCCGGCCAGGTGCAGTGGCTCACGCCTGTAATTCCAGCACTTTGAGAGGTCGAGGTGGGTGGATCACCTGAGGTCAGGAGTTCGAGACCAGCCTGACCAACATAGTGAAACCCAGTCTCTACTAAAAATACAAAACTTAGCTGGGCATGGTGGTGGGTGCCTGTAATCCCAACTACTCAGAAGGCTGAGGCAGGAAAATCACTTGAACTCAGGAGGTGGAGGTTACAGTGAGCCGAGATCATGCCATTGCACTCCAGTCTGGGCGACAAGAGCAAAACTCCATCTCAAAAAAAGAAAAGAAAAGGAAAAAAAGAAAAGAAAAATCCCTATATTATTATCATTTCATCTCAGACAAGTGGAAATATATACCAGTAACCAACATGGGTACTAGGACTGGTGAATGGGACTACTGGGATATTATTCTGTGTTTATGTCCAAATTCTACTTTGTAGCATATAGTATTGCAAGATGTACAGCTAATGGTCATCTTGAGTACAATGATTTTCTTTTTTTTTTTTTTTTTTCGAGACAGAGTCTCACTCTGTCACCCAGGCTGGAGTGCAGTGGTGCGATCTCAGCTCACTGCAAGCTCTGCCTCCCAGGTTCACGCCATTCTCCTGCCTCAGCCTCCCAAGTAGCTGGGACTACAGGCACCTGCCACCATGCCCGGCTAATTTTTTTGTATTTTTTAGTGGAGACAGGGTTTCACCGTGTTAGCCAGGATGGTCTTGACCTCCTGACCTCGCGATCTGCCCGCCTCGGCTTCCAAAAGTGCTGAGATTACAGGCGTGAGCCACCACGCCCAGCCTACAATGATTTCTTTTGACTTTTCCTATGCCTTTTTCTCACTTTCAGCCTGTCACAAACTCATTAATTCTATATGCCGCCTGCCCTTTCCTTCTACTAAACATTCAAAGCTTAGTTTTCAC
Source organism: Homo sapiens (assembly GCF_000001405.40). NCBI lineage: Eukaryota > Metazoa > Chordata > Mammalia > Primates > Hominidae > Homo > Homo sapiens. Next base: position 99,240,833 of record NC_000010.11, read on the forward strand.
TATTCCCATTTTCCCCTTCTGTAAGAATTATGCCTAGCTGTCTAATAGAAATTTTAAAAAATGCTTTACACTGTAACTAGGACTGGGAAGCATGAAGATATAACAGCCAGTCCACTGTGTCCTCACTTACTGCCTGTATACCCAACTATGATGACTAATATTTATTGAGATCTCATGGTTCAAGCATGGTGCTCTCAAAAAAACCCTAAGAAGAGTTTTGTATAAACTTCTTCTTATACCTAGTTTACATATGAAAAAATTGAGACTTAGATATTAACTTTCTCATGGTACACAGATTAATAAGTACCAACACAGAATTAAACCAAGGGCCATCTGACTCTAAAGCCTAGGTTTGTGTTCTTAGTCAACACAAGTGGCTAAAGTATTGTATAACCCTCCAGAACCTATCAATGTATAGTGGGAAAACAAAAACAACAACAAAAAAAACCTTAGAGCAGGAGTTGGAGGCTCTAGGTTTAAGTCCTGACTTTACCAGATCTAGTCTTGTAAACTTGGATAAAATTTTTAATGGTTCTAAGCCTCAGCTGCCTTATCTGTCAAACTGATATAATATCCAAGAGTAAAGCAATAATTAGTAAGTTTATGTACGGGGAAAGTACTTTATAAATTCTAAAATATACAATCAATCAGGCACAGTGGCTCATGCTAATCCCAGCACTTTGGAAGGCTAAGACGGGAGGATTGCTCGAGCCCAGGAGTTTGAGACCAACCTGAGCAACACAGTGAGACTCTGTCTCTACAAAATGTTTAAAACATTATCCGGGTATGGTGGCACATGCCTGTAGTCCAACCTACTCAGGAGATTGAGGTGGGAAGAATCACTAAAGCCCGGGAGTTCAAGGCTACAGTGAGCTATGAGATCATGCCACTGCACTCTAGCCTGGGTAACAGAACGAGACCTTATCTCAAAAAAATAAAAAAAATTATACAATTGTGCTATCGCTTTCTTATTCATTCTTATTTCCTGTCTCCCACACGTGCCACAAATACATCCCCTTAACTAATGACTATGGTAAGAATTAAGTTATACATGAATGACTTAGTGGTAAACCTGAAACAAAAGGTGAACTCTATCTAATATAATATGGTGTTAATAAACGTGGTCAAACAAGTCTATACCACATATTTTAATCATGTAGGCTCTTCTGCCTGTGATTAGCATCTTTTAAGGAAGAAATTAGAGTAGGTTTTATATGTCTTTGATTTTCTACTAGGAAAGGGAAAACAGGAATAGGCAAAGGACAGTACAAGAGAACCCTGGTTACAAAGTATGTTATTTTGCCATCAAGGACTGTCTCTGTCCTGCCAGGAGAAGCAAGGGATGACAACACTTTCTCCATATGGAATGCTGAAGGAGAAAATAATTGGCAGCTCTACTGACTACACTTTGGGGATGTTTGTTATTGAAAATACCTGAGAATTTTTATGTGTAATATCCCTGGGAAAAAAATCAGATTGCCTTTCATGTGTTCAATGGCTTCATAATTTATAACTGTGATTGCTCCACCTCATCATATTAAGAAAACTCTGGTCTTTGTCCTTACTACTGCCATCAAGCAGTACATTTATTTGGGGAAGATCATAACCATAATAAATGTGATTGACTCTAATAAGTTCAGTTTGAAACCCCTTAGCATGTTTGGAGGTAGGGATGACAGTTACTTGAGGGACTGCTAGAGATAGAAAACTAACAGAAAAGCAGATTAAAATTACTCATGTCTTAGTTACACCCAGTGAAGAACCTATCTTTTACCATCCCTGCCAATTTTGCCATTTATACATTCAGGTAAGTCCTGAAAAGCATCATATTATATTGAAAAAAGTGTGGACTTTGGAGTCTGATAGACTGATTAAAATCTAATTCCCAATTTAATATCTGCTAATGTGACCTTTGTTGAACAAGTTATTTATCCTTGCTGAGTCCCAATTTCCCCATCTATAAAACAGGCATAAGATTACTTCCCTCCAAATGTGTTGTGAGAATTAAATGAGATAATATCTTTAGTACCTGGCATATAGTTGCTACTCATTGTCCTTCTCCTGGTTGGGTTTCACTGTGGAAATGAGTGTAATTTGCACAGATGGGTTACAAGGAAATTATATACCTACAACCTAAGGTTTTGAAATATAATTTACATATATACTATTTAATTTTATGCTCATAGCATAAAAAAGCACAGACTTTATCTTCATAATTTGGGTAAAAAATTAGAGTTAAGTCCGGGCACAGTGGCTCACGCCTATAATCCCAGCACTTTAGGAGGCTGAGGCAGGCGGATCACGAGGTCAGGGAATTGAGACCATCCTGGCTAACTCCATGAAACCCTGTCTCTACTAAAAATAAAAAAAATTAGCTGGGTGTGGTGGCACATGCCTATAGTCCCAGCTACTCGGGAGGCTGAGGCAGGAGAATTGCTTGAACCCAGGAGGCGGAGGTTGCAGTGAGCTGAGATTGCACCACTGCACTCCAGCCTCAGTGACAGAGCAAGACTCTGTCTCAAAAAAAAAAAAAATTATAGAGTTAAAATTTTCAAGTTGTTTCTTGAAGAATTTGAAACTAATGCCAGCTCTACTGACTACACTTCGAGTATGTTTCTTATTGAAAATACCAAGAACTTTTAATATCCTAGGGGTAAAAAATCAGATTGCCTTTCACATGTTCTATAGCTTCATTAACTATGTATGTATGTATAAGTTGTTTTTATATGTACTGTTTTCTTACACAGTTATTACATATTAATCAATCTTAAAGATAATTTCTGAGAAAGCAATGTATATAAATCATGTATATTTATCTCAATACATTTAAAATATTAATCTCCCTGTAATCCCAGCATTTTGGGAGGTTGAGGCAGGCAGATCACCTGAGGCTGGGAGTTTGAGACCAGCCTGGCCAACAAGGCAAAACCCCATCTCTACTAAAAGTACAAAACTTAGCTGGGCATGGTGGCAAGCACCTGTAATCCCAGCTACTCAGGAGGCTGACGCAGGAGAATTGCTTGAACCTGGGAGGTGGAGGTTGCAGTGAGTAGAGATTGCCCCACTGCACTCCAGCTTGGGCAACAGAGAGAGACTCAGTCTCGAAAATAAAATAAAATATTAATCTCAAACATTGAGATTAATGGACCTGTAATAAAACATTTGCCTGTAATACAATTGTGTTTGTCAACTCCAAAAAACTGACTAGCTACGACTGTATTTTCTCTTTTTCTGAGACAGAGTCTCGCTCTGTCACCCAGGCGGGACTGCAGTGGTGCTATCTCGGCTCATTTTCCTGCCTCAGCCTCCAGAGTAGCTGGGACTACAAGCGCCCGCCACCGTGCCCGGCTAATTTTTTGTATTTTTAGTAGAGAGAGGGTTTCACCATGTTAGCCAGGATGGTCTCAATCTCCTGACCTCGTGATCCGCCCACCTCAGCCTCCCAAAGTACTGGGATTACAAGCGTGAGCCACCACGCCCGGCCTACAACGGTATTTTCTTTTGTTCTCTAGGCTAATGGCATACTTTGACCTTTTTATTTTTATTTCTTTTATTATTATTATTATTATTATTATTATTATTATTATTATTTGAGACACGGTCTCACTCTGTCACCCAGGCTGGAGCGCAATGGTGTGATCATGGCTCACTGCAGTCTCTACTTCCTAAACTCAAGCAACCCTCTCACTTCAGCAGCCTTGTGTAGCTGAGACCACAGGTGTGAACTATGCCTGGATTTTTTTTTTTTTTTTTTTTTTTGTAGAGGCAGGGTCTCACCATGTTGCCCAGGCTGGTCTCAAACTCTTGGGCTAGAGCAATCCTCCCACCTTAGCCTCCCAAATGCTGTGACTACAGGCATGAGACTTTGACCTTTTTAAATACTCTAATATGTTTAGTTCATTATAAGGAGAGTTAAGCAAATGTTTATAACAGAAGGCTTACCACTGATTCATTCCACTACTCAATAATCAAAATCAGCTGACAGACTTTAGTAGTACATACTTACTCAATAGAATATTTTACTTCTGCTTGAATTAACATCTAGACCCCTAATTCTTTGGAGTAGTTTTGTCCCCACATAAGCAGATCCAAGAACTTCCTTAATTCAATACTAGTTATATTAAACCTTATCAGCCCTGTCACCAAATTTTCTAATACTTCTAGTCCTTTTCATTATCTAGAGATATTGACATGCTGATGACTCTTGGGAAGTATATTTAATTTTGATCAGACACTTAAATTTTAAATTCTTCTTTTGATTTTCTGAAGCCTGGACCACACAATAAAATAGTATTTCCTGTGCTGAAATACTTAAAAATAGTCTTTTCCCCTTTCAAGTAGAAATGAAAATAACGTGCAAGCCTAGGTCAGGGATTCTCACCCCTGGCTGCACATTAAAATCATCTGAGGAGCTTTTTAATAATTTATTTGGAGTAGGGCCTGAGAATATTCCAGATCCCTCACTACACAATTCTATTTGGTTTCTAATTTCAGAGAGCAAATTTAGATGACAAAGGATACCACATTATTTAATCTATTTGATTCCTAGGTTTCAGGTAATGAGGAGAAATAGGTCAGATTCTAAGGGATATCTCAAAAAAATTATTGGAATCTATTCTACACCTAATTTAGAAAGTGAAAGTTCAGATAGAGAGGGACCATCCCCTAAGGGGGAAAATTATGCAAGTAAATACCATACATCCTACTAGCTTTAACAGATTCTCAAACTGATCATTCTTTCATTCAATAAATATTTTCACTTTATACCATCTGATTAGGAAATTTGAAATACTGAATAACGCTAATTGTGAATGTAGAAAAATGGGAAACTTCTTGCATGCTGATGGAAGTATAAAGTAATTGGGCCACTCTGGAGACTGATCTGGCAATACTTAGTGAAATTAAATATGTATATTCCCTAAGAGCCAGTAATCCCACTGCTGGGCATAAACTCCAGTAGTAAAATTTGCAAAAAGGCCATTAAAACATTTGAATGAAGATGGTCAGTAAAGCGCTGAGTTTAATAGTGAGGAATTGGAGACACCTAGATGTCCATCATAAAGGAAATAGATAGGTAAAATGAGGACAACTGTTAGAAGCAATGAACTAAATGTACACACATACATATGTACATAAAATAGGTTTTAAATACAATGATAGGTGAGAAACACGCAAAACCAGAATGATACCTATAGCAAAATGTTAGTGCAAATTAAACACATATGTTAAACAATATATTTTACAAGGATACAAAAACATCAAAGGACATACATCAAATGCATTAGAGTTGATGCCTATAAGATAGTTGTTGAAAGAAAAAGAAAATAAAACAAAAAGACTTTTCATGGACCAATGTTCGTAAACAGTCTCTTACATTCAAGGCAATACTTAACCAATTATGGGGGGGAAAATACAAGAAATATTTATTGAGGTCTGACAATGGACCGGGTATTGTGTCCTCCTGCCACCTTGAGATCCAAAGAGGAATAAGAATATCCTTGCCCTTGGAAACCTCACAGTGTACCTGGAAGAATGAACAGGCTAACAAATCCATTTGATAAGTGCTATAATAAAAATGTGGTGAAAGGTGCTGTGGAGCACAATAAGGGATTATGACTTAAAATCAATTTGTGGCCGTGCGTGATGGCTCATGCCCGTAATCCCAGCACTTTGGGAGGCCAAGGCAAGCGGGTCACCTGAGGTCAGGAGATCGAGACCATCCTGGCCAACATGGTGAAACCCCGTCTCTACTAAAATACAAAAAATTAGCCAGGTGTGGTGGAGCGTACCTTTAGTCCCAACTACTCAGGAGGCTGAGGCAGGGGGATTGCTCAAACCAGGGAGGCAGAGGTTGCAGTGAGCCGAGATCACACCACTGCACTCCAGCCTGGCAACAGAGCAAGACTCCATCTCAAAAAAAAAAAAATCAATTTGTATATATAGAAGCCTATTACTTGATACATATGTAATTTTGCATCACAATAATTACTAAAATATTTCATACTGTTTTTCTTTTTATGTGTCCAGTTTTGCCTAGCTTCTACTTTAGTAATAGCTAAGGGTTGCCTGCTGTAGAAATGCTAGAGTGCCATCTGCTGGTGGAAATGTTTGAAATTCCCCCAACTACCTCACAATCTGTTCTCAAAAACAAAAATAATCATACCCATAATCGTATATTTGGGCTTGAAGAAATCTTAGAAATCATATAGTTCAGGACCCTAGTTTTAGAGAGTAGGAAGTATCTTTCTTACAAGATTTCATGTCATTTAAGAAAATCAAGAACACACAAGCATACACACATACCCTTCCATCGCCACTGTAAATGTCACAGAATGCTATACAGTTAAGACTCACAAAGATAAACTATCTTAATTTCCCCAATTAGATAAACATATAATCTCCTTTAAAGACTTCCATAAGACATTTTTAAACCTTTTGGTAAAGATCACTTCCCAGGAAAACAATCTTAGTAAGGCAGTTTACTGCAACATGAAAAGAATTAGTTCTGCTGTCAAACCTAAGTTCATTCCAGCTTTACTATGTATTTTTAAAAGTAAGGAAGTTCTGAACATGGAAATGAAAACATGATACCCGCTACCGCAAAAACACACTTAAGTATATAACCCATAGATCCTATAAAGCAACCACACAATAGAAACTACAAAGCAACTAGCTAACAATGTCATGATAGGATCAACACCTCACATATCAATATTAACCTTGAATATAAATGGTCTAAATGCCCCACTTAAAAGACACAGAGTGGTGATTTGATTTTTTTAAAAAATGAGACCAATCCATCTGCTTTCTTCAAGACACACATCTCACACATAATGACACCCATAGGCTTAAAGTAAAGAGTTGGTGATATGGTTTGGATTTGTGTCCCCACCCAAATCTCATGTGGAATTCTAATCCCCAATGTTGGAGGAAGAGCCTGGTGAGAGGTGATTGGACCATGGGGGTGGATTTCCCCTTTTCTGTTCTCATGACACTCAGTGAGTTCTCATGAGATTGGGTTGTTTAAGTGTGTAGCACCTACCCCTTCTCTCTCTATCCCAGGCTCCAGCCATGTAAGACATGCCTACTTCCACTTCTGCCATGATTGTAAGTTTCCTAAGGTTTCTCAGCCATACTTACTGTACAGCCTGTAGAACCATGAGCCAACTAAACCTCTTTTATTTATAAATTACCCAGTTTGGGGTATTTCTTTATAGCAGTGTGAAAATGACTAATACAGAAAATTGGTACCAGGAGCAGGGTACTGCTATAAAGATATCTGAAAATGTGGAAGTGACTTTGGAACTGGATAATGGGCAGAGGTTGGAACAGTTTGAAGGGCTCAGAAGCAGACAGGAAGATGAGGGAAAGTTTGAAACCTCCTAGAGCCTTGTTAAAATGTTGTGACCAAAATGCTGATAGTGATATGGACAATGAAGTCCAGGCTGAGATGGTCTCAGATGGAGAGGAGGAACTTATTGGGAACTAGAGAAAAGGCCACTTTTCTATGCTTTAGCAAAGAGGTTGGAGGCATTGGGCAACTGCCCTAGGGATCTGTGGAACTTTAAACTTGAAAGTGATGATTTAGGGTATCCAGTGGAAGAAGTTTCTAAGCAGCAAAGCATTCAAGATGTAGCCTGGCTGTTTCTAGTAGCCTATGCACACTCATGAGCAAAAAAATGATGTAAAACTGGAACTTATATTTAAAAGGGAGGTGTAAAAGTTTGGAAATTTTGCAGCCTGGCCATGTGGTACAAAAGAAAAACCATTTTCAGGGGAAGAATTCAAACCAGCTACAGAAATTTGCCTAAGTAAAAAGGACTAAATGTTAATAGCAAAGACAATGGGGAAAATGCCTCAAAGGCATTTCAGAGACCTTTGTGGCAGCCCCTCCCCTCACAGGCCCCAAGGCCTAGGAGGGAAGAATGGTTTTGTGGGCCAGACCCAGGACCCCAATGCCCTGTGCAACCTCAGGACGCTGCTCCCTGCATCCCAGCCCTCCAGCTCAAGCCATGGCTAAAAGAGCCCCAGATAGGTCTCAGACTCCTATTCCAGAGGGTGCAAACCATAAGCCTTGGCAGTTTTCATGTGGTGTTAAGCCTCCGGATGCTCAGAGGGCAAGAGCTGAGGCTTGGAAACCTTGAGCTAGATTTCAGAGGATGTATGGAAATGCCTGGATGTCCAGGCAGAAGTCTGCTGCAGGGGTGAAGCCCTCATGGAGAACCTCTACCAGGATAGTGTGGAGGGGAAATGTGGGGTTGGATCCCACACACAGAGTCCCCACTAGGGCACTTCCTAGTGGAACTGTGAAAAGAGGGCCACTGTTCTTCAGACCCCAGAATGGTAGATGCGCCAACAGCTTGTACAGTGTGCCTGGGAAAGCTGCAGGCACTCAACACCAGCCCTTGAGACCAGCCATGGGAGCTGAGCCCTGCAGAGCTAAAGCAGTGGAGCTCCTCAAGGCCTTGGGAGCCCAACCCTTGCATCAGTGTGCCCTGAATATGAGACATGGAGTCAAAGGAGATTATTTTGGAGCTTTAAGATTTAATGACTGCCCTTCTGTGTTTTGGATTTGCATAGGGCCTGCAGCCCCTCTCTTTGGCTGATTTCTCCCTTTTGGAATGGGTGTATTTACCCAGTGTCTGCACCTCCATTGTATACTGGAAGTAACTAACTTGTTTTTGATTTTACAGGCTCATAGGCAGAAGAGACTTGCCTTGTCTCAGATGAGACTTTGGACTGTGGACTTTTGAATTAATGCTGAAATGAGTTAAGACTTGGGAGACTGTTAAGAAGGGATGACTATATTTTGCAATGTGAGAAGGACATGAAATTTGGGAGGGATTGTGGGCAGAATGATATGATTTGGATTTGTGTCCCTGCCCAAATCTCAATTTGAATTGTAATCCCCAATTTTGGATGAAAGGCCTGGTGAGAGATGATTGGATCATGGGGGTGGATTTGCCCCTTGCTGTTCTTGTGATAGTGGGTGAGTTCTCATGAAATCTGGTTGTTTAAAAGTGTGTAGTGGCCAGGTGTGGTGACTCATGCCTGTAATCCTAGCATTTTGGGAAGCTGAGGCAGGCAGATCATGAGGTCAGGAGTTCGAGACTAGCCTGGCCAACATGGTGAAACCCTGTCTCTACTAAAAAATACAAAAATTAGCCAGGCATGGTGGCGGGTGCCTGTAATCCCAGCTACTCAGGAGGCTGAGGCAGGAGAATCACTTGAAACCGGAAGGTGGAGGTCACAGTGAGCTGAGATCATGCCACTGCACTCTAGCCTGGGCAAAAGAGCAAAACTCCATCTCAAAAAAAAAAAAAAAAAGTGGGTAGCACCTCCCCTTTTATTTCTCTTCCTCCTGCTCCAGCCATGTAAGATGTGCCTGCTTCCCCTTCTGCCATAATTGAAAATTTCCTGAGGCCTCCCCAACCATGCTTCCTGTACAGTCTATGGAACTGTGAGCCAGCTAAACCTCTTTTCTTTATAAATTACCCAGTTTCAGATATTTCTTAATAGCAACAAAAGAATAGACTAATAAATAGACCTACAAAAAGATTTAGCAGCACAATAATAGTGAGGGACTTCAACACCACCCTGTCACTATTAGATCATTGAGGCACAAATATAACAAAGAATCTGGACTTAAACATGACACTTGACCAATTATACCTAGTAGACATCTACAAAATACTCTGCTCATCAACCACAGAATATACATTCTTCTCATCTGCACACATAACATACTGCAAGGTCGACCACGTGCTAGGCCATAAAGCAAGTCTCAATAAATTCAAAAAACTCAAAATCCTACCAACCATACTCCTGGACCACAGTGGAATAAAAATAGAAATCAATACCAAGAAGATCTCTCAAAACCACACAATTACACAAAAATTAAACAATTTTCTCCTAAATGACTTTTGGGTGAACAACAAAATTAAGACAGAATTTAAAAAATTCTTTGAAGTAAAAAATGAAAACAAAGACACAACATAGCAAAATCCCTGAGTTGTATCAAAAGCAATATTAAGAGAAAAGTTTATAGCACTAAATAGCTACCACAAAAAAATTAGAAAGATCTTAAATTAACAATTTGACATTCCACCTAAAGGAACTAGAAAAACAAGAACTCCAAAGCTAGCAGAAGAAAAGAAATAACTAAAATCAGAGCAGAATTGAGCTAAATTGAGACACAAAAATCCAGACAAAGAATCAACAGAAACAAAAGTTTGTTCTTTGAAAGGATCAAGATCAATAGACTGCTAGCTAGATTAACAAAGAAAAAATAGAGAATATCCAAATAAGCAAAATCAGAAATGACAGAAGTGACAACCAATCTCACAGAAATACAAAAGATCCTCAGAGACTATTATGAATGCTTCTATGCCACAAACTACAAAACCTAGAGGAAATGAATAAATTCCTGGAATCATACAATCTCTCAAAATTGAATCAGCAAGAAATTGAAACCCTGAACAGACCAATATCAAGTTCAGAAATGTAATTAGTAATAAAGCACCTACCAAAAAACAAAGAAGTCCCAGACCAGAAAGATTAACAGCCGAATTCTACCAGACATACAAAGAACAGCTGGTACCAATTCTAGTGAAACTATTCCAAAAAATCGAGGAGGAGGGACTCCTCCCTAATTCTATGGAGCCAGCATCACCTGATACCAAAACTTGGCAAAGACACAACCGAAAAAGACTACAGGACAATATCCCTAATGAACATAGATGCAAAAATCCTCAACAAAATACTAGCAAACCGAATCCAGCAGCTAATTCAATAAGCTAATTCACCATGATCACATAGGCTTATAGGCTTGATTTCTAGGATGAAAGTTTGGTTCAACATAAGCAAATCAATATATGTGATTCACCACACAAGCAGAATTAAAAACAATTGGCTAGGCATGGTGGTTCACATCTGTAATTCCAGCACTTTAAGCAGCCAAGGCAGGAGGATCACATGAGACGAAGAGTTTGAGACCAGCCTGGGAAACATAGTGAGATACTCTCTCTACCAAAAAAAAAAAAAAAAAAAAAAAAAAATTAGCTAGGTATGGTGGCACGTGCCTGTAGTCGCAGCTACTCAGTGGGCTGAGGTAGGAGAACTGCTTAAGCCCAGTAGGCCAAGGCTGCAGTTGGCCATGATCATACCACTCCAGCCTGGGAAACAGAGTGAGACTTTGTCTTGAAACACATACATACATACATACAAACAAAAAACATATGATCATCTCAATAGATGCAGAAAAAGCTTTTGATAAAATCTTACATCCCCTCATGATAGAAACCCCCAAGAAACTAGACATCAAAGGAACATACCTCAAAATAATGAGAGCTATCTGTGATAAACCCACAGCCAACATCATACTGAATGGGCAAAACTGGAAACATTCCCCTTGAGAACTGGAACAAGATAAGGATGCCTATTCTCAGCACTCATTCTTCATAGTACTAGAAAGAAGTGTTACCCAGAGCAATCATCCAAGAGAAAGAAATAAAAGTCATCCAAATAGGGGAAAAAAAAGAAGTCAAACTATCTCTCTTTATGGATGATATGATTCTATTCATAGAAAACCCTAAAGACTCCACCAAAAGGCTCCTAGAATGGATAAATGACTTTGGCAATGTTTCAGGATACAAAATCAATGTACAAAAATCAGTAGTATTTTTATACACCAATAATGTTCAATCTAAGAGCCAAATCAAGAACACAATCCCTTTACAATAGCCACAAAAAAATGAAATACCGGCCAGGCGCAGTGGCTCACGCCTGTAATCCCAGCACTTTGGGAGGCTGAGGTGGGTAGATCATGAAGTCAGGAGATCGAGACCATCCTGGCTAACACGGTGAAACCCCATCTCTACTAAAAAATACAAAAAATTAGCTGGGCGTGGTGGCGGGCGCCTGTAGTCCCAGCTACTCGAGAGGCTGAGGCAGGAGAATGGCATGAACCTGGGAGGCAGAGCTTGCAGTGAGCCAAGATAGCACCACTGTACTCCAGCCTGGGCGACAGAGCGAGACTCCGTCTCAAAAAAAAAAAAAAAAAAAATGAAATACCTAGAAACATATCTGACCAAGGAGGTGAAAGATCTCTACAAGGAGAACTACAAAACACTGCTAAAAGCAATCACAGATGACACAAACAAATAGAAAAACATTCCATGTTCATGGATTGGAAGAATCAATATTATAAAAATGGCCATATTGCCCAAAGCAATCTATAAATTCAATGCTATTCCTATCAAACTACCAATGTCATTTTTCACAGAACTAGAAAAAAACTATACTAAAATTCATATGGAACCTAAAAACACCTGAAAAGCCAAGGCAATCCTAAGGAAAAAGAACAAAGCCAGTGGTATCACATTAACTAACTTCAAACCATACTAATAAGGCTATGGCAACCAAAACTGTACCACTCATAGTACTGGTATAAAAACACAGACCAATGGAACAGAATAGAGAACCCAGAAACAAAGCTGCACACCTACAGCCATCTGATCTTTGACAAAGTTAACAACAACAAAAAAAGCAATGGGGAAAGGATTCCTTATTCAATAAATGGTGCTGGCATAGCTGGCTAGTCATAAGCAGAAGAATGAAACTGGACCCCTACCTTTCACCATATGAAAAAATTAATTCAATTTATAAGAATCCTAGAAGAAAACCTAGGAAACACCATTCTGGACATCAACCTTTGGAAATAATTTATACTTAAGCCCTGAAAAGCAACTACAACAAAAACAAAAATTGACAAGTGGGATCTAAGTAAATTAAATGGCTTCTGCACAGCAAAAGAAACTATCAACAGAGTAAACAGATGACCTAGAGAATGGGAGAAAATATTCACAAACTACTCACCCAACAAAGGCTTAATATCCAGAATCTATAAGGAACTTAAACAACTGAACAAGCAAAAACTAAATAACCTCATTAAAAAAATGGGAAAAAGACATGAACAGACACTTCTCAAAAGAAGATATACAGGCAGCCAACAAGCATTTAAGAGTGTTCCACATAACTAATCATCAGAGAAATGCAAATAAAACCACAATGAGTTGCCATCTCACAGCAGTCAGAATAGCTATTATTTAAAAAAGGAATGCCTGTACACTGTTGGTGAGAATGTAAATTAGCTCAGCCACTATGGAAAGCTATTTGGAGATTTCTCAAATAACTTAGAACTACCATTCAATCCAGCAATCTCGTTACTGGGTATACATCCAGAGAAAACAAATCATTCTACCAAAAAGACATATGCACTCGCATGTTCATGGCAGCACAATTCACAACAGCAAACACATGGAATCAACCTAGGTGCTCATTAACAGTAGACTGGATAAAGAAAATGTGGTACAGATACACCTCGGAATACAATGCAGCCATAAAGAAAACAAAATCACATCCATTGAAACAACATAGATGCAGCTGTGAATTAACACAGGAACAGATAACCAAATAATGCATGTTCTCACTTCTAAGTGGGAGATAAACATTGGGTACTCATGGACAGAAAGATGACAACAATAGACACTGGGGACTACTAGAGGAGTGAGGGAGAGAAGGAAGGTTGAAAAACTAACTATTGGTTACTATTCTCAGTACCTGAGTGATGGGATCATTTGTACCCCAAACCTCAGCATCGTGCAATATAACCAAGTAATAAATTTATACATGTACCTCCCAAATCTAAAAGTTGAAAAAAAATTTTAAAAAGAATAAATGTTATTCACCATTATTAATGTGATTAGGTGTAATTTAATCTTGACTGAAAATAGCTAATTGTTTAACTAAAAGTTTAGTTTTTCCTATAGCATATCTAATATAAGTTGAAAGTGTCTTTCTTAAAATGTATGAGATCCTTACAATGGAATACTATCTGACAATTATAAGAAATGGAGTACTAATATAAACTACAGTGTGGATGAGCTTTGAAAACATTATGCTAAGTGAAAGATGTCAGTCACAAAAGACCACATAATACAAAATTTGTTTATATGAAATATCCAGAGCAGGCAAACATATAGAAACAAAAAATAAATAAGTGGTTGTCAGGAATTGGGAAGAAGTTAATGAGGAATGACTGATAACAGGTAAAGAGTTTCTTCTGAAGGTGATGAAAATGTTTAAAAATCCAATTATGGAGATGACCATAAAAATCCATGAATATACTACAAAACACTGAATTTTATATATTAAATCAGTAAATTTTGTGCTATATATATTTTATCTCAATAAGGCTCTTAAAAATATATAAGGAAAATTTTCTTTCAGCCTAGTTGAACACATTGAAAACTAATGATCCCAAAGGACAGACATTAGAAAAGTTACAGCAATATTTAGACGTCTATCAAATCACTAAAAGGGTTTAATGTGTTTCTTATATTTGTTTATTTTAAATTTGTGTATGAAAACGTGATTACTGGTGAATTCTAACAAACATTTAAGGGAGAAATAGTATTAGTTTTATACAAACTCTTCGAGGAAGTAGGAGAGGAGATACCTGTCCCCAATTTATTCTATGATGCCAGCATGGCTTTGATACCAAAACCAGAAAAAGATATTAGAAAAAAATAAAACTACTGACAAATAAGGATACTACATCACAACAAAGTTGGGCTTATCCAGGAATATAAGGTTGTTTTAACATTCAAAAGCATAAATATAACTCAACATACTAACAAATTAGTACACACACATGCACGCATGCACACATACACACACACACACACACACACACACACACACGACTACAATAGATGCAGTAAAGTCATTTGATAAAATCCAAAATCCATTCCTCATAAAAACTCTCAACAAAATGAGAATTAAAGGAAACTTTGTTCATTTAATAAAGAGCAACTATGAAAAATATATAGGTAGCATCATATTTAATGGCAAAAGACTGAATGATTTCACCCTGCTATGGTTTGAACATGCCTCCACCTTCACAAAAGCATATGTTGGAAACTTAATCCCCAGTTGCATTAGTCCATTTTCACACCAGTATAAAGAACTGCCTGAGACTGGGTAAGTTATAAAGAAAACAGGTTTCACTGACTCACAGTTCCACAGGCTGTGAAGGAGTCATGGCTGGGGAGGCCTCAGGAAACTTACAATCATGGCAGAAGGCGAAGCAGAGGCCAGCACATCTTCTCATGACTGGCAGGAAAGAGAGACAGTGAAGGGGGAAGTGCTACACACTTTTAAACAACCAGATCTCATGATAACTCAGCATCGTGAGAACAGCAAGGGGGAGATCTGCCCCCATGATCCAATCACCTCCCAACAGGCCCTTCCTCCACCACTGAAGATCATAACTCAACATGAGATTTGTGTGGGGACACAGAGCCAAACCATATTACCAATACAATAGTGTTGGGATGTGCAGCCTAATGGGAGGTATTTAGGTCATGCAGGCTCCACCCTCATGAATGGATTAATGCCATTTATAAAAAGGCTTGAGCCTGCAAGTTTGATCTCTTGCTCTTTCTTGCCCTCTCTTTGCCCTTCTGCCATGAGATGTGTAGGGGCAACCCACCCCTACAAGATGACTCACCAAACAGGTCCTTATGATATGCCAGCCCTTCAATCTTAGACTTCCCAGCGTCTCGAACCTTGAGCCAACACACTTCTGTTCATTATAAATTACCCAGTCTGATATTCCGTTAGCACAAAATGGACTATGACACTAAGACCTGCAATAACACAAGAATGTCCACTGTTACCACTTTTATTCAATATTCTACTAGAAGTTCTGGACAGTGCAATCAGCAAGAAAAATAAATAAAAAGCATTTATATTTGACAGGAAAAGGTAAAACTATCTTTATTCTCAAACAACATGAATGTCTTTATAGAAAATCTGATGGACACTACTAAGAAGCTACTAGAACTAATACATGAATTTATCAAGATTGTAGGTTATGGCTGGGCTTGGTGGCTCACGCCTGTAATCCCAGCACTTTGGGAGGCTGAGGCGAGCAGATCACGAGGTCAAGAGATCAAGACCATCCTGGCCAACATGGTGATACCCTGTCTGTTGTGGGAAGTCAGGGACCCCAAATCAAGGGATTGGCTGAAGCCATGGCAGAATAACGTGGATTGTGAAGATTTCATGGACATTTATTAGTTCCCCAAATCAATATTTTTATAATTTCTTACGCCTGTCTTTACTGCAATCTCTGAACATAAATTGTGAAGATTTCATGGACATTTATCACTTCCCCAATCAATACCCTTGTGATTTCCTACGCCTGTCTTTAATCTCTTAATCCTGTCATCTTCATAAGCTAAGGAGGATGTATGTCGCCTCAGGACACTGTGATGATTGCGTTAACTGCACAAATTGTTTGTAGAGCATGTGTGTTTGAACAATATGAAATCTGGGCACCTTGAAAAAAGAACAGGATAACAGCAATGTTCAGGGAACAAGAGAGATAACCTTAAACTCTGACCGCTGGTGAGCCGGGCAGAACAGAGCCATATTTCTCTTCTTTCAAAAGCAAATGGGAGAAATATCACTGAATTCTTTTTCTCAGCAAGGAACATCCCTGAG
The DNA here is from genome assembly GCF_000001405.40 of Homo sapiens. Taxonomy (NCBI): domain Eukaryota; kingdom Metazoa; phylum Chordata; class Mammalia; order Primates; family Hominidae; genus Homo; species Homo sapiens. The sequence goes on from NC_000010.11 coordinate 99,257,402, forward strand.
AAAGAGAATGCATCCCTGAGGGTAGGCCTCTAAAATGGCCGCTTCGGGGGGCAGCTGTCTTTTATGGTCGAAGCTGTAGGGATGAAATAAGCCCCAGTCTCCGGTAGCACTCCCAGGCTTATTAGGACGAGGAAATCCCCGCCTAATAAATTTTGGTCAGACCGGTTGTCTGCTCTCAAACCCTGTCTCCTGATAAGATGTTATCAATGACAATGCGTGCCCGAAACTTCATTAGCAATTTTAATTTAGCCCTGGTCCTGTGGTCCTGTGATCTTGCCCTGCCTCCATTTGCCTTGTGATATTCTATTACCTTGTGAAGTATGTGATCTCTGTGACCCACACCCTATTCATACACTCCCTCCCCTTTTGAAATCACTAATAAAAACTTGCTGGTTTTGCGGCTTGTGGGGCATCACGGAACCTGCCGACATGTGATGTTGCCCCTGGATACCCAGCTTTAAAATTTCTCTATTTTGTACTCTGTCCTTTTATTTCTCAGACCAGCCGACACTTAGGGAAAATAGAAAAGAACCTACGTGACTATCGGGGACAGGTTCTCCCGATACCTGTCTCTACTAAAAATACAAAAATTAGCTGGGCGTGGTGGCGTGTGACTGTAGTCCCAGCTACTTGGGAGGCTGAGGCAGGAGAATCACTTGAACCCAGAAGGCGGAGGTTGCAGTGAGCTGAGATCATGCCACTGCACTCCAGCCTGGTGACTGGAGCCAGACTGCATCTCAAAAAAAAAAAGATTGTGGGTTATAAGATCAATATACAAAAGTTAATTGTATTTTTATGTATTAGCGACAAATAATAAAGAATTGAAATTTCATAAACAATGTCATTTATAATAGAACTCAGGAATTTTAAAACACCTGGGAAATACTTAGAGATAAATACTTAGAATTAAAGCCAACAAAAGATGTGCAAGACCTGAAAACTATAAAACATTGAGAGATAAATGAAAGAAAATCTAACTAAATGGAGTAATATATATATATATATATACTTTGACCCTATGTTGAAATACTCAATCTTGTTAAGAGGTCAATTCTCCCAAAATAGTTCTGTAGATTCAACACAATCTCAATTAAAATCCCAGTTTGTTCTTAAGGGAAAATGACAAGTTGGTTCTAAAATGCAGATGAAAATACAAAGGACCTAGAACAGGCAAAACCAGTCTGAAAAAGGACAAATTTGGGGCCAACGTTGCCTGATTTCAAATCTTATTATAAAGCTACAGTAATCAAGGCAATGTATTATTGGCATCAAGACAAATAGATCAGTAGAGCAGAATAGAGTCCAAGAATGGACCCACATACATGGACAATTGATTTTTGACAAAGATGCAAAGGTAGTTCAATAAAGAAAGGGTTGCCTTTTTAACAAATGCTGCTGAAACAAGTGGCTATCCATATGTAAAACAAACAAAACTTAGCACCATACATACAAATAATTAACTCAGAATGGGTCACAGACCTAACTATAAACCTAAAACTATAGAGCTTTTTGAAGAAAACATAGAAGTTCTTTATGACTTTTGGTTAAGGAATATTCTCTTAGATGCAACACAATAAGCAAAACACATGAAAGAAAAAATGTAATAAAAGACTTTGTGAAAAATAAAACATTTGCTCTTCAAAAGACACTGTTAGGCACTTTGGGAGGCTGATGTGGGTGGATCACCTGAGGTCAGGAGTTCAAGACCAGCCCGACCAACATGGCAAAACCCCATCTCTACTAAAAATGCAAAAATTAACCAGGCATGATGGCACATGCCTGTAATCCCAGCTACTTGGGAGGCTGAGGCGGGAGAATTGCTTGAACCTGGGAGGTGGAGGTTGCAGTGAGCCAAGATTGCTCCATTGCACTCCAGCCTGGGCAACAAGAGCAAAACCCCCCCCACCAAAAAAAAAAAAAAAGACACTGTTAGGAGGCTGAAAAGACAAGCTACTGACTGGGAAAAAAATATTTGCAAAGCACATATACCATAAAAGACTTGTATACAGGATACATAAAGAACATTCCAAAAGTAATAAGAAACAAGCAACCTAATAATAAAGTGGGCAAAATATTTAAACAGATACTTTGCCAAAGAAGATACATGAATCACAAAAAATTGCACGAAAAGATGCTCAACATCATTAGTCATTAAGAGAGTTGCAAATTAAAGCCACAATGAAATGTGGGAAGAAAGGAATATGCAATACCAAGATGTCATGAATAAAACAATATTCCAACATCAAAGACAACAGAAATGGACTAGGTAAACACTCTAAGGCAGGGGTCCCCAACTCCCAGGCCACAGACTGGTATCAGTATGGGTCTGTGGCCTGTTAGGAAGGGGGACCACACAGCAGGAGGTGAGCAACAGGTGAGCAAGCATTACCACCTGAGCTCTGCCTCTGTCAGATCAGAGGTGGCATTAGATTCTCATAGGACCCTAAACCCTATTGTGAACTGTGCATGTGCAGGATCTAGGCTGTGTACTCCTTATGAGAATCTAATGCCTCATGATCTGAGGTGGTACAGTTTCAACCCGAAATCATCCCCACCCTCAACCCTTCCCCCGTAGAAAAACTGTCTTCCACTAACCTGGTTCCTGGTGCCAAAAAGGTAGGGGACTGCTGCTCTAGGAATTGCTTATTCACCATCAGTAGCAGAAACCCAGAATTTCAAGATTTTTGTTACTGATGGTAAGTAAACAATTCTAAAATATGGAATAGATCAATCAGAAATATTGTTAAAGTTAAAGCCCACAGATGTGCCTATGCATCTTTGTGAGAATAATGATAGATGAAACAGCAATCTCAAATATAGCAACAGCCATGAGCTCCTACAAAAAAAAAAAAACCCTGTTGCTGAAATATACAGCCTTGTTGCCCACACAAAGCCTGTTGGTGGTCTCTTCACACAGATGCGCGTGACATTTGGTGCCAAAACCCGGGATAGGAGGACTCTTTCGGGAGACTGGTCCCCTGTCCTCGCCCTCGATTCATGAGGAGATCCACCTACAACATCAGGTCCTCAGACCACCAGCCCAAGGAACATCTCACCAATTTCAAATCAGGTAAGCAGTCTTTTCACTCTTCTCCAGCCTTTCTCACTACCCTTCAATCTTCCTCTCTCACTACCCTTCAATCTCCCTGCCCTTCCAATTCCAGTTGTTTTTCCTCTCTAGTAGAGACAAGAGGACACATTTTATCCGTGGACCCAAAACTCTGGCGCAGTCCCGGACTCGGGAAGACAGTCTTCCCTTGGTGTTTAATCACTGTGGGGATGCCTGCCTTGGTCATTCACCCACATTCCCTTGGTGGCAAGTCAACTTTGGGGACACCTGGTTTGGCTGCTCACCCACATTGCAGCCCAGGGCTGCTCACCATCCCCTTCTCCGTGTCTCTGCCTTTCTCTTTAAACTTACCTCCTTCACTATGGGCAACCTTGCGACCTCCATTCCTCCTTCTTCTCCCTTAGCCTATGTTCTCAAGAACTTAAAACCTCTTCAACTCACACCTGACCTAAAACTGAAACGTCTTATTTTCTTCTGCAATACCACTTGGCTCCAGTACAAACTCGACAGTGGTTCCAAATAGCCAGAAAATGGCACTTTTAATTTCTCCATTTTACAAGAGCTGGATGATTTTTGTCAAAAAATGGTCAAATGGGTCTGAGGTGCGCCTGCTGTCCAGGCATTCTTTTACACATTGGTCCCTCCCTAGTCTCTGCTCCCAATGCAATTCATCCCACATCTTTCTTCTTTCTCTCTTGTCTGTTCCTTCAGTCTCCACCCAAAGCTCTGAGTTCTGTGAATCCTCCTTTTCTACAGACCCATCTGACCTCTCCCCTCCTCCCCAGGCTGCTCCTTGCCAGGCCGAGCCAGGTCCCAATTGTTCCTCAGCCTCTGCTCCGCCACCCTATAATCCTTCTATCACCTCCCCTCCTCACACCCGGTCCGGCTTACAGTTTCGTTCCTCGAATAGCCCTCCCCAACCTACCCAACAATTGCCTCTTAAAGAGGTGGCTGGAACTAAAGGCATAGTCAAGGTTAATGCTCCTTTTTTCTTTATCTAACCTCTCCCAAATCAGTTAGCGTTTAGGCTCTTTTTCACCAAATATAAAAACCCAGCCCAGTTCATGGCCCATTTGGCAACAACCCTTAGACACTTTACTGTCCTAGACCCAGAAGGGCCAGAAGGCCGTCTTATTCTCAATATGCATTTTATTACCCAATCCGCTCCTGACATTAGAGAAAGCTCCAAAAATTAGATTCCGGCCCTCAAACCCCACAACAGGACTTAATTAACCTCACCTTCAAGATGTACAATAATAGAGAAGAGTTGCAATTACTTGCCTCCACTGTGAGAAAAACCCCAGCCACATCTCCAGCACAAAAGAACTTCAAAACGCCTGAACCACAGCAGTCAGGCATTCCTTCAGGACCTCCTCCCCCAGGATCTTGCTTCAAGTGCCAAAAATCTGGCCACTGTGCCAAAAATGCACAAAGCCCGGGATTTCTCCTCAGCTGTGTCCCATCTTTGCAGGACCCCACTGGAAATCGGACTGTCCAACTCGCCTGGCAGCCACTCCCAGAGCCCCTGGAACTCTGGCCCGAGGCTCTCTGACTGACTCCTTCCCAGATCTTCTCGGCTTAGTGGCTGAAGACTCACACTGCCCGATCGCCTCGGAAGCCTACAGGACCATCACAGATGCTTTGGATAACTCTTATAGTGGAGGGTAAGCCTGTCCCCTTCTAAATCAATATGGAGGCTACCCACTCCACATTACCTTCTTTTCAAGGGCGTGTTTCCCTTGCCTCCATAACTGTTGTGGGTATTGATGGCCAGGTTTCTAAACCTCTTAAAACTCCCCAACTCTGGTGCCAACTTGGACAATATTCTTTTATGCACTCCTTTTTAGTTATCCCTACCTGCCCAGCTCCCTTGTTACGTTGAGACATTTTAACTAAATTATCTGCTTTCCTGACTATTCCTGGACTACAGCCACACCTCACTGCTGCCCTTTTCCCCAGTTCAAAGCCTCCTTTGCATCCTCCCCTTGTTTCTCCCTACCTTAATCCACAAGTATGAGACACCTTCACTCCCTCCTTGGCAACTGATCATGCACCCCTTACTATCCCATTAAAACCTCATCACCCTTACCCTGCTTAATGCCAATATCCCATCCCACAGCATGCTTTAAAAGGATTAAAGCCTGTTATCACTCGCCTGTTACAGCATGGCCTTTTAAAGCCTATAAACTCTCCTTACAATTGCCCCATTTTACCTGTTCAAAAACCAGACAAGTCTTATAGGTTGGTTCAGGATCTGTGCCTTATCAACCAAGTTGTCTTGCCTATCCACCCCATGGTGCCAAATCCATATACTCTCCTATCCTCAATACCTCCCTCCACAACCCATTATGCTGTTCTAGATAAACCTAGCTGACCCCATAAATCCTAAATCCTTTCCCCACTCCCCTTGCCATTCCTTAAAAAACAGCCCTAAAAGCTGCTCCCACACTAGCTCTCCTTGAGTCATCCCAACCTTCTTTGTTACACACAGCCGAAGTGTGGGGCTGTGTGGTCGGAATTCTTACACAAGAGCCAGGACCGTGCCCTGTAGCCTTTCTGTCCAAACAACTTGACCTTACTGTTTTAAGCTGGCTCCCACATTATTCCGGATACCACACCTGACCCCCATGACTGTATCTCTCTGACCCACCTGACATTCACTCCATTTCCCCATATTTCCTTCTTTCCTATTCCTCACCCTGATCACACTTGGTTTATTGATGGCAGTTCCACCAGGCCTAATCGCCACTCACCAGCAAAGGTAGGCTATGCTATAGTATCTTCCACATCTATCATTGAGGCTACTGCTCTGCCCCTCTCCACTACCTCTCAGCAAGCCAAACTCATTGCCTTAACTCAAGCCCTCACTCTTGCAAAAGGACTACATGTCAATATTTATGCTGACTCTAAATATGCCTTCCATATCCTGCACCACCATGCTGTTATATGGGCTGAAAGAGGTTTCCTCGCTACGCAAGGGTCCTCCATCATTAATGCCTCTTTAATAAAAACTCTTCTCAAGACTGCTTTACTTCCGAAGGAAGCTGGAGTCATTCACTGCAAGGGCCATCAAAAGGCATCAGATTCCATCACTCAGGGGAACACTTACGCTGGTAAGGTAGCCAAAGAGGCAGCTAGTGTTCCAACTTCTGTCCCTCATGGCCAGTTTTTCTCCTTCTCATTGGTCACTCCTATTTACTCTCCCACTGAAGTTTCCACCTATCAATCCCTCTACACTCAACGCAGATGGTTCTTAGACCAAAAAAAAAAAATCTCCTTCCAGCCTCACAGGCTCATTCTATTCTGTCGTCGTTTCATAACCTCTTGCATGTAGGTTACAAGCTGTTAGCCCACCTCTTAAAACCTCTCATTTCCTTTCCATCGTGAAAATCCATCCCCAGTCCACCACTCTTGACTCCCTCTTGGAGTGGAGAGATGATCTTTGCTGACAGGACACACTCCAGTACTTTCACCCTGATGAAGTCCTATTCTTTACTTTTATACTCACTCTTATTCTCGTTCCCATTCTTATGCCACCCTCTACCTCTCCCCAGCTATCTCAACCACGCTATCAATCTCACTCACTCTCTCCTGGCAGTTTCTTTTCTTTTCTTTTTCTTTTTCTTTTTTTTTTGAGATGGAGTCTCACTCTGTCGCCCAGGCTGGAGTGTGGTGGCGCTATCTCGGTTCACTGCAAGCTCTGCCTCCCGGATTCACACCATTCTCCTGCCTCAGACTCCCAAGTAGCTGTGACTACAGGTGCCCACCACCATGCCCGGCTAATTTTTTGTATTTTTAGTAGAGACAGCATTTCACTGTGTTAGCCTGGATGGTTTTGATCTCCTGACCTTGTGATCCGCCCGCCTCAGCCTCCCAAAGTGCTGGGATTACAGGCGTGAGGCACTGCACCCAGCCTCTCCTAGCAGTTTCTAATCCATCTTTAACGAACAATTGCTGGCTTTGCATTTCTCTTTCCTCCAAAATCACCAAGGCCCTGACTTACTCACTGCTAAAAAAAAGGGGGACTCTATATTTTTAAATGAATAGTGTTGTTTTTACCTAAATGAATCTGGCCTGGCATATGACAACATAAAAAAACTCAAGGGTGGAGCCCAAAAACTCGCTAACCAAGCAAATAATTACATTGAACCCCCTTGGGCACTGTCTAATTAGATGTCCTGGTTACTCCCAATTCTTAGTCCTTTAATACCTATTTTTCTCCTTCTTTTATTTGGACCTTGTGTCTTCCGTTTAGTTTCTCAATTCATACAAAACTGCCTCCAGGTCATCACCACTAATTCTATATGACAAATGCTCCTTCTAACAACCCCACAGTATCACCCCTCACCCCAAAATCTTTCCTCAGTTTAATCTCTCCCACTGTAGGTTCCCACACCACCCCTAATCCCACTAGAAGCAACCCTGAGAAACATCGCCCGTTATCTCTCCATACCACCCCCCAAAATTTTCACCTCCCCAACACTTCACCATTTTGTTTTTTCTTATTAATATAAGAAGACAGGAATGTCAGGCCTCTGAGCTCAAGCTAAGCCATCATATCCCCTGTGACCTGCACATATACATCCAAATGGCCTGAAGCAACTGAAGATCCATAAAAGAAGTGAAAATAGCCTTAACTGATGACATTCCACCATTGTGATTTGTTCCTGCCGCACCCTAACTGACACGATATATTCTCCCTCGCCCTTAAGAAGGTACTTTGTAATATTCTCCCCTGCCCTTAAGAAGGTCCTTTGTACGCCTAACCCAAACCTATAAGAACTAATGATAATCCCACCACCCTTTGCTGACTCTCTTTTCGGACTCAGTCCACCTGCACCCAGGTGAAATATACAGCCTTGTTGCTCACACAAAGCCTGTTGGTGGTCTCTTCACGTGGACATGCATGACAATGAGAATGCACGTACACATGGAGGGAAATGACACACATTGGGGCCTGTCGGGTGGCTTGGGGCGGGGAGAGCAAAAGGAAGAATAGCTAGTGGACACTGGGCTTAATACCTAGGTGACGGGATGATCAGTGCAGCAAACCACCATGGCACACGTTTACCTATGTAGCAAACCTGCACATCTTGCACATGTACCCCTGAACTTAAAAGTTGAAGAAAGGAGTGAAAGCGAAAAATGGTGGATATGAGGCAGGACTAAATTGCAGCTCCCACTCAGAAAGACAGAGCAGTGTGTAGAAACTCACATAATGAACCTCTGCTCCAAGAACTACCACAGGAACATACCAGGAAAGCTGAGAGAGTCCACAGACCCTTTGAAGGAAGTGGATTGCTCCTGCAGGCCCTGGGAGACAGACAAAAAACTGTGAGTGCCCAAAGTGTGAAAGGGGGATTGTCCACGCCCAAACACACACCCTCACAGGGGAACCTGAAGGTCTAGATCACAGGAGAAGGATTTGACCTTACCTGGAGCAGAGACAAATTTAAAGAGCCAAGTGAAATACAGGGGTAGAAGAAGCAGCAAGAAGAGCCTGTGGGCTCTCTCAGTCCCCAGAGAAGCCATTTCTGACTTTGTCTCACAGAGGTTCTTGGGGAGGGCTACCAGAGGAACTGGGAAAAGACCACAGGGAGAAGGAAACTTGCAGTTGAACTTTGTAACAATTTCAACCTAACACGAAGTTTCCCGGACAGAACTTGGGGGAGGGAGTGAATCGCCAGCGCAGACACAGCACAGAAGCCACAGCAGGTCGGGAGATGCAAAATCTGAATGCCCTGCTTTGCTTTCTCAGCCAGGAGGCTGGTTGCCTGAGGCAAGTTCTCAGCCCTGCTTACCTGCTGCCTGGAAATAAACTGGGTGCTGTTGTGGCGGCATGGTGGGAATGAGACCAACGTTTTGGGCTGTATGGGAGCTGAATAAGGCCTATAATGCTGGCTTTCTCACACTTCTCTGGTGACCTGCATGGCACGGCAGAGGCAGCCATAATCCCCCTGAGAATATAACTCCATTGGCCTGAGAACAACACACCCATCCCCCACAGCAGCCACCACAAGCCCTACCCAAGGAGAGTCTCAGCTCAGACACGCCTAACCCTGCCCCCACGTGATGGTCTTTCTCTACTCACCCTTGTAGCTGAAGACAAAGGACATAATCTCTTGGGAGCTCTAGGGACCCACCCACTGCCTAATCCTCCCTATACTACCACAGCTGATGCTCTCTTGAAAGCACCATCTCCTGGCAGGAAGCCAATCAACACAAAACGAGTACAATAAACAAAACTACAACTAAAAACCCTGACAGAGTCCATTTTACTTCCCTGCCACCTCTAACAAAGCAGGTGCTACTACCCATGGCTGAGAGACCTGAAGATTGTTCACATCACACGACTCTGTGCAGACACTCCCCAGTACCAGCCTGAAGCCCGGCAGCTCTGCTGGGAGACTAGATCCAGAAGACAAATAACAATCACTACAGTTCAGCTCTCAGGAAGCCACATCCCTAGGGGAAGGGGGAGAATACTACATCAAGGTAGCACCCCATGGGACAAAAGAATCTGAACAGCGGCCCTTGAGCCCCAGATCTTCCCTCTGACATGGTCTACTCAAATGAAAAGGAACCAGAATAACAATTCTGGTAATATAACAAAACAAGGTTCTTTAACACCCCCCAAAAGATCACACTAGCTCACCTCACCAGCAATGGATCCAAACCAAGACGAAATCCCTGAATTACCAGAAGAATTCAGAAGGTCGATTATTAAGCTAATCAAGGAGACACCAGAGAAAGGTAACAAACAAATGATACAAGATACAAGGGGAAAAATCCTCAGTGAAATAGCATAAATAAAAAACAATCACAACTTCTGGAAATGAAGGACACACTTACAGAAATACAAATATACTGGAAAGTCTCAGCAATAGAATCAAACAAGCAGAAGAAAGAACTTCAGAGCTCAAAGATAAGGTTTTCAAATTAACCCAATCCAACAAACACAAAGAAAAAAAATTTTTTTTAAATGAACAAAGCCTCCAAGCAGTTTGTGATTATGTTAAACGACCAAACCTGCCGGGCATGGTGGCTCACGCCTGTAATCCCAACACTTTTGGAGGCTGAGTCAGGTGAATCACAAGGTCAGGAGTTCAAGACCAGCCTGGCCAATATGGTGAAACCCCATCTCTACTAAAAATACAAAAATTAGCCAGCGTGGTGGTGGGGCCTGTAGTCCCAGCTACTCGGGAGGCTGAGGCAAGAGAACAGCTTGAACCTGGGAGGCGGAGGTTGCAGTGAGCCAAAATCATGCCACTGCATTCCAGCCTGGGCAACAGAGCGAGACTCCATCAAAAAAAAAAAACAAAAAACAAACAAAAAAAAACACTAAATGTAAGAATAATTGGTGTTCCTGAGGAAGAAGAGAAATCTAAAAGTTTGGAAAATGTATTTGAGGGAATAATGGAGGAAAACTTCCCTGGCCTTGCTAGAGACCTAAACACCCAAATACAAGAAGCTCAAAAAACACCTGGGAAATGTATTGCAAAAAGATCATCGCCTAGGCACATAGTCATTAGGTTATCTAAAGTCAAGATGAAGGAAAGAATCTTAAGAGCTCTGAGGCAAGAGTACCAGGTAACCTATAAAGGAAAATCTATCAGAGTAACAGAGATTTCTCAGCAGAAACCCTAAAAGCTAGAAGGGATTGGGGCCCTATCTTTAGCCTCCTTAAATGAAACAATTATCAGCCAAGAAGTTTGTATCCAGCAAAGAAGCCTTCATAAAAATGAAAGATACAGCCTGTTTCAACAAACAAATGATGAGAGAATTTGCCACTACCAACCCAACACTACAAGAACTGCCAAAAGGAGCACTAAATCTTGAAACAAATCCTCCAAATAAACCAAAACAGAACCTCCTTAAAGCATAAATCTCGGCCAGGTGCAGTGGCTCACGCCTGTAATCCCAGCACTTTGGGAGGCTGAGCTGGGTGGATCATGAGGTCAGGAGTTCGAGAACAGCCTGGCCAACATGGTGAAACCCCGTCTCAACTAAAAAAATATACAAAAATTAGCCGGGTGTGGTGGTGTGCACCTATAATCCCAGCTACCTGGGAGGCTGAGGCAGAAGAATCACTTGAACCTGGGAGACAGAGGTTGCAGTGAGCCGAGATCGGGCCTCTGCACTCCAGCATTGGCAACAGAGAAAGACTCTGTCTCAAAAAAAAAAAAAAAAGGCATAAATCTCTCAGGACCTACAAAACAGAAACACAATAAATAAATTGATTAATTAATTAAATAAATAATAAATAAATAACAAGGTATTCAGGCAACAAATAGCATGATGAAGAGAATAGTACCTCACATCTCAATACTAACATTGAAGGTAAATGGCCTAAATGCTCCACTTAAAAGATAAAGAATGGCAGAATGGATAAGAATTCACGGGCCAGGCATGGTGGCTCACGCCTGTAATCCCAGTACTTTTGGGAGGCCGAGGCGGGTGGATCACCTGAGGTCAGGAGTTCGAGACCAGCCTGGCCAACATGATGAAACCCCATCTCAACTAAAAAAAATACAAAAATTAGCTGGGCATGGTGGCAGGTACCTGCAATCCCAGTTACTTGAGGGTCCAAGGCAGGAGAATCACTTGAACCTGGGAGGCAGAGGTTGCAGTGAGCCAAGATCATGCCACTGCACTCCGGCCTGGGGGACAAGAGCGAGACTTCGTCAAAAAAAAAAAAAGAATTCACCAATCGAGTATCTGCTGTCTTCAAGAGACTCACCTAACAACACATAGACCCATATAAAATTAAGGTAAAGGAGTGAAAAAAGATATTCCATACAAATGGACACTGAAAGTAAGCAGAAGTGACTATTCTCATATCAGACAAAACAAACTTTAAAGCAACAGCAGTTAAAAAAGACAAAGAGGGACATTATATAATGATAAAAATAACTTGTCCAACACAAAAATATCAGTCCTAAATATATATATGTAACTAACACTGGAGCTCCCAAATTTATACAGCAATTAATACTAGACCTAAGAAATGAAATAGATAGCAACACAATAATAGCAGGGGACTTCAATACTCCACTAACAGCACTAGACAGGTCATCAAGACAGAAAGTCAACAAAGAAACAATGGATTTAAACTATACCCTCGAGCAAATGAACTTAATGTTACGCTAGAACTTAATGAACTTAATGTTTCAGAACATTCTACCCAACAACTGCAGAATACACATTCTTTTCATCATCACATGGAACATAATCCAAGATACACCATATCATAGGCCACAAAACAAGCCTCAATAAATTTAAGAAAACTAAAATTATATCAAGTACTCTCTCAGACCACAGCAGAATAAAATTGGAAATCAACTCCGAAAGGAACCCTCAAAACCATGCAAATATGTGGAAATTAAATAACCTGCTCCTAAACGATCATTGGGTCAACAATGAAATCAACATGGAAATTTAAAAATTCTTTGAACTGAACAATAATAGTGACATAACCTAGCAAAACCTCTGGGATACTGCACAGGCAGTGCTAAGAGGAAAGGTCATAGCAGCCTTAAATGCCTACGTGAAAAAGTCTGAAAGAGCACAAATAGACAATCTTAAGGTCACATCTCAAGGAAGTAAAGAAACAAGAATAAACCAAACCCAAACCCAGCAGAAGAAAAGAAATAACAAGATCAGAGAACTAAATTAAGTTGAAACAAAAAAGTACAAAAGATAAATGAAACAGAAAGCTGGTTCTTTGAAAATATAAATAAAATTGATAGAACATTAGCAAGGTTAACCAAGACAAGAAGAGAGAAAATCCAAATAAGCTCGATTAGAAATGAAATGGGAGATACCACAGAACCAATACCACAGAAATACAAAAAATTATTCAAATACAAAAAGATCATACTATGAACACCTTTACGTGCATAAACTAGAAAACCTAGAGGAGATGGATAAATTCCTGGAAATATGCAATCCTCCTAGGTTAAACTAGGAAGAAATAGATACTCTGAGCAGACCAATAACAAGCAGTGAGATTGAAATGGTAATTTAATAATTGTCAACAAAAAAAAGTCCAGGACCAGACAGATGCACAGCTGAAGTCTATCAGACATTCAAAGAAGAATTTGTACCAATCCTACTGACACTATTCCACAAGATAAAGAGAGAATCCTCCCTAAATTATTCTATGAAGCCAGTATCACCCTAATACCAAAACAGGAAAGGATATAACAAAAAAAGAAAAACTACAGACCAATATCCCTGATGAACACAGATGCAAAAATCCTTATCAAAACACTAGCTAACTGAATCCAACAGTGTATCAAAAAGATAATCCACCATGACCAAGGGGGTTTCATTCCAGGAATTCAGGGATGGTTTAATACATGCAAGACAATAAATGTGATACACCACATAAATAGAATTAAAAACAAAAATCACATTATCATCTCAATAGATGCAGAAAAAGCATTTGAGAAAATCCAGCATCTCTTTATGATTAAAACCCTCAACAAAATTGGCATAGAAGGGACATACCTTAATATAATAAAAGTCATCTATGACAGGCCCACAACCAACATAATACCGAATGGGGAAAAGCAGAAAGTACTCCCCCTGAGAACTGGAACAAGACAAGGATGCCCACTCTCACCACTTCTATTCAACATAATACTGGAAGCCCTAGCCAGAGCAATCAGACAAGAGGAAGAAATAAAGGACATCCAAATCAGTAAACAGGACATCAGACTGTCAATGTTTGCTGATGACATGACTGTATACATAGAAAACCCAAAAGACTCATCCAAAAAGCTCCTAGAGCTAGTAAAGGAATTCAGCAAAGTTTCAGGATACGAAATTAATATACAGAAATCAGTAGCTCTGCTATACACCAGCAGCAACCAAGCTGAGAATCAAATCAAGAACTCAACCCCTTTTACAATAGCTGTGAAACAAAACAAAACAAAACAAAATTTGGGAATATACCTAACCAAGGAAATGAAAGACCTCTACAAGGAAAACTACTAAACACTGCTGAAAGAGATCACAGATGACACAAACAAATGGAAACACATCCCATGCTCATGGATGGGTAGAATCAATATTGTGAAAATCATCATACCGCCAAAAGCAATCTACAAATTCAATGCAATTCCTATCAAAGTACCACCATCATTCTTCACAGAACTAGAGAAAACAAACCTATAATTCATATGGAGCCAAAAAAGAGACCACATAGCCAAAGCAAGGCTAAGCAAAAAGAACAAATCTGGAGATATTACATTACCCAACTTCAAACTATACAATAAGGCCATAGCCACCAAAACTGCATGGTTCTGGTATAAAAACAGGGACACAGACCAATGGAACAGAATAGAGAACCCAGAAATAAAGCCAAAAAGCCACCTGACCTTCAACAAAGCAAACAAAAACATAAGGTGGGGAAAGGACACCCTATTCAACAAATGGTGCTGGGATAACTGGCAAGCCACATGTAGAAGAATGAAACTGGATCCTCTTCTCTCACATTATACAAAGATCAACACACCTGGGTGCAGTGGCTCACGCCTGTAATCCCAACACTTTGAGAGGCCGAGGTAGGTGGATCACGAAGTCAGGAGTTCGAGACCGGCCAGGCCAACATGGTGAAACCCCGTCTCTACTAAAAACACAAAAATTAGCCAGGCATGGTGGCAGACGCCTGTAATCCCAGCTACTCAGGAGGCTAAGGCAGAGAATTGCTTGAACCCGGGAGGTAGAGGTTGCAGTGAGCCCAGATTGCACCACTGCACTCCAGCCTGGGCAACAGAGTGAGACTCCATCTCAAAAAAAAAAAAAAATCAACTCAAGATGGACAAAGACAACCTGAATCCATAAAAATTCTAGAAGGAAACATTGGAAAAACCCTTCTAGACATTGGCTTTGGCAAAGACTTCACAACCAAGAACCCAAAAGCAAATACAACAAAAACAAAGATAAATACATGGGAATTAATTAACTGAAAAGCTTCTGCACAGCAAAACAATCAGCAGAGTAAACAGACAGCCCACAGAGTGGGAGAAAATCTTCACAATCTATACATCTGACAAAGGACTGATATCCGGAATCTATAAGGAACTTAAACAAATTGCAAGAAAAAAAAAATCCCATCAAAAAGTAGACTAAGGACATGAATAGACAATTCTTAAAAGAAGATAGACAAATGTTCAACAAACATATGAAAAATTGCTCAACATCACTAATTATCAGGGAAATGCAAATCAAAACCACAATGCGATACCACCTTACTCCTGCAAGTGTGGGCATAATAAAAAAAAATAAAAAAATAATAGATGTTGGCATGGATGTGGTGAAAAGGGAACACTTTTACACTGCTGGTGGGAAAGTAAACTAGTACAACCACTATGGAAAACTGTGGAGATTCCTTAAAGAACTAAAAGAAGAACTGCCATGTGATCCAGCAATCCCCCTACTGGGTATCCAGGGGAAAAGAAGTCATTACTTGAAAAAGATACTTGTACATGCATGTTTATAGCAGCACAATTCAAAATTGCAAAAATATGGAACCAGCCCAAATGCCCATCAATCAGCAAGTGGATAAAGAAATTGTGGTATATATCTACCATGGAATACTACTCAGCCATAAAAAGGAACAAAATAAAGACATTTGCAGCAAGCTGGATGAAATTGGAGAGGATTATTCTAAGTGAAGTAACTCAGGAATAGAAAACTAAACTTTGTATGTTCTCAGTCATAAGTGGGAGCTAAGTTGTGAGGATGCAAAGGCATAAGAATGATACAATGGACTTTGGGGAATCAGGGAAAAGAGTGAGGGGCATGAGGGATAAAAGACTACACAATGGCTACAGTGTACACTGTTCAGGTGAT
Organism: Homo sapiens; assembly: GCF_000001405.40. Lineage (NCBI taxonomy): Eukaryota > Metazoa > Chordata > Mammalia > Primates > Hominidae > Homo > Homo sapiens. The sequence goes on from NC_000010.11 coordinate 99,273,333, forward strand.
GGTTGCATCAAAATCTCAAAAATCACCACTAAAGAACTTATTCACATAACCAAACACTACCTGTTCCCCAAAAACCTATTGAAATAAATAAATAAATAAAATTTTTTTAGTTGAAGAAAAAAAATCATGGTCTGAGAATTTTCCTTCTGCCTCTGCCTTTGGCCTAAATGCAATAATTTACAAATGATAGACAAGGAAAATGTTATCTGAGAAAATTGGGTTCTAAATCTAGGCACTGAAATTTGGGAGAATCAGGTCCAAGACATAAACCAACCCCTAAAGATATGAGACTAGTTTCCAAGAGAAACAGAGGACATAAGTCTTCTCTCCTGGAATTGCTTGATGCATATATTTAGGCAGAACACATATAAAATGGGCAGAAGGACAGACAGATGGATGATGGATGGAAAGATGGATAGACAAACAGATGCAGGGAGGGACAAATAAATGATCCAGTAACTGACAGAACTCTCTTTTAAAAGTGAGTACTACAGGTGGGAGGGATTGCCCTTTAACCATGACAGAGACAAAAAGAAGCCATGATCCTTTGGCCAGTGAGAATGTGTGCACTATCTCTGCTGCCAGGGACATAATTTCTAAGATCCAGTCTGAAACAAGCCTTTACAGAAGAGAAAGGCAAACCCAACATTAATCAATCTGGAGTCATATAACTTCCCTGGTAACATTTGTATAAGTAAAGAATAGCTACATGCCTATTAACAGTGTAAAGCAGGCAGGTGCGGTGGCTCACGCCTGTAATCCCAGCACTTTGGGAGGCCAAGGCAGGCAGATCGCTTGAGGCCAGGAGTTTGAGACCAACCTGGCCAACATGGCAAAACCCTGTCTCTACTAAAAATACAAAAAATTAGCCAGGCGTGGTGGCCTGCGCCTGTAATCCCAGCTACTCGGGAGGCTGAGGCAGGAGAATCGTTTGAACCTGGGAGACGGAGGTTGCAGTGAGCAAAGGATCCTACCACTGTGCTCCAGCCTGGGACTCTGTCTCAAAATAAAAAGAAACAGTGTAAGGCAAGAAGTCCACAAACCTGCACGTCCTGCACATGTATCTTGGAACTTAAAATAAAATAAAGTAAAATTTAAAAAAAACCCTTCAAACAGAAAAGAAATAATTATTTTTAAGACTCAGTTTTCATAAAAATTAACAAAAATTAAAAAGCATTAATAGAGGAGTAAGGTTTTCCTTCAAATTATTTTTATACTTAAATATGTCAAGCCTGTAGTCTGTGTCCAAATATTTAAAGTGTTAACCATTTAAAAATAAATTTGACTGTCATATACGTTAAAAAAAAATTCAACCACAAAAAAGAGAGAGAACATTTCCAGGAGCAGCTGGAAGCTTTCAGAACTTCCCATTCTGTCTGAGATTAGTTATTAGGAGGCTAAATGCAGCTAATGAAATTCTCTAACAAGGATGGTACTGCAGCTGTCTGAAAAATAACTTCTTTTTAAATTTCCAGAGTAAACTGGAGGAAGTTTTCATATAGCATAAAGTCAAACCATACAACATTCATCTGGGAAATATACTTCGCCAAAGCAGACTTAGCTGTCTCACTTACATAGGTGTAACGTTTTAAACTAGAATAAAATTCTTCAAGGGCACCCTTTTCCAGTCCAGTTCTCATGAAAATTTTATTATTTAATATCAGAACTGCAAGGTACCTAAGAAATAATTTAATCTAGCCCTTCATTTTACAGATGTAGAAATTTGGGCTCCTGCAGGGCCAGAGAACAAGTTACTGTAGCAAGTGAGTGACTCAAATTTAGAAAACAGTTCCCCCCAAATCCAGTATTAGTTCCTTCCAAAAATATCTGGGAAGAGAAAAAAGGTAATGGCTGTTAGAGAACTGAAGTACTTTTGCATTCAGCTTCTAATTTTTTCGATTAAGATAAAGACAAACTGAGGTGAAATCTTTAAAGTTTATTTTACCGTTTACAGTTAACCCTTTTTATTATTCCTCTTTAGTACATCTCTGTTTTCTTTGCAGGTGCTCATGCAGATGGCATGAAGCAGGAAGTCCTTCTTGACTCGTACGTCTTAGTACCCCAAGGGTACAGTGACCACATAATGTATTATTTAACTTGGGACATTTATGAGCACTGAAGGGAATATTACTAATAAGTAAACAATGACCAACACATAAAGTGGACTTTCTTAGACAAACTGGAACATGTTATGGTCACCCTTCTTAAGTATTACCTGCTTTGGTTGTCTGGGCTAAAAACCATCCCAGCAACAGCTCCTCTCCCTTCTTTCCTTTTGAATTTAATCCTGACCCATTTTACGGCATTCTTCTAATCCTAAACTCCATCCCAAGGATATGTGAAGCCCATGCTCTTTGAATCCTCCCTCTTTCCAACAGTAACATCCGTCTTGGGTCTTCTCCATACCCTTGCCCCCAACAAAATGATTGTAGTGTTTCCCCTAAGGCAGGCAACATCATCTCTGGTACCAGCTCAGAGCAGGCTCCTTCAGGCCAGAACATCTAGGGCATGGGACTGTAAGAGAACCCTTCTATTGGGAATGAAGGGAAGAGATTATTACATGAAGGGGTGGGTGTGGGTGTGTGTATGTGATGTGCAATCCTGGTAATGTTAATGACTTATTAAAAGCACATCGTATCATGGACATAGATAAGAAAAAAACAGCCAAATAGAAATAACTGAAAATTTGGTTTTATTAGTAATATTTAATAATGGTAGTATATATACCCAAAACATTAGGATCTTATTCCTTTTATCACACATAGTGCTTCGCCTGTAGTAAATGCCCAATAATTATGTTGAAAAATGAATAAAACTAATTTTTGAATTATTACATATAAATACAATATTCGTTGGAACAACAATCATAACAACTCCATTTAGTAACAACTACAGTGAGCCAGACACTATATACTCGGTGCTTCATATACATTTTCTCTACTAATGCCTATTTACACTACAACCCAATAATTATTCTTTGTATCACTAAATGTCTTTATTTCATTAGCAAAGAAAACTCTATAGAAAAGTAATAAAATTGCATAGTTGGGTGTTTGTGTGGCATGGTTGTCTAGCCATCACTTTTTAAAGAATTTTGCTTCCAGCCCAGGGTTTTTCACTACACATTAATCTCTTTCATATATATGTCTCAAATAACCTATTAGCCCCTTATTTTCTCTAGTGCTCTCATCTGAACATTCATAACCTCATACGAATTATATTTATAATGTTCTTTTATGCATTCCAGAATTCTTTTTACATCTTTTTTTTAATCTACGCTTGGAGTCTTGAAATCCCCATAACTGATAAATAGGATAAGCTGCTATTAGTAATAGCAGACAAGAAACAATATTGAGTTCTCTGCAGAGGTTGTTAAATCAGGCACAATGACACAAATACAAAAACAGGCAAATTCTTTTTTATTCAAGCCACAGGGGTGCCATTTAGTTCTACAGAAGTACCCTAGTATGTCAAATTAGATGCCGTGGAGTGACTTAGGTACTGGAAAGAATACTGTAATATAAAAATATTATCCTACTATAATAATATTTGAGCATATTTGTAAATTTAAAATAACGCCAAAACTGCTGATTGAAACCATTTATACTTCTGTCACCCGCTTAGAATAGAAATATTAAATTATGGTGCTATATTACCCAGTCATAAGCTAAATTACCAGGTCAATTCTGAAAGAATGGGACAGAGGCGACAATGGATAGTGACTGCCATCTTGTGGGTTTTTATCTAATTACAGGGAAACTACTTAAGGCAGACATTTGAAAATTGCTAGGAGTTAATTTATCACCCGTTCAAATCAAGATATCCCGTGGGGATATAAATAACATAAAAACAATCATCTCTATCATATCATCTTATGGCTTTATAAAGTCAAAATTGTGCACACAGGTGCACATGCATGCAAAAATATAAGTTAAAAACCATAGATAATCTCATTAATTCTCCTGGGATGTTTACACCACTTTGAGAAAATCAGCATTTTATTCTGTTTTGCTGTGGACAGCAGAGTTAGAACCAACAAGTAAAAAGTAAACGAAAATAAGGTTTTTGGCTCAGTTTAAGGAAAAGTCTGCCAAGTAAAGCTGTTCAACAAAGATAAAATGAATCCCTTATGAGGTAGTGAGCTCAGTGTCACTGGATGAAACCATGAAAAGACAGAAATAGTGGAAGAGTGTTGGTTTTTCACCAAGTGAGAGCTCCATGAGCCCTTCTACCCCTGAGGGAACTTAAGATCCCCTCCCGACCCTCCATGTTACAGGCATCTAATAGAAATATGTAGCATTTCTATTTAATATTTCTAATAAAAACATTTAGCGTTTGTGTATCATGGTGGTTTTTCTGTGTATAAATGTCATATGCACAATACAGTAAAATATAAACCCACAAATTCCTAAGAAAAGATGGAAAAATATCATATAATACAGCTTAACATGTGTGGACCTCACTTTTAAAAAAACTGATATGCGGCCGGGCATGGTGGCTCACGCCTGTAATCCCAGCACTTTGGGAGGCCAAGGCAGGTGGATCACTTAGGGTCAGGAGTTCAAGACCAGCCTGGACAACATGATGAAACCCTGTCTCTACTAAAATACAAAAATTAGCTTGGCGTGGTGGTGCGCACCTGTAATCCCAGCTACTCAGGAGGCTGAGGCGAGAGAATCGCTTGAACCCAGGAGGCGGAGGTTTCAGTGAGCCAAGATCGCGCCACTGTACTCCAGTCTGGGAGCGAGACTCCCTCTCAAAAAAAAAAAAAAAAAAAACTGATATGCAAAACTGCAAACTTAATAAATTAGGGATAGAAGACTCTTCACAATATTTTGATAATGAACATTTGTAAAGTAATATGCATGTGAAAAAAAAGTTTGGAAGATAGACATGGCTGTTTCTGGATTTACAAGTGATTTTCTGTTATTCTTTATAGTGTTCTATATTTCCAAAATGTTCTATAATAAATACATATTACTTATGTCCTCACAAAATAATAATTTTTAAAAAATAAAATTTGACCCTATCACCAGGGTCTCAAATTCCTATTTTTACACTCTGCCCTATCATTGGCATGCAGCTTCCATTCTCAGGGTTCTCTCACATTCAGAAGACAGCTGCTGGAACTCCAGTCATCATACCTAATTTCTATACAGGAATGGCTGTGTCATTCCTGGATTTCCCATCCAAAAATTTCCACTTATATCTCATGGCCACTCCTAGCTAAAAAGGAGGCTGAGAAATACATAATTTTGCTGCCTCAAATAAAATGTGGGCTTCTGTTTATCAGGATGAAAAAAGGATGAATACTGAGTAGGCAACTAGCATTCATGGCCACAGAAATCAATAAATCTGGATTTAAATCCCAGTTCCACTAAACTTACTGTGTGATCTTAGGCAAATTATTTGGACTTTCTATTTCTTCTTCTAATTTACTATTAAAATAGCCACTTCATAAACTTATTGAAGGGAGAGTATGTAAAAGTAGCTGTCACACAGTAGGTGTTCAGTAAATGAAAGGTTCAGGTCATTCCTTTACTGAAAGTACCAAAAGAGTGTTCTGCAATGGAGAATAAGAATAATCATGAAATGTTTAAAGGAGACTATGTTCTAGGCAAGTATTTCCCTTTCAAAAAATGCCTGTTTAGATTCTACACTTCAAACTACCAAAGATAACTAAGTCATCAAAATCACAATTTACAAAAACTATGTTTCTCTCCTAGTTGTTGAGCTCATATGGATTCCCTGGATCTTCATTTATCATCAGAAAAAAAAAAGAAATATCATTTCAGAATTTCAACAGGGTTGCAATTGTTGTTCTTTTTGATAGAAGACAGAACCTGTTAGGAAGAAGAAAGAAAATTGATTCTTTTCATGAAAGGATTCCATTGCTCTTTACTGATACCATGGAAAGTGATAGCACATAAATGAGCTATCTCAGAGGAGTACTATACCCAAATTATATACAGAAAGGCAGGATGATGCTGGATTTTTGGACCAAGAACATCCACTCTGATAAAGAGCATGTTGGCACAGGAAAAACAGAAGTAAAAGAGTTCATAGTTCTCAATAAAAATCAAGGCTTTTATTACTTACCTAAGGGAGTATGCTTTACTAAGAGAGATTCCTAAATTGTAAATAAAATCCAGGTTCCAATTTCTTACACTATAACTAAAAGAATAGCTTTCCTTTGTCAAATACTGTGGTTCATCAGAATACCCGTGAAACTAACTTTTGAGTGGTAGGTTTTAACAAGCTCTAAATTTAATGCATGGAACAACTCCATAAGTAAATATGAATGCCTAGTGTACATAAGACAGAAGCATTTAATAATCTCCAGCTTTGTCCCATATGGGGCTACCCAGGGCTCTTTTTACTATGGGAAACCAAGCTATGACAAACAAAACCCATGGGAAACATAAAATGTGTTCCACCCCCTCAGAGATTGGCAAGTCACCAGGGGAGGCAGACTAAATAAATTCTCTATTTGCATATTGCTGTCAGGGACTACACTGAGTAAATAAAACAGACGTGACTTTCCTGAAAAATCCCATACTCTGTATATGAAAATTCACACTGGCACATATTTTTAAGTTGATGTCAGAGGAGACCCAGAGGCCTTCTCAGCAAATCCTTTGGAGACTCCTTCTAGCAACCCAAAAATGAGATAGAGTGGGGCTATGCACAGAGCCTGTGACTATAAGGTCCAGGAGAGCTGGGTTCTTCACTGGCTTTGCCATTAACTGTTGTATGACCTTGGACAAGTCTCTTCAGCTCTCTGAATCAGAAGTTCTTCAAAGTCCCTTCCAAATCCAAAATGATTAGTTTGTGAATATCACAGATTTGTCACAAGGCAGGTTACAGGCCTCATGAGGCAAGAGCTAAGGAAAGGAGAGTGAAAGGTCTATTAGAGGGTCAGTGAATGAACCTGATCATGTAAAGAAGGATTCAGTATGGGTAATAACAGGAGAAAAGGTTGAAGAGAGAGGTCTGGCCAGACCATGAAGGGTTTTGAATACCACTGCAACTTTTAAAGCACACTTACATTTATCTAACATCTGCTGTATAGTAATGCCTCAAATGTACCCAGTTACATAAAAACGGAACAAAATGGGCATTTTAGATTCATATGCATTCCCAAATATCAACTGCCTAATGATTACTTCAACTTCCCTTCCACACCTTTCATTAGAGAAGCTAACAACGACAGAATTTCCCCTTCCCTTTCCTAGACTCTTAAGGACAATGGAACAGTCACAGTTTGAAGTATAAAAGCACCTCTGACCAAATTCGGGAATTATTCAGTACCTTCCCTACCTACTTTGCATATGTAACACAGCTCTCACTTCCTGCCACCTAGTGTTATGATTAACTGTGAGTATGTCTGTCTCACATTGCAAGCTAGGCCATACAGCTCAGTTATTAAAATTCCAGCTCTGGATTCAAATCCAGACTCCTCCATTTAATTGTTCTGTGACCTTGAACTAGACACTTAAATCCCTGAGGTTCAGCTACTTTTTTTATTCACTCACTCAACAAATATTAAGTGCCTTTATGTGTGAGGTACAGCTCTAGATCCTGGAGCCAGACTGCATGGATTCAAATTCTGAGCTGCTACATACTAAATGTGTGATTTGGGCAGATTACTTAACTTTCTGTACCTCAAATCTCATTGTAAAATTATGATAATAATAGTACCTATCTCATGAGTTATTAGAAGGATTAAGAGTTAGTACGTATTAAAAACTTAGAATAGTGCCTATATTAATATATAACAACATATACCATAGATGCTGTACATTGTGTATGTTATTTATTATTGTTAAACAATAACTTATTAATATTATCTTATTAATTTTATATTACATCTTATTAATTTTAAGTACATATTAAAAACAGAATAGTGCCTATATTAATATATAATAATATATACTATATATACTATACATTGTATAAGTAATATGTTACTTATTATTGTACTATTTTTATAATTACTATATTTAATAAAGTGTTATATCGAGAGATTCACAAAATATCCAACTTACTCTGCTACCTCATTTGAGAACATCTGAAAACATATATTCTGTTTTCTGTTATAATAAAAGTGTCATTTGTAAAAACACAAGAAATCAGTAATTGTTGCTTTGTCCTACAAAAGTAACTTATAACTCCTAAAATTCTCCATTCTTGATTATTTCATTTAATAACTTACTGCTCTCGTAATAGTATTTGAATTATTATCTATTTTCTGAAAAGTATGCTACTTGGGAAGTTTCTTTGTTAAGTAAGTGAAAGAGCTTTGAAATTTCCTTTATCTTCCCTTTATCATTAAAGGTTGTGATTAATCCTGTGACTCTACTGGATTACTTTATTAAAAGAGTTTGTCTCATTTAAATTAAGATTGTTAAGCAAGGAACAGATTGTGTAAGACCCTGTAGATCATGGTAAACAGTTTAGATTTAATTCTAAATATACCAGAAAGGCATTTCAGGGTTTTAAGAAGATACAAAGACACAAACAGGTTGAAAGTAAGAGGATAGAAAACTATATCCCATGCAAACAGTAACCAAAAGAGAGCTGAGTTGGCTATATTATTATCAGAAAAAAAAATAGATTTAAGCCAAAGAAAGTTACAAAAGACAGGCCGGGTGCGGTGGCTCATGCCTGTAATCCCAGCACTTTGGGAGGCCGAGGTAGGCAGATCACAAGGTCAGGAGATCGAGACCATCCTGGCTAACAAGGTGAAACCCTGTCTCTACTAAACATACAAAAAATTAGCCAGGCATGGTGGCAGATGCCTGTAGTCCCAGCTACTCAGGAGGTCGAGGCAGGAGAATGGCGTGAACCTGGGAGGGGGAGCTTGCAGTGAGCCAAGATCATGCCACTGCACTCCAGCCTGGGCAACAGCACAAGACTCCGTCTCAAAAAAAAGGAAAGAAAGTTACAAAAGACAAATTAAGATATTGTATGTTGAAAAAAGGCTTAACTCATCAAGATATAACAATTATATACATATGCACAAAGTCCCAAAACAAATAAAGCAAAAATTGACAGAACTAAAGGGCAAAATATATAGTTCTATAATCATAGTTAAAGATTTCAATAACTCACTTTCAATAATAGAACAACCAAATAGAAGATCACCGAGGACATAGAGGACTTCAACAACATTACAAACTAATAACACCTAACAAATGTACGGAATCCTCTACCCAACAATAACAGAACGGATTCTTCTCAAGTGCACAAGAAACATTTTCCTGGACAGACTGTAAGTTAAGCCACAGAACAAATTTTAAAAGACTAAAATTATACAAAATATGTTTTCCAATCACAATAGAAAGAAACCAAGAAAACAACTAAAGGAAAACTGGAAAATTCACAAATATCTGGAAATTAAATAGCACATGCTTAAACAAACAATCAGATCAAAAAGAAATCACAAGGGAAACTTGGAAATACACTGCGACAAATAAAAATGAAAATATAACATACCAAAACTTACGAGATGCAGCAAAAGTGAAAGGGAAATTTATAGCTATAAATGCCTACGTTAAAAAAAGAAGGGGCTGAGCGTGGTGGCTCATGCCTGTAATCCCAGCACTTTGGGAGGCCAAGGTGGGCAGATCACGAGGTCAGGAGATCGAGACCATCCTGGCTAACATGGTGAAACCCCGACTCTACTAAAAATACAAAAAAAATTAGCTGGGCATGGTGGCAGGCGCCTGTAGTCCCAGCTACTGGGGAGTCTGAGGCAGGAGAATGGTGTGAACCCAAAAGGCAGAGCTTGCAGTGAGCCAAGATCACGCCACTGCACTCCAGCCTGGGCGACAGAGTAAGACTCCGTCTCAGGTTAAAAAAAAAAAAAAAAAAAAAAAAAACAGAAGGATTTCAAATCAATAACCTAAACTTAAGGAACTACAAATAAAAAATGCAAAACAAACCCAAAGCTATCAGAAGGGAGAAAATAATAAATATTAGAGATACATAAAATAGAGAAAAAAATAAGAGAAAATCAACAGGCTGGCTGCAGTGGCTCATACCTGTAATCTCAGCTGCTTGGGAGGCTGAGGTGGGAGGATTGCTTGAGCCAGGAGGGCAAGGCTGCAGTGAGCTGATCATACCACTGCACTCCAGCCTGGGTGACACAGCAAGACCCTCACAAAAAATCAAAAAAAAGAAATTTAAAAAAAAATTTTTTTAAAGGGAAAATCAACAATATCAAAAATTAGTTCTTTGAAAAGATTAACAAAATTAACAAACCTTTAGGCAAATTAACTAAGATAAAAAAAGAGAGAAGACCCAAATTACTCAAATCAGAAATGAAAAAGGGGACATTACTACTGATTTTATAGGAATAAAAAGGCTTAAAAGAGAATACTATGAATAACTGTAAACCAAAAAATTGGATAACCTAGAGGAAATGGATAATTTCCTAGAAACACACAAACTCCTAAACTAACTCAAGAAGAAACAGAACATCTGAATAGATCTAAAACAAGTAAGGAGATTGAAACAGTAATCAAAAACCTAGACTAAATCAGTAATCAAAAATGTTTCAACAAAGAAAAGTCCAGAACTGGATGACTTCACTGATGAGTTCTACCAATTCTGCCATTTAAAAAGGAATTAACACCAATCCTTCTAAAACTATTCCAAAAAACTTAAAGGGAAGAAACATTTACTCACTCTACAAGGCCACCATTACCCTGTTATCAAAGCCTGACAAACACACAAGTAAAGAAAACTACAGACCAATATCCCTTATGAACATAGATGTTAATAATCCTCAACAAACTACCAGCAAGCATATTAAATGCTTAATATTAAAAGAATTACTTACCACAATCAAGTGAGTAGGATTAACCCCCAGGAATGCAAGGATGGTTCAACATACAAAGTTAATCAATGTAATATGCCATATTAACAGAATGAAAGAAAAAAACATATAATGACCTCAGTTGATAGAGTAAAAGCATTTGACAAAGTCCAATACCTTCTCATGATAAAACCACTTGAACTAGGAATAGAAGAAAAATTCCTCACAGTGATAAAGGCCATATACAAAAAAACTCACATCTAACATCATACTCAATGGCAAAAGAATGAAGCTGGACCTCACCTTACACCAGATACAAAAATTAACTTAAAATTGATCAAAGACCTAAAATTAAGAGCTAAAACTATAAAAGTTTCTTAATCTTAGAAGAAAACATGGGCAAATTCTCATGACTGTGTATTTGGCAATAGTTTCTCTCTTTTTTGGCAACAGCTTTTTAAATATGGTCCCAAAAGCACAAGCAACAAAAGAAAAAATAGGTAAATGGCATTCATTAAAATTAAAAATATTTGGGTTTTTTAACTTTCATTTTAAGTTCAGGGGTACGAATGTAGGTTTGTTACATAGGTAAACTTGTGTCATGGGAGTTTGTTATACAGATTATTGCAGCACTATTCACAATAGCAAAGACATGGAATCAACCTAAATGCCCATCAATGATAGACTGGATAAAGAAAATGTGATACATATATACCATGGAAAATTAAAAACATTTGTATATTAAAGCACACTGTCAAGAGTATGAAAAAACACCCCTACAGAGTGGGAGAAAATATCTGCAAACCACTTAAGTAATTGGGGTTTACTATTCAGAATATATAACGAACTCTGACTCAATGACAAATAGACAATTCAATTATTTTTATTTTATAATTTCAACTTTTATTTTAGAATCAGGGGCACATGTGCAGGGACAACCCAATTTTTTAAATGGGTTTTAAATGGCCCATTTAAATTTTTTAAATGGACAATGGGCTGAGGTAGTGGTTCATACCTGTAATCCCAACACTTTGGCAGGCTGAATGGGAGTACTACTTGAGCCCAGGAGTCTGAGACCAGCCTGGCAACATGGTGAGACCCCTGTCTCTACAAAAAAAGGAAAAAAAAATTAGCTGGGCAGAGTGGTACATGCCTGTAGTCCCAGCTACTCAAGAGGATAAGGTGGAGGATCACTTGAGCCTGGAAGATTGATGCTGCAGTGAGCTGAGTGTGCCACTGCACTCCAGCCTGGGTAACACAGTGAGATGCTATCTCAATAAAAAAAAAGAAATGCAAATGAAAGAAAGGGAAGGAAGGAAGGAAGGGAGGGAGGGAGGGAGGGAGGGAAAGGAAAGGGAAGGAGTAGGGTGGAGGGAGGGAGGGGAGGAAGGGAGGAGGGAGGGGAAGGGAAAGGTGAGGGATGGAGGAAGGAAGGATAAAATGGGTGATGGACTTGAATAGACACTTCTCCAAAGAAAATATATAAATGAGGCTGGGTGTGCAGTGGCTCACACCTGTAATCCCAGCACTTTGGGAGGCCAAGGTGGGTGGATTGCAGCCAGGAGTTCAAGATCAGCCTGGGCAACATGGTGAGATCCCGTCTCTACAAAAAATACAAAAATTAGCCAGGTATGGTGGCACATGCCTATAATCCCAGCTACTCTGGAAACTGAGGTGGGAGGATCATGTGAACCCAGGAGGCAGAGGTTGAAGTGAGCTGAGTTTGCACCACTGCACTCCAGCCTGGGGAATAGAGCAAGACCCTGTCTCAAAATTATATATATATACACACACAATCAGCAGGCACATGAAAACGTATTCCAATCATTAGTCATTAGGAAATGCAAATCAAAACCACAATGAGACACCACTTCACATGCACTAGGTTGGCTATAACAAAAGTGAGAGAGAGAGAGAAGAAATATTGCTGAGGATGTAGAGAAATCAGAATCCTCATACATAGCTAATGGGAACGTGAAATTACACAGCTGCTGTGGAAACAGCTTGGCAGTTCCTCAAAAAATTAAACGTGGAATTACCAACAATATGACCCAACAATTCCACTTGTTATATATCCAAATAATTGAACAGATGGACTCAAATACTTCTACATGAATGCCCACAGCAGCATTATTCACAATAACCTAGAAGGTGAATATGATCCACGTTGTCTATCATCAGATGAATGGATAAATAAAATCTTATATATGTACACAATGGAATAGTCAGCCATAAAAATGAATGAACCTTGAAAACACACTAAGCAAAACAAGCCAGACATAAAAGGACAAATATTGTATGATTCCACTTATATGAAATATCTAGAATGAGCAAATTCATAGAGACAGAAAATAGATTAGTGGTCACCAGGGGCTGGGGAAAGTGGGCGATGAGGGTTAGTGCTTAATAGGTAAAGACTTTCAGTATGGGGTGATGAAAAAGTTTTGGAAATAATGGTGATGACTGTATGACATTGTGAATATAATGACATTGAATTATACACTTAAAAATTGTTAAAATGAAAATTTTCTGTTATGTATATTTCATCACAATAAAAAAGCTTTATAAATGAAAAAAATTAATGTGTTAAAAAACAAAATATTTAAGACTTATCCCATTACATTAATGTTGATACCAACCAGTATTCCTTGAGTACTGTTAAATGCTTGGAACTGTGCAAACTGCTTAATAGGATAGTCTCTCATTTAATTCTCACTGTAACACTGTAAGATAGATACTTTTATCATCCCATTTTTTGAATAAGAAGAATGATGCTTAGAGAGCTTGCAGTAAGCAGTGATGCATAGATTTGAACTTGAAATTCACCCTCTTAATCACTATCCTATACTTGGGGATCGCTAAATACCTCTCACAAACAACATAATAGCAGAGATTTGTTTCATTTATCTTTGTATCTCCAGCATCTAGTACAGAACCTTCCCTAGAGCAGAATTCATTAAATGTTTGTTGAATTATCTTAGAGCTAATCCTGCAAATATCAAACGTGTTGGTTCAGGTCCTCTGAAAAGCAAATGCCAAGAAGGAATCAGACATCCAAGAGATTTACTTAGGGAAATGCCCACGAAGGATCAAGGAGAGAAGCAGCAGGAATAAATGAGGAGAGCCTTCAAGTTATGATTAGGTATGACAATTGTGAAAGAAGAGAAGGAATGAGGACTGGGCAGGAAGAACCTCAAGCTAGAGCACAGCTCAGAGAAAGTCTTCACCAGGCCAACATGGAGTGTCCAAGCAAAGACTGCCATCAGAGGAGTCCCAGTTGAGCAGAAATGGCCCAACCTAGTAAACCAGCTGAGCTCAGTCATTGGCTGGGAGCAGCAGTGGGTGTGAGGGTGGCAGGGGTGTGTGGCTTGGAGTGAACATCACAGACAATGTGAAGAGAATATGGTCTGGTGTGAACATCTGGAGTCATCCAGCTATGTTTCTTGCAGCAGATCCTCTTAAATGGAGATCTGAGCAGTACACCTCCAGGATTATCACACCAACTTCAAACATTTACCTTAAGAAAATGGAAATTTTTCCCTAGGTGGTTCACTTTAAAACAAGGGAGTCTGAAAATCAATAGCATTCATATCTCAATGTAGAGATGTATATTTTGATGTCTCAAGCTCATTCAGCCATTACTTTGCCAAAGTTGCTTATCTTTAATAACTGGTAAATAAGAAAGCTAGTTACTGAGGAGTAAAAATAGTTTATACTAAAAATGGCTTCTGGTAGGGGATCCTAAACCCAAGTCAAAAAAGAAAGAAATGTTGTGGAACACTAGTCATTGGATTAAGACAGCATGAGGTTAGATTCTTCTAGAAGCTGTAGCTAAAGGGGTTAGGTCATGTCATATTTTGAATTTTACAGGTAGAACTGACGTAATAATTTGAGTTGAAAAAATGTAAGAATAGGGTTCACAGTAAGTTGAGAAATTTAACATGATGAGAGTGAGAGTGAAGGAAATAAGTTAAGACCCTAGGTAAGTCCTTTCTCAGGGCTTCAGTTTCCCCATTCCTAAAATCTAAGGGATAGGCTAGATTACATCGTGTTCTTTAAATTGTGTTCCAGGGAGCCCTGAGCAAGAAAATCTAGAACATGATGTTGAACTGGTAGGGTCACGGTGGATGGTTCTGTTAAGCTCTACCACGATAGCTTACACATAAGTTCCATGTGTGATTTTATGTTGTATATATTTATGTACATGATACAAAAGACTTCTGCCACTTTAATACAAAAGCAACTAGGTATCTTGAAGTTCTAAGCTTTTAGAATTTAATTATCCCAGAATAAAAAGAAGGTGTAAATTCTGAAAAAGAGTAAAAGGCAGAGAAGGAGGAGGAGAAGGATGGCTAAAATAAGACATATAACTGATGAAAAGTTTATCTCCTTTCCACCAAAATGAGGGAATGAAATGAGGAAAAATACATGGGATCCAGGAACCAGGGAATTCAACACAGGAGAAAAGCAAAGGGAACCCAAGGTAATGGTGAAGGGGGACACTGGGAACTATACAGCTGTACAGCAGCCTAGAGAACAATCAATCCAGATTGGAAAAAGACATGAAAGAGCTGCAAGAGGGACAGCCTCAAGCAAAAAAAAAAAAAAAAAAAAAGAATGAAAACTGGTAGATTATATGTTTGAGTGAATTGAGGAAACATAATGGAGAATCTGGGATGAAATAATGATAGATGCATTTAAAAATCAGCCAGGTAATTCTCAACCCTAAGGAAAATAAAATTTGTGTAAGAAAGAAATTTAATTATGGTATACTTATATAGTTTAGCTGTGAATATTTTCATAGTATTAGTAATCATTAAAATACCAGCTAAAAATCTAATATAATTAAATTGGGCCATGGTCACTGTCTTCTGTTTTACCAAGCCCCAAAAGATTTTTTCACATGGTAACATTCTGCGTCCCTGTAAGAAGTGACAAAAAATGGAGACTTGGGTCATAGGAGAGGCAATTTAAGAAGCATCAGGAGTGCCTAAAGATGGACTGAGAGGCAGCTGATGTTTGAAACCATCCACAGTGCAACAGATTGCAAAATTTCAGGTTGCGTAAATAAGGTAAAGTCTCTAAAAAATCTGTAGTACTTAAACTAAATCATAAATAGAAGATGAAACAATTTACGTGGCTGCAAAAAATATTATTTCTAATATTAGAACCCAAGAGTGTGTTAATGGAGACATCATCTGTTTTTTTTTTGGAACTTTCTTCTTCGTTTGGTTGTAGTAAATGTCCTATTCCTTTACTTTTCACATCCTACAATTACTGGTGGCAATTTTTAGCAATAAAAAATTGTTATCCATGATTTTTCTTTTTAGAATGCAGTTTATATTATTCTGATTGAGTCATCTTCTTGAAAGTTAATTAATTTTTTACTCAGTGCCAAGAGTATTTTAACATAGGGGGAATATCAGTGGAGTAAAAATATTATTTCATATAAAAGTTAAGGTTTTCCAATCACAGATGACTAGTTTTTTAAAGTAGTTATTTTCTTTTTCTTCAACTTATGGTGCCCTACTTGCAATGAAATGCCATTTTCTTTAAATTCTGACGTCTTGGCAAAGGGTTATTTTAACCGACACTCAAGTCAGAAGCTTATTTGTAATGTTCTTTCACTTCAGTTTACGGCAAATTAAATTATGGTTTCAGTTAAACAAAATTACATTAAAAACTGTACTGCTGAAATAAATAAATACCAGCTAACGAAAGGTTATATTATAACTAGAAGACAAGGGGAGCAGGAGGAGGACAGGGCAGTATAAATGAACTAAAACCTCATCTTTCACAGAAGGCACCCAATATCTAATATGCTAAAGAAGAAACTAAAAATGGTTGCTTCTGACAGAAGACTCAGAGGTAAGCAGGGGTTGGGCCAAGAACAGCTTCCCCTCCCCGCCCACTTATAGATCTATAAACCTATAGATTGTTTAAATTTTAAATTATGAAAATATATTTGATTAAAATTATTTTTTTTAACTTTACATCTTCATAAAATGATAAAGAGAGTAGGGGGCAGGGAAGAGAGTCGTCTTAAAGTTTTCTTTGCCTTTATTTGGGTTCAGGGCAGATATAATGGAGAAGTGAAAAAGCCAGAGTGAAAAAGCTTGGAGCTTCTAAAAGGCAGAACCCTGAGTATTTCATTCATCTCTGTGTCCCTAGTACCCAACACTATGCCTCATACCTTGTAAGAATTGTAAAAGGATTATTGAACAAGGTCTAAGTAAGGCTTCCTAATGATGTCAGTCATATCTTCCTACATTCCTTCCAGGAGGGCAAAGGGTGCCACTGAGCCCAACTGACAACAGAGCAACTCACTGTTAAGGGATCCATCTCTTTACTGGAGAGATGATCATGTGATTTACTAAGAAACAGCTATCAGTGGAGCGAAAAGCCTGAGGAAATTTTCCACCTCAGACCAGGTGGTTCTTATGTTTCTCTCTGATCACTGCTCCATTTATGGACTATTGGCCCATAGTGGGTTGGGGCACAGAGTTGTAAGGAATAAAACAGCTGGTTTCTAGTTATGAACCTCCCACAAATTAGCTGTGTGGAGAACAACAATTTCTCCAAGCCTCAGTTTAATGGTAACAGAAGCTTATACCAAATAATCTCAAAGGTCTAATTCAACTTTAACATTCTATGACCTTAGGTGACCCAGACAAATTATTGGAATGTGAGGTGTAGAACTTTCTTGAGCTGCTGGATCAACAGAGCTGAAGATTTCTGAGGATATTTGGAGGTGTCATCAATATTTCTAATCAAGAAAATTAAGTCCTAGGGATAGTCACTGACATTTAGAAATCATTCAAAAAGACTTTTTGGTCTGATATAAGTGAAAAGGGTAAAAATAATTGTTGAACAACGAAAAGTAATTTGAGCTAAAGTGAACCATGAAGAAGCCCCCTTCTTATGAGTATTCTGTCCCCAGAAAGAATACTGGGGAGGAAACAATTACAAGTAGGAGTAAAGGGTAAAAGAGTTTACAAGGTTGATGTCAGAATAACATGAATTAGCACACAAGGCCACAGGGGATGGATCAAAACCAATGGAGGTCCCATCCTGAATTTACAAGGGTCTGGTCTTCATTTGCTTCTCACTTCTGCCCTCTCTGATTAGTGGCTAAAGAATCACCACATGGGCCAGATGCGGTGGCTCACGCCTGTAATCCCAGCACTTTGGGAGGCCAAGGCGGGCAGATCACGAGGTTAAGAGATCAAGACCATCCTGGCCAACATGATGAAACCCCATCTCTACTAAAAATACAAAAATTAGCTGGGTATGGTGGCACTTGCCTGTAGTCCCATCTACTTGGGAGACTGAGGCAGGAGAATCACTTGAATCCAGGAGGTGGAGGTTGCAGTGAGCCGAGATCGCGCCACTGCACTCCAGCCTGGTGACAAAGCAAGACTCCATCTGAAAAAAAAAAAAAAAAAAAGAATCACCATATGTTAGTGCCAGAAGAGACCATGGAAATCAACCTTTTGGCATCCTATCTCGTTTTTTCTTTCTGATGAAGATCCATGAAGCCTCGAGAGAAGAGATTTTCGAAAACTACATTCCTAGTAAGTGATAGGGCTAGGCCCATCACCCAGACAAACTCAGATCTTCAGATCTAGGTTTGCATACTTTTTCTTCCTTGGCTCACATTCTCTCTCTTGTTCTCACTCCCATTTAGTTATTTAGTTATAAAAGATAATGGCCTATAGTGGGTTCCAAACTGTCGAGTAAATCACACTGTAGTGAGCCCCACTGAGAAAGGCCTGCACAGGTGTCTGGGCAGAGACAGAGAAAAGCCAGATTCTTCCATTCAGTTTTTGGCAAGCTCCATTCCCCTCCAGTTAAATTTAAATGAATTTTTAAGAATGAACAAAAAACTAGAAACCAGAGGGGGCCAAATAAATGGCTTTTGAATAAATAAATAAAAGGTTGTAAGGGCCTACATATCCTGTTGGTTTGAAAATGTCCAAAAAGTAGAAGAGTATGAAGGGAGGGGAAGAAAGGGGAGAGGAGCAAGTAGCCAGACACATCACATGGAAAATGTTTGAAAACAGGCTGGGAACTGGCTAAAAGCAGAGTAAGTAAATAGTTGGGAAGTTGGCTGGAAATTTGCACCAGAAAGCATTCTTATTTATTCATTCATCAAATAAATATGTTCTGAATGTCTACTAGTGTATAACACTCTTCTAAGCCCAGAAGGAAGTACTCAAAACATTAAAATGCACTCTGAGTCATGAGAAGTTTGTAATTTAGTTGGAGGGAGGACATATGATTGAACAAGCATTCAGGGAGTGCTTACCACATGCTCGGCACTGTGGTAGGTGCTAGGTATTATAGACATGAATGAGACAGCCTCTGCACTCATGGAACTCACATTCTAGAGCAGTGTTGTCCATCAGAAAAATAATGAGAACCACAAATATGAGCCACACATATATTTTAAAATTCACTAACAGCTATATTTTAAAAGGTTAAATAAATGGATATGTTAATTTTAATAATATATTTTATTTAACCAAACATATCTGAAATATTATTTCAACATGTAATTAATATAAAAATGAGATATTTTACATTTTACATTCTTTTTTTCGTACTAAGTCTAAAATCCACTGTGTATTTGCACATCTCAATTTGCTCTAGCCACATTTCCAGTGCTCACAAACCACATGTGAGCTACCTTATTGGATGGTACAGATCTAGAGTAATACTTCTCAAACTTCTTTTGATAAACATAAATATTACATTTGTCTGAAGTTTTTGATATACACCTTCTCTGCTCCCGCCTCCCCAAACCCTTCCTTGTTCAAGCAGAAATTCTCTATTTTCGCCTCTCCCTTCCTACCCAGTTGATAATCTCTACTTTGCTGGCTAAAGCAGGGGGCCAAAAGTTCTATGGTTTTCCAGGGTATAAATGACCCTCTTCACCTGTAAGATCTGATACTTAGCTACCCATACCCCACATACCACTCACACATACATCTATCTGAAAATTGTCATAAAATCTTAACATCACACAAATATAAAATAAAATAGTAACATGGGAAGTAAACAGCAAAAAGGAAAAAAAAAGGAAGCTATATAAGTTGATTCAAAAAGTAGTGCCTGATCATATAGCAAATGGTATAAGTTAGAACTGAGAAACATTGGATAGGCCAGAACAGTCAGGGAAGCCTTTATTGAGAGAATGGGATTTGAACTGTATCTTGAAAAATGAATAATGCACATTGAAATAAAACATAAAATACTTTGCCTTTGTCATATAAAAATAAGAATTTGAAAACTTGGGCCATTCATCACTTAAAATGCATTTTTAAAAATTTCTGAGAAGATTGTGTACCCAGTTCTAGGATAACTTTTACAGAAAGGGATAAGAACATTTTGTTCTTCCTATAAAAATGGATAGGTTGGTAGATTAAGGGTCATGATCAAGTGAAACATAACTGATTTTTACAGCTGCCAGTTTTAAAAGAAAACAGACACTGGCGAAGCTTTTCTTAATCTTTAAACAGTTTTAAAAAGTATATAGTGACAAAAGAGTAACTAAAAAATTAATCAAGAAAACAGAACATTATACTTTAATCAATAATATAACAATTACGAGTTTTCAAAATTTCAGCCCAGATTATAGTCAATTACAAGAGACAGAAAATAGAGGAAAATATGTGCAGGGCATGGCCTACAGAGAAAGGTATAAATGTCTTATTCTCTCAGTCCAAACCCAAATTATTCCTATAACTTCCCAAGTCTATCAGACAAAATCCTTGTCCAAATGCCTGGACAAATTCTTGTCCAGGTCCAGCACTGATGGACAAGGCTAACATCTTAAACTCCAAACCAGATTCAGGTTTCCTCCTCAGTCTTCACCTGCTACTAAACCTACTTAGGGCATGAATGACCCTTCCTCAAGATATTTATCTCAGGTGAATGCGGCAGTAGTGTCTGACCAGTGGATTATGTTCTAAAAATTTATATCTAATAAGATTGCACCTAAATTAACACATCTTAACACTCAAAATAGGATGGTGGTAAAGAGTGCAGACTTGAGCATTAGACCACCAGGGTTTCGATAATCCCCACTCTTATGAAGATACATATTCTAATTTATATGTACACATATATATATAGAGACAGAGAGAGAGATGAGCTGTGCTATATGTTTATGTATTTATATATTATATGTAAATTTTTATATATTATATAGTATATAATACATACATATATAATATATAATATATAAATATATAATATATACATATAATATATAATATATACATATAATATATTAACATATATAATAATATATAATATATTTATATATAAATACATATTATATATATGTTGCTGCGCTATATTTATTATACTTTACCAACAGCATTCACAGGACAGAGCAATACTCATTCTAAGACATTGTAAGTGGGACTGGCAAGTTGTAAATTAGCAATCTACTGGGAGAGATATTTCAAGAGCTTTAAAAAAGTACACTTTGGCCGGGCGTGATGACTCACACCTGTAATCTCAGCACTTTGGGAGGCCGAGGCCGGTAGATCATCTGAGGTCAGGAGTTTGAGACCAGCCTGGCCAACATAGTGCAACCCTGTCTCTACTAAAAATACAAAAAAAATCAGCTAATAAAAATACAAAAAATCAGGCGTGTACCACCACGCCTGTAATCCCAGCTACTCAGGAGGCTGAGGCAGGGGCATTGTTTGAACCTGGTAAGTGGAGGTTGCAGTGAGTCGAGATGGCGCCACTGCACTCCAGCCTGGGCAACAGAGTGAGACTCAGTCTCAAAACACACACACATTTTCACTCAGTAGTTCTACTCTCTGAAGTCTGAAGTAACTATAGCCTCGCAAAAATCTATAAAAACAGAGATGTTCATAATAGCATAATCTGTTAGATGAGAAATGAATTTAAGCTAAATACTTATCAGTGGAAAATTAACAGTAATAATAGCCTTTCATAAATAGCATTTACTTTGTATCAGGCAATATTCTAAGAGGTTTTCATGTGTTGACTCATTTAATCCTTTCAACAGACGAGTACTATATTCTCAATTTTAAAATAGAGAAATTGACGTACCCAAATTAAGATGTCCAAAGTCATACAGATAAAAGGTGGTAGAACCAGGAAATAATCCAAAGTCTGTGTTCTCAACAACCATAAAATACTGCCTCTCAGGAGAATGAATTATGGTATGTCCACACAATAGACTACTAAATAACCACTGATTTGGGTTTATGAATTATGTATTCAAACTTTGGAAATGCTTATGTTGTAATGTTAAGTGAAAAAAAGCAAGATAAAATCATACATAAACACACTCACAGTTATTATTCCAACTAAGTAAAACAAGACTGAATTAAAGATGTTTTTTTCTTTCTTCCCTATATTTTCTAAAATCTTTGTAATACTGTATTTAACTTTTTTATACAAGAGGCAACTGGAAAGTACAGCCATACTTTTGCTGATGAGAGAATAGATCTCAACGATACACTTTGTTTTCAAAAACTTATTTACGAAAAATAGCAAGGTTAGGCAGATAAAGATTATGCCTTTGGAATCAAAAAACTTATGCTGAAAAACCTGAAACACTCCACCCAAACCCTGTAAGGAAGATTTATCCTCATCTGTAGAATGGGGATATAAACAAACCCTACAATCACTGCAAAGATCAAATAAGATGGTTCAGGTGGAAACAAATTGGAAAGAAATTTGGTATTATTTCTCAGTCTGAAGTACAGGCCAGCATAACCTTTAGGTTATCATCTTAGACAACACTGCCTCCAAAAAGTGTCCCCTGACTGCCTAAATCTAGCTTCTTTAGCCTTGGCTTAGGAGCAATTACACCCCAAATGTGACGTATCACTTATCACACTGAGTATTGTCTGTTTAATCACTTTCTATTTGGGGGAACTTCAATAGCTATTTTGAAGTTTACAGCAAACTTTAAAAGCTTGCTCATATAGCCTTCCAAAAGACTTCTATTAAATACAGGCCTCTGAACATTTAGCTTTCCATGTAGGATGCAGTAGTCTGAAGCATGTAAACATTACCACTTACAATAACTGGAAAGGCTGGATATGAGATAGGAGGTGAGACTGGACTCCAGAGGCAGGGCTCAGATGCTGAACCAGATTGAGGACTAACTAAAACAGGGCCAGGGTGGAAGCAGCTTTCAATCAGATGCCCCCCCAACATGCCGTTTCAATTTATGTTTGCCATGAACACAGAGTTACTGCCCCTTTCTGCGGAAATGACTCAATGAGCCCAAATTTCTGCATCAACCACCCCTTAATCTACATGCAATTAAAAGTGGGCATAAATATGACTGCAAAACTGCCCTGAGCTGCTACTCTCTTGCCTACAGGGTATCCCTGCTCTGCAGGAGCAGTCACAGAGCTGTAACACTGTTTCTTTAATAATGCTGTTTTCTTCTATCACTGGCTTGCCCTTGAATTCTCTCTTGGGCAAAGCCAAGAACCCTCCTGGGCTGAGCTCCACTTTGGGGCTTGCCTGCCCTGCATCAGCTTGGTACCCAATGCAGGGTGAAGAAAGAAGATGGCTTCATGAGATATGGCAGTCGGAGATCTGGGAGCCACAGTCTGTAAGGTGGCAGTCGGCCAGTGACAGTCAGTAGGGCAGTAGTCAAGGACTGGCCAGGCGGCAGTCAGAGATCTGCCTGCTGGCAATCCACAGAGTGATGGTCAGCAGGAAAGTAATCATCTGGACAGCAGTTGGCAGGAAGGCAATCATCGATGGGAGGGCAGGAAGGCAGGACAGCAGTCAGTGGATGGCAATTGACGAGATGAGGAGCAGAGAGGGAGCAAAGCAGAGCTGTAATACTCTAACACCAACCAAGGGCTCTTTTCAGAGCTACATTTTCCCCGGCAAGCAGCAGAGCCCATCAGAAGAGCAAGCAGCCACAGTTCCACTACCTCGTGTAGGGCCTGCTTCTCCCCACCGCAGCCTGGTGGGTTACCTGTGCAGGCCCATCCCACTGCCACAGTTGAGCCTACTGGTGGAGTGGCCATAATGCAGTCTGCCTCATGTGACACCCGCCCCTCCTGCTGGCAGCCCGGTGGGTTACCACCCATGCAAGCCCTTCCCACTGCTGCAGTTGAACCAAGCCCATGCAAGTTGAGGTATCCTGGAGAGATCTTCACCAAGGTCCCACACTAAAAATCAGTCAGCGCCGTTTCCACTCTGGTGAAGAGGTGACTGTTCCTTCTGCCCACACTCCCATAGTATCAGGAGAACTAGGGAATAAAGTAACAGCCTTTGGCTAGGCAATTGCTTAGAAGTCCCTCATTGTTTGAATGCCAGAAAGCATGTCCTTGTCACCCCTTCTCCCACTCCTTTGTCTTCTGACTCCATTGTATTGTTCCATCAGTCATTTTATTTTCAGTCCTAAAATGGGTGCAGTCTTATGTTTGCTTTTAACTTTCTGTTAATTGTGTGTGGGTAATTATAACGAGACACTTGATTGTGAGAGACCCCTGTTTTGTTCACTCTAGGATGCCAGAGTCATGTCGTTCTGTGACCCCAACTTGGTCTTGGGTTCACTGCTGGCCACCCCCTGGGTGGCCCAGGGTTTTCAACACTTGGCGAGGGGACCCTTATTGGCTGCAATTTGGACACTCTGAATTTTCAGCATTGGTAATTTTGACCACCCTCCAGATGCTTTGGGGTATTTGGTGTTGACATTCCCTATAGTATTGTGGGTTATAGCCGCTCCCCCAGGCGAATGTTGGTCTTGCCTTTTTCTGCCCTAAAGTTTGAAGTATTATTTTCTTAATTGCCAATTCCAAGTGCTTTCCTGTGTGCTGTCTTATAACTGCTTTGCTCAAGCCCCTCTTGGTCAAAGGAAATGGGGAGTTCCTAGGCCCCTGGCCTGACAGAGCTACCTACAGCATTAGCCAAGTGGCCACCCAATATTCTTTTTCAGTGTCTCTGCTACTGGGTAGGTTCTCTGGCAAGTCAGAGCCTCTGAGGTCTCCACCTAGGCAACGCTGTCTACCCTTCCCTTCCTCCCTTACACAGTCACTATCTGTTTAGCCCATCTCTCTGCACAACCCTCACTCTCTGTGGAATTTTGGCTTAACAGCCACCTAACTGCCCATTTGAAGCTTGTAATCTACTTTTGTAACACCTTGCTATCAATAGAAAGTGGGAAATGAAAAGAGAAAAGTAAGTAGGCATTTACTAAACTTAGGCTAACTGAAACCCCTTGTAGTGACCCTTACTAGACATAGGGACAACAGCAAGCAACCCAAAAGCCTTGCCACTAAGGTGTCTTTTAGACAACTGGAGTTAGTTCACATTATCAGCCAAATTGAAAAAGAAAAAACTCATTTACTATGGCAATAAAGTTTGGGTTCAATAAAAATTAGCAAATCAACAAATCTGGCCTAGATATGGTTCTTTGTCATAATGATACTGTACAATTAGACTTGTTTTGTAAAAAGTAAAGAAAATGGGAAGAAGTTCCCTATGTATAGGCTTTTTTTTTTTCTTTTTTTTTTTTGAGACGGAGTCTCGCTCTGTCGCCAGGCTGGAGTGCAGTGGCATGATCTTGGCTCACTGCAACCTCTGCCTTCCGGGTTCGAGAGATTCTCCTGCCTTAGCCTCCTGAGTAGCTGGGACTACAGGCATGTGCCACCATGCCCAGCTAATTTTTGTATTTTTAGTAGAGATGGGGTTTCACCATGTTGGCCAGGATGGTCTCCATCTCTTGACCTTGTGATCTGCCTGCCTCGGCCTCCCAAAGTGCTGGGATAACAGGTGTGAGCCACTGTGCCCAGCCTATACAGGTTTTTATAGCTCTCTACCAGAATGCTAACTTAAGGGCTAGCTGTAGAATGTCTCTGGCTCCTGATACTCCCAGAGACCCAGAAGCTGCATCAGCTATCCTAGATGAACCCCTCCTAGTTGCTCCCCATAGGAGGTCTGTGCTCCCTCTTTGGAGCCTCCCCCCTCCCCTAGTTCTGAGAGGGGCCCCACTAGTTCTCTAGTGCAGAATTCTACTCCAAAGTCATCAGGAACCCCTCCCCCTCATCCAACACGCCCTGGTCCCTATTCCCCATTGCCTGAGGAAGTAAGCCGGACCAGTACTACTAGGAGTGGGGCCCCAGATCAGCCCCCTAAATTGAACTTGTGTCTACTGCAGGAGGCAGCTGATGGAGACGGAGAAACAATCAGAGAATATGTGCCTTTTCCCATGTTTGATTTGGCTTTCTGCAAGGAAAAATTTGGTTGGTTGGTTTTCAGAGGACCCAGGAAAGTTTATAGAGGAGTTTGTTAAGTTGACCATGTCTTTTGCTTTAACTTGGCATGGCATGCAGAAATTATCATCCACTTGTTGTACTGTACAGGAAAAGCAAAGAATTCAAGGTATTGCTCATGAACATGCAGATGGAGTGGCTGTGCATAATCCAGGCCATGCCATGTATCGTGTGGGAAGAGATGCAGCTCCAGATTTCGACCCTCAGTGGGATTACCAGAGAGGACCTCAAGATCTTGAATGCAGAAATCATATGTTAACTTGTTTAATAGATAGTATGAAGAAGTGTGCAGTCAAGCCAGTAAATTATGAAAAGGTGAGAGAAATAACTCAGAAGAAAGATTAAAATCCTGCTCTATTTCAGGGCTGTTTAGTTGAGGCACTCAGGAAATACACTATTACAGACCCAGACTCCCCAGAAGAGTGAGCTCTCCTGGGTGTGCATTGCGTTACTTAGTCTGCCTCTGACATTAGGAGGAAGCTATAAAAGGGAACAATGGGACCCCAAACCTCCATGAGTCAACTCTTAAACATTGCTTTTGGGGTTTACAATAATAGGGACAGGGCAGAGGGAGAGGCAAAAAAAAAAAAAAAGAATTGGCCAAAAAGCACAATTGTTAGAGGCTGCTGTGGGCCCCCTACTGCCTCAGGGTTACCCATGTCAAGGAAATGTCATGAGATCAGCATCTGGGATGTTCAGACAAGAGCCCCCCATTCAACAGCCTCTAGGTCAAAATCAGTGTGCCTTCTGTAATCAAGAACGCCACTGAAAGAAAGACTGCCACAGGCTTAAGAGGGAGTTTAAGACACCCAGACCCATAATGGCCAAGAAGGTAGAGGACTGATGAGGCCCAAGGTCCTCTACGGCTCCCACTGGACACCTTACAATCTCCATGGAAGAACCTCGGGTAACTCCTGATGGAACAGGCAAAAATACTGAGTTCTTATTGGATATAGGAGTAGCCTACTCAGATTTAACCCATTTCTTAGGGCCACTGTCTTCCTACTCTTGTACAGTAATGAGAATTGATGGCCATCCAAAAATTAGGAGATTCACTCACCCCCTTGGTTGTACCATGGGGTACCATGTTTTCCCACAGGTTCTTCCTCATGCCTGAGTGTTCTATCCCTCTCATGGGGAGACACTTACTTTCCCAATTACAGGCCACAGTTCAGTTTGGGATGCCTCATGAGAAGGCCAACAGGCCAGGAAGGGACACTTCTCCTAACTTTAAGTGCTTTTCTTAACACAGATAAGAAGACCTCCCTTCCGTCACATATTGTTTCTCAAGTAGACCCCTCTGTTTGGGACACAGAAGTTCCCAGCAGAGCTGTTAATATACCCCCAGTTGAGGTTGTTTTAAAACCCAATGTTAATTATTCATGGAAAAAACAGTATCCTTTGAGACCCGAGGCTCAGAGTGGCATCCAGGCCCTAGTAACAAAGTTCCCAAAGTATGGATTATTACAATGCTGTCAGTCTCCATGTAACACCCCCATTTTACCTGTAAAAAAACCAAATGGGGAGTATAGATTTGTTCAGGATCTAAGGGCAGTTAATAAGGCAGTAGTCACAGTTCATTCAATAGTTCTTAATCCTTACAATATTGACCCAAGTCCCTGAAGATGCTTATTGGTTCATAGTGTTAGACTTAAAGGATGCTTTCTTTTTATATTCCTAGTATATTTTTGCTTTTGAATGAACTGATCCAAACACTCATGCTGCATCTCAGCTTACCTAGACAGTTCTTCCCCAAGGTTTTAGGGATAGTTCCCACCTCTGTGGCAATGATTTGGACAAAGAGTTAAGGGAACTACAGTAAACTAATGGGTCCCTCTTGCAATATGTAGATGACTTATTAGTTTCTAGCTCTACTAGGGAAGACTCTGACAGAGACACAATCCAGCTCTTTAATTTTCTGGGAAAGTGAGGGTATCAGGTATCCCCCCATATAGCCCAGATCTTTGCAAAAGGTTAAATATTGGGGGTATGTGCTTACTCCTGGGACAAGGACTTTGGTCCCAAGGACTTGCTCCTCCTTGCCTTCCACCATGATTGTGAGGCTTCCCAGCCACATGGAACTGTAAGTCCAATTAAACCTCTTTCCTTTGCAAATTGCCCAGTCTCAGGTATGCCTTTATCAGCAGTGTGAAAATGGACTAACACAGCATCCTAACTCAAAGGTTAGGGAATAGCTCCAGACCAGTGGCTTACTGTTCTAAACAGCTAGACCAGATGGCAGCAGGGTGGCCAGGTTGCTTGTGAGCCATGGCTGCCACCACTCTACTGGTAGAAGAAGCCAGAAAGTTTACCTTTGGACAACAATTAGATATCATGAGCCCCCACCAAGTACAGGAGGTCTTAGCAACAAAAGGACACCAATGGTTAACAGGAGCTCACTTACTTAAATACAAGGCCCTTCTGCTTGACACCCCAGATGTAACTCTTAACGTATGTAAAATTTTAAACCCTGCTACCTTGTTACCAAAGTTCATGTCCCAGGAAACAGATCCCCAACTCACTCATTCCTATGTGGAAACCACGGAATAGATCTACTCTAGCAGGCCTGACCTCAAAGATGAGCCCCTGCCTAATCCTGATGTTGAGTGGTTTACAGAGAAGAGTAGCTTTACACATGAGGGAGTAAAAAGGGTGGGTTATGCAGCAGTTAGCCAACAAGCAGTCACTAAGGCAAAAACATTGTCTCCCCAGACTTCCACTCAAAAAGCAGAACTAATTGCTTTATTAATCGGGGCCCTCCAATTAGGAAAAGACTTAAGAGTCAATATATATACTGACTCTAAATATGGGTTTCTGGTGCTCCATACTCATGCTGTTAAATGGAAAGAAAAGTGACTATTAACAGCTAAGGGATCCCCCATACAATATCACTTTGAGATCCTGGAACTTTTAGATGCTGTCCAGCTCCCAAAGGAGGTAGCAGTTATACACTATTCACTACTGGGGACGCCAAAAGGGAGAAATCTCTATTATCAAAGGAAATGCTCTGGCTGACAGAGCAGCTAAGACCACAGCTAAAGAACACCAGTATTACAGGCCACTGCACTAATGCCAGGTACTCCACCCATGTCAGCCACACGATATTATACCCATGAGGAAATTAATTGGGCAGAACAGAAAGGCTTACAAAAAGATCCCTCAGCATGGTTACTAGGAAGCAACAAACTTTTTCCTCCCAAGGCTGAGCAATGGAAGATAGTTAAGTATTTCCATGACTCCTCACCTTTGGGATGGGACTCCCTGTTCAAATTAGGTTTTCAAATCTTTTGGGGAAAGAAACTATTCCAGACTGTAAAGAGGGTCACCAAGGCCTATGAACTTTGTGCCTGTAATGGCCCAGGAAGACACCCCATAGCCCCACCTCTACTCAAATCTGTACAATATCGAGGGACATACCCTGGGGAGGACTGGCAACTAGATTTTACTCAGATGCCACTTTTCAGGGGACTAACATATTTGCTAGTATTTATAGACACTTTCATTAGGTGGACTGAAGCTTTCCCTACAAGGACAGAGAAGGCATTAAAAGTGTCCAGATTTTTACTTAAAGAGATCATCCCACGATTTGGATTACCTAAAAGTCTGCAGAGTGATAACAGATCCTCCTTCACAGCTAAAGTGACCCAGCAGGTTTCCTTAGCCTTAGGTATTACCTATCAACTTCACTCCTCCTGGAGACCTCAATCCTCAGGTAACGCAGCAAAAGCTCATATTTTAACAAGGATATTAGCAAAGTTCTGTCGGAAGATCTCAGAGGCCTGGGTTTCTCTCTTACCAACAGCCCTTTCATGTGTAAAGATGGCTCCAAAGGGAACTCTGAAACTTAGTCCATTTGAATTCACTCATGGAGACCCTTTTTAACTTCAGACCTCCTGCTTGATTAAGAGACACATAGAATGAGCACCCATATTATCAACTTAGGCCAGGTTCTGAAGGCCCTCCAAGCATATGGAAATAAAATATTGCCCCCTCCCCAAAGGGAAATAATTAACCTCCCTGTTCGACCAGGAAACTTAGTCCCGCTAAAAACTTGGAAAGAAGGATCCCCTGAAGATCATTTACAGTCAAAATGGAAGGGCCCCTATCAGGTGTTATTGAGTACCCACACTACTGTTAAACTTCAGGGAATAGCTAGTTGGGTACACCCGTCCAGGATTAAACATGTTTTGTATGAGTCGCAGGCACAAAAGGAGGACACCACAAACTACATATATGAGCCTTTGGAGGATCTCTGCTACTTGCTTAAAAGAATCAACACTCAGCCAGAAGTGGTAACATGATGCTGTGGGTAGGAAAAGGCACTTTAATTTTGCTCTTCTTCCTGCTCTGTTTTTTACCCCTCCTAGGATGTTTGATCACTATCTTTTCACTAATTTTTTGCCCTTGCTTGTTTAGCCTCTTAAAGTTAATGTATTCTAGATTACAACCGTTCCAGGTAAAACAATGCTGGCACAAGGCTTCCAACCCATCCCATCTACTGACCTGGAGAATAAAAGCATTCTGCCTCTGGGCCCCTTAGATTAGGCATCCAGAGATTTTTTACTACGGTTTGAGCCTATGCCCATAAGCTCAGCAGGAAGCAGTAACAGAAGATGGACCTCTGCCCTTCTGAAGCCTGTTTAAGATTAAGGAGGAGTATCTAATCTGATGCAGGACTCAGCTCCAGAGGTGAGACTTAGACATCAGGCCAGATTGAGGACTAACTAAAACAGGGCCAGAGCAAAAGCAACTTTCAATCAGACATGCCTACCAGCCTGCCATGGCAACACCCAGGAGTTACTGCCCCTTTCCATGGCAATGACCCAGTGAGCCAAAAGTTACTACTGCTTCCCTAGAAATTTCTGCATGAACTGCCCCTTAATCTGCATGCAATTAAAAGTGGGTATAAATATGACTGCAAAGCTGCCCTGAGCTGCTACTCTCTGCCTACAGGATAGCCCTGCTCTGCAGGAGCTTCACAGAGCTGTAACACTGCTTATTCAATAATGCTGTTTTCTTCTACCTCTGGCTTGCCCTTGAATTCTTTCCTGGGCAAAGCCAAGAACGCTTGTGGGCTAAGCTCCACTTTGGGGCTTGCCTGCCCTGCATCAGATACATTGTAAAAATCATACGTTTAAAGGTATCAAAGAGCTACAAAGGCAATAAGGAGTATCAGAAACAAAATTCCAGAGAGCAGAGAACCATTCATAGGTGATGTAAGGGTCTAAAGTGCTTTCAGGGCATTTGCCATTTCTGAGCAAATATTTGGGGTATGTGCTCACTCCTGGGACAAGGACTTTGGCTAGTGGCTGAGATCTGGAATTGGGCCAAGCACAGGAATGCTGCTTACAGACAGAAACGAATGAAACTTTTTATAGACACATGGGCAGGAGTGACAAAATAGAAGATTTAAGAAGCCTCAAACACAAGCTTCCTCCTCAAGGTATTTTCTGAATTTTTAAGATGAGTCAAAACTTTAGAAAAGCAGAATGGAATTTTCTAGAGTCTATGAATACTTACTATTTAGGAAACAAAGACTGGTTAGGGAAAAGAGCCTTGAATACAGCCATGGCAGGTGAAAGCCCTGGAGATTAATACTAACATCTGCTGTCACATTTGCCAATATGGGCACAGCTAGAGGCTGAGAATCCACACTTGTCAGAAGGCTGCTTCTGAAAAATAGAGAAACTGGTGGAGTTTTGGCAGTTGTACAGTTGTACCAAAATTGGAGACTTGACAGACTTTAAACCAGCAGCCTCTCTAGTCCCAATAAATCTGTGATATTTTGAAGCTTCATGGGGTGGAAGGCTAAAGAGCTAATCCAAAACCTCTGTAAAGTGGAGTGAAAATTTCCACAGAGCCTTGGTTCTAAACAAAGGACCCCAGGCTCTCAATGAAAAGCCATGAAGTACCACTTCCTAGGAACAGGGAAACAAAAGTGGACTAGTCTGACCAAAATTGCAAACCAGACTTGACCTAAATAAGTGCATAAACTGGATTAAGGTGTTCAGATCCCCATTCTATTTTCTTAGACTAGGAAAGGGTGAATCTTAATTTTAAAAATAAGTGTTTAAAAGGAAGGAAGGAAAAAACAAAGGAAGGAAGGGTTGATGGGTAAATCACCTCTGGTGGAAGAAACCATCTTCTGAAGCCTTGAGAGTTGGGGTGTTATTATTTTAACATAATACATCTTACATGGCTGATAACCAATAAAAGCAGACCCATAGGTCATACAGATATTGGAGTTAGCAGACCAGGACTTTAAAATACCTATGACTTATATATATGAATATATATTCAAATAAAGGAAAAGACAGACAGTAGAAATGAAAAGATACAAAATTTCAACAGAGAAATGGAATTTATAGAAAGAATCAAATGGACATTCTGACTCAAACTAAATATCTGACATTAATAACTCAATGGATGTGTGTAAAAATAGATTGACCTAACAGAAGACAGGATAGTAAACTCAAAAGAAATCAATAGAAAATATCCAAACTCACACACACGCGCGCGCGCGCGCGCGCACACACACACACACACACACACACACACACACACCAGACTGCTGGGGAGTAGGAGAGAACAAAGGAAGAGAGAAGAAAAAAAATGAAGAAGACACAGACAGAGAGGGAAAACAGTGCTAGAGACTTATGGGACATGGGCAAAATATCTAATATACATGTATTTAGAATTCCAGAAGAGCAGAGAGGAAATGGAACACCAGCAGTATTTGAGGAGATATGTTGGAGGATTTTCTAAAAGTGATGAAAGATCCACTGTAATTGTTTGATTCCATTTTTTGGCAGCTTTCAAGCCCTCCTCCTCCATTTTACCCTCTTGACCCATATCTGGACAAGCCAATAAGACAGCCTGCATGCTCTCTCCTTTGGCACTGGCAAGAAGTTCAAACCACGTAAGCCCTGGCCAATGTGCACTTACTCCAGCTCCACCCTCTATCCACAATAAAAGCTAAAGCCAGTCTCTCCTCCTTGCTCTCTCAAGCCATTTTGGGGGTCTGCTTTGCAACCTGCCCTGTTACCCCCCAAAAAAACCTCATTATGTGAATAATATATCTTTTTATGCCCTCTTGGTGTATGTGTGGCATCATTAGTCCCAACATATGAATGAAATGTTGGGTGGAGTGTGTTGATCCTGACCTCCACAGGGCAACCATAAGACAACTGGTACTGTGAGCAAGATGTTGAGACAATGATCATCGCCATGGGGATCTTTCTTCACTTGTTTTTTTGTTTGTTTGTTTTTTGTTTTTAAGACAGAGTTTCGCTCTTGTTGCCCAGGCTGGAGTACAATGGCGCGATCTCGGCTCACTGCAACCTCCACCTCCCAGGTTCAAGTGATTCTCCTGCCTCAGCCTTCCCGAGTAGCTGGGATTACAGGCATGCGGCACCATGCCCAGCTAATTTTGTATTTTTAGTAGAGACGGGGTTTCTCCCTGTTGGTCAGGCTGGTCTCGAACGCCCGACCTCAGGTGATCCGCCCGCCTCAGCCTCCCAAAGTGCTGGGATTACAGGTGTGAGCCACCATGCCTGGCCTTTCTTTACTTGTTTTAGCCTGCTAACTGGCTTTGCTGATTGCTAGTAAGAATATACTTTAAGTTGCTGCCTGCTGGCAAGTGAACTCTTTGAGCTATGCTGCTGCCTGCTGGAGAGTTTGCAGTTGGAGCTGTGCTGCTTTGTGCTCCATTTACTGACTCCTGTTTGAAATTTAACAGACCTACATTGGAAGTTTCAATAGCTGGCACTTAGAAACAGGAGTATTGGAGTGGATCCCTCCTTAAAATGGCCCTGGGTCATATGTCTCGACCAGGATTTATCTGTGTGTTTTATATTAAATCGTATGTCTCAATTCCAGCATAAGCTATAACACTAGACTTAGGGGAATGACTCTTACCCTGTGACTATTGATTGTGCACCTCAATCAGATGGTAGCCCCTGTTTTATAGAACACTCAGAGAGAAGACCAATACACTGTGTGATACATGGCCCATCACTCATGTGGAGGAGAAGTAGACACCAAGTGGCGTGCTGAAGTCCACTCCTCCAGGAACATATGGCTCAACAACACCCTATGCCTTAAACACTTCTGCTTCTGCTTCTGCTGGCTAGGCCTCTGCTCCAAAAAAAGAAGATTCTGATCCTTATGGTTATAGAGGAAAATATCTATGGCACCCCCATGGCACAGCCAAGGAGTTAATTCAGGCTCATGTTAAACCCAGGATCCTTAAATCCTTAACAACCATTACCATGGGGTATGCCCTTGACCCTGATTATATGAATTTGAGAATCTCTGAATGCAAAAATGATAAATATGAGCATAATAAAGAAGAGTCCCCTTGAATTATACCTAGTAAATGCGCACACACACACACACACACACACACACACACACACAAATGGCTACAGTGGGAAGAAACAAAAACCTGAAACAGAGGTTCACAATTTGATCTAAATAAGATCTGTTTTGGAAACCACTTTGGCAGTTCCTCAAAATGTTAAAGTTATCATATGTCCTAGCAATTCTACTCCTATGTATACACACAAGAGAGTTAAAAACATATGTCCATTCAAAAACTTATACATGAATGTTCAAAGCAACATTATTCAAAATAGCAAGAAAATGGAAACAATCGGCCAGGTGCGGTGGCTCATGCCTGTAATCCCAGCATTTTGGGAGGCCGAGGCAGGCAGATTCCCTGAGATCAGGAGTTCAAGATTAGCCTGGCCAACATGGTGAAATCCTGTCTCTACTAAAAATACAAAAATTACCCGGGTGTGGTGGCACACGCCTGAAATCCCAGCTACTTGGGAGGCTGAGGCAGGAGAACTGCTTGAGGTGGAGGTTGCAGTGAGCCGAGATTGTGCCTCTGCATTCCAGCCTGGCCGACAGAGCAAGACTCTGTCTCAAAAAAAAAAAAAAAAAGGAAACCATCAAAATCTCCATCAACCAATGAAATAAGCAAACTGTGGCATATCCATACAATGGAATATTATTTGGCCATGAAAAGAAGTACTGATGCATGTTACAACATGAAAGAACTTTGAAAACATTATACGAAATTCGTTAACCCTTTTTCTGTTTGCCCCAGGAATACTTGCCAGCAGCACCTGTGGCTGCAAGGGTTACCCAGAGATAACTTTGCCACAGAATATCTCACTTTTATTATTATTTTTGCATCACTTTAGTATATCAACTTTGGAGACAAAATATATCATTCTATTCATAGAATTCTGTTTTTAGTAGTGGCATTTCCATTTACAAAATACAGTAATTCTTGATCACTGAAAATGTCAAATCCTAGAAAACACAGCATTCCTACGTGGGATGATAACATCATTCTTGAACAATTGTTGGCCAAAGATTCATTTGATGAATCTAATTTTTCCAAAATAGGCGATTCTGATGAGTCAGATGATGCTGATGTTAGTTCGGTTTAGAAATAACTCCAAGAACAGTTCTTGTATTTTATTTTCACATTGAGAAACAGGCAGATTTGCTTCAGCCTCAAAGAGTATGTTTATGTAAAATTAAATGAGTGCTGGCAGAGAGCTGTATTTTTTTTTTCTAAACAAGAAAAGGGTTAAGTGAAAGAGGCCAGATACAAAAGACCACACATTGTATGACTCCATCTATATGAAATGTCCTGAATTAGAAAATCCATAGAAACAGAAAGTAGATGTGTAGTTGCCAGGGGCTGGGTGTAGAAAGAATGGAGAGTAACTGTTAATGGGTATAAGTGGGTTTTTGGGGGGCAGGTGATGAAAATGCTGTGAAATTAGGTAGTCATAATGGTTCCACAACTCTGCAAATATACTAATAACCAGTGAATTGTATACATTAAGAGGATTAGTTTTATATTATGTGGAATATATCTCAAACTATTTAAAAATGAGCAAAACATTTGAACAGGCACTTCACAAAAGAGTACAACTAAACAGTCAATTTGTGAAAAGGTACTCAACTTCATTTGT
Organism: Homo sapiens; assembly: GCF_000001405.40. Classification (NCBI taxonomy): domain Eukaryota; kingdom Metazoa; phylum Chordata; class Mammalia; order Primates; family Hominidae; genus Homo; species Homo sapiens. The sequence continues at coordinate 99,309,446 of NC_000010.11, forward strand.
CATCAGGGTTATGTGAAGTAAAACCATAATGAGATACTACTACACACCAACCAGATGGCTAAAATGAAAAGGACAGAAAATTCTAAGAGTTCATAAAGACACAGAGCAGGGTCAGCAAACGATTATGCACCACCTACTTTTCTAAATGAAGTTTTATTGAACACAGCCATGCTCATTCATTTATGTACTGTCTATGGCTTCCATTCTACAAAGACAGAACTGAGTATCTGCCACAAGTCCATATGGCCTGCAAAGCCTAAAATATCTATTATATAGCTTATTAATATCTGGCCCACCACCCTTGATGTGAAGCAACCAGAACTCTGATACACTGCTACTGGGGCTATAAATTGGTGCAACCATTCTGGAAAACTATATGGCAGTATCTACTGTAACTCAACATTTGTATATGCTATATATTTTGTGTATTAGTTTCCTGTGGCTGCTGTAACAAATTACCACAGCCTTAGTGGCTTAAAACAACACAATTTATTCTCTTACAGTTTGGGAAGCCAGAAGTCTGAAACCAAAGTATCAAGTGGACCACACTCCCTCCAAAAGCCCTAGGGGAAAATTCTTTATCTCTTCCAGTTTCTGGTGGCTGCCAGCATTCTTAGTTTGTGGCTATATCACTCCATCTTCACATTGCCTTCTGCTCTGCGTATTTCTAACTTCCTACCAGCTCCTTCTTATAAGAACGCTTATGATAGCATTTAGGGCCCACCTGGAAAATCCAGGATTATGTCCTCATCTCAGAATCCTTAATTTAATTACATCTGCAAAGATCTTTTTTCTAAATAAGGTAACATTTACAGCCTCCTGGTATGAGGACATAGACATATCTTTGGGAGCCATTATCAGCCTATCCAACAATTCCACTCCAGGGCATATAGAGCCACTAAAATATATAAAAACATATTGAGTTGTAACCTTGTAATTGATTAGTTTTTCCTGTGTGCATGTTATACTTCAAAGAAAAGAAAAACCTACAGTGTTCTTTGCTCATCATTAATTAACATCTAAAATTTTTCATTGTAAAGTGTAAATAGTTAGAAAGGATATACAGTGAATTTTAGCATAATTTTTAAAGATATTTTTAAAGAAAATTGTTATATCACCCCTTCAGATCTACCCAGTGGAATGTAAATATTGGAATGATTTAATACCCACCCAGCATCATCCATTTTATTTTTGTTTTTGAGACAGGGTCCCGCTCTGTCGCTCAGGCTGGAGTGCAGTGGTGTGATCTCGACTCACTGCAACCTCTGCCTCTGGGGTTCAAGCAATTCTCCCACCTCAGCCTCCCGAGTAGCTGGAACTACAAGCACGAGCCACCACGCCCAGCTAATTTTTTTGTATTTTTAGTAGCGATGAGGTTATGCCTTGTTGGCCAGGCTGGTCTCAAACTCCTGACCTCAAGTGATCTGTCTGCCTCGGCCTCCCAAAGTGCTGGGATTACAGGCATGAGCCACCCATCATCCATTTTAAAAACAGAATAATGAGATCTTCAGAAATTCATATCATTTTTATTTCTCCTATAACATAATTTTTCATTCCACTTTCCCTACTGCATTTAATCTGAGTGTATTATACTTTTATATTTGGAGATCTATCAATCATCCTATCATAATTCTCTGATACAAAAAAGTATGATAAACTTAATATTTTAACTTTTTTGACCATAAGGCTTTGAGTATTTAAAAAATAAAAAAGTCTTCTGAGTCATATTGTCATGACAATTACTATTAGTACCCAATTGAGCAAAATAACATAAACATCATAAAATGTATATAGATACTGAACATAAAAATTTTATTGGCAATGTGTAGGCATACCTCATTTTATTGTGCTTCACTTTATTGCACTTTGCAGACACTGTGTTTCTTACAAAACTGAAGGTTTGTGGCAATCCTGCATTAATGCCATTTTTCCAACAACATGTGCTCACTTCATGTTTCTATGTCACTTTTTTGTAATTCTTGTTAATATTTCAAGCTTTTTCATTATGATTATTATGTTTGTTATGGTGATCTGTAATCAGTAATCTCTGGTATCACTATTGTAGTTGTTTAGGGGTGCCATGCCTATGTAAGATGACAAACTTAACCAATAAATGTTGTGTGTGTTCTGACTGCGCCTCTGACTGGCCCATTCCCCCATCTTTTCCCTCATCTCAGACCTCCTATTCCCTGATTGAAATTAGTCCTATTAATAACCATATTGAAATTAGTCCTAATAATAACCCTACAACGGCCTCTAAGTGTTCAAATGAAAGGAAGAGCAACACATCTTTCACTTTGAATCAAAAGCTAGAAATAATTAAGCTTAGTGAGGAAGGTATGTCAAAAGCTGAGATAGGCCGAAAGCTAGGCATCTTGTGCCAAAGTTAGCCAAGCTATCAATACAAAGAAAAAGTTATTGAAGGAAATTAAAAGTGCTACTCCAGTGAACACACAAATGATAAGAAACTGAAATAGCCTTATTGCTGATATGGAGAAAGTTTTAGTGGTCTAGATAGAAGATCAACCCAGTCATAACATTCCCTTAAGCCAAAGCCTAATCCAGAGCAAGGCCCTAGCTCCCCTCAATTCTATGAAGGCTGAGAGAGGTGAGGAAGTTGCCCAGGAAAAGTTGGGACTAGTAAAGTGTGGTTCACGAGGTTTAAGAAAAAAAGCCATCTCCATAACATAAAATTACAAGATGAAGCAGTAAGTGCTGGATGTAGAAGCCTCAGCCAGTTATCCAGAAGATCAAGCTAAAATAACTGATGAAGGTGGCTACACTAATCGACAGATTTTCAGTGTAGACAAAACAGCCTTCTCTTGGAACCAGATGTCACCTAGGACTTCCATAGCTAGAGAGATGTCAACACCTGGCCTTGAAGCTTCAAAAGATAGGCTGACTCTCTTGTTAAGGGTTAATACAGCCGGCGACTTTAGGCTAAAGCCAGCACTCATTTACCATTCCAAAAATCCTAGGGCCCTTAAGAACGTTAAATCTACTTTGCCTGTGTTGTATAAATAATATTCCATTTTGTTGTCACAAAGCCTGGATGACAACACATCTGTTTACAGCAAACTTTACTGAATATTTTAAACCCATCGTTGAGAACTACTGCTCAGAAAAAAAGATTCCTTTCATAACATTACTGCTCATTGACAATGTACCTGGTTACCCAAGAGCTCTGATGCAGATGTACAAGGAAATTAATGTTGTTTTCACATGTGCCAACACGTCATCCATTCTGTAGCCTATGGATGAAGAAATAATTTCTAATTTTCAGTCTTATGATTTAAGAAATACATTTCATAAGGCTATGACTGCAATTCCTCTGGCAGGTCTGGGCAAAGTCAATTGGAAACCTTCTGCAAAAGATTCATTATTATAGATGTAAACCTCATGTTGAATTGCAATCCCTAATACTGTAGGTATGGCCAGGTGGGAGGTCACTGGATAATGGAGATGGGCTTCTCATGAATGGCTCAGCACCATCTCCTTGGTGCTGTTCTCATGATAGTCAGTGAATTCTCATGAGATCTAGTCGTTTATGCCATCATGTGGCAATCCTGTTCCCTCTTCACCTTCTGCCATGATTGTAAGCTTCCTGAGACCTCCCCAGAAGCTGAGCAGATGCCAGTATCGTGCTTCCTGTAAAGCCTGCAAAACTGTGCAGGCTTTAAATCTGGTAAACCTCGTTTCTTTATAAATTACCCAGCCTGAGGTATTGCTTTCTAGCAATGCAAGAGCAGACTAATACAAGATGCCATTAAGAGCATTTGTGAATCATGGGAGGACTACATATCCACATAAACAGGAATTTAGAAGCTGATTTCAATGCTCATGGATGACTCTGAGGGGTTCCAAAATTCAGTGGAGGTTCCCATCACTGCATATGTGGTGGGAATAGCAAGAGAACTGGAATTAGAAGTGAAGACTGAAGATGTGAGAGAAGTGCTGCAATCTCAGGATAAAATTTGAATGGATAAAGAGTTGCTTCTAATGGATAAGCAAAGAAAGCTATTTCTTGAGATGAAATCTACTCCTGGTAAAGATGCTGTGAATATTATTGAAATGAAAACAACAGATTTAGAATATTCCATAAACTTAGTTATAAAGCAGCAGCAGGGTTTGAGATGACTGACTCCAATTTTTTTTTTTTTTTTTTTTTTTTTTGAGACGGAGTCTCACTCTGTCGCCAGGCCGGAATACAGTGGTGCAATCTCAGCTCACTGCAACCTCCATCTCCCGGGTTCAAGTGATTCTCCTGCCTCAGCCTCCTGAGTAGCTGGGACTACAGGTGACGACCAGCATGCCCAGCTATTTTTTTTTTATTTTTAGTAGAGACAGGGTTTCACCACGTTGGCCAGGATGGTCTCGATCTCTTGACCTCATAATCTGCCGGCCTCGACCTCCCAAAGTGCTGGATTACAGGCATGAGTCACCGCGCCCAGCTGATTGACTCCAATTTTTAAAGGTGTTCTATTGTAGGTAAGATGCTATCAAATAGCATCACGTGCTACAGAGAAATCTTTTAAGTGAATAGAAGCAAACTTTATTGTTATCTCATTTTAAGAAATGTTCACAGCCACCCCAACCTTCAGCAGCCACCACCCCGTCAGTCAGCAAACACCAACATCAAGGCAAGACTCTCCACCAGCAAAAAGATTATGACTTACTGAAGGCTCAGATGAGCTTTAGCATTTTTCAGCAATAAAGTTTTTGGTTTTGGTTTTTTGACACAAGGTTTGTCTCTGCAGCCCAGGCTGGAATGCAGTGCCACCATCTCAGGTCACTGCAACCTCCGCCTCCTGACCTCAAGCCATTCTCCCACCTCAGCTTCCCAGGTAGTTGGGACTATAGGTGCAGGCCACCATGCCCGGCTGATTTTTGTATTTTTTGTAGAGACAGGGTTTCGCCATATTGCCCAGGCTGGTCTTGAACTCGTGAACTCAAGCGATCCTCCCACCTCAGCCTCCCAAAGTGCTGGGATTAAAGGCATAAGCCACTGAGCCTGGCCTAAATATTTTTAAATTAAGGTATGTCCACTGTTTTTTTAAGACACAATGCTATTACACACTTAATAGACTACAATATAGTGTAAACATAACTTTCATATGCACTGGGAAACCAAAAACTTTGACTTACTGCAATGTGTTAGTCTGGAACAAAACCCGCGGTATCCCCGAGGTATGGCTGTATCTCTTAATGAGATTAATGTGGATTTTATTTTACAAATCTGTGCACTTATAATAGTATTAGTCAATGTACAAAATAAATCCTTTTTATTTTATTTTTAAATATAAGCTCTGAGAAAGCTTGCTTACATAAATAAGTAGATAGGAAAAGTGACCATTTCTTTAATGGCAATGTCACAAAATTTTTTGATCTCCTCAGAGTTACATACCAAACATCCCATGGTGATCTATGATTTAAAATTACGTTTAATTATCTATTGGTTAATAGCTACATTAGGTCTTTCTTCAATTTGGTTGAAAGAAAGAAACCACCTAAACTGAAAAAGATTTGTTGCTCCAAGATTTGAGTCAATCACTTCAGGACCAGCACCAATTTTCCTTCCATGCACCTTAGCAAGAGTAGGAATGGATGAGAAGTACACAAAGAACACTAATTTTATTTAAGTATAGTTATCAAGATATTTTTTAAAACTAGGGACATAGTATTAAATATGCTTTAATGTTAATGCATTAAGTAAAAGATCAGGCAGCAGGTCAAATACCCCATAATTTCACAGCCGTGAGCAAAAATATTTCTACATACCACAAGGTGCATGACAGTTCCATGATTTCCATGGTGACAAGAGTACGGGTACTGTTAACACTCCTGTGATTTCTATTGGTGACAGTCACAGGTACTGCTAATATTACTGTGCTTTGTGATTGTTTTCATAATTGAAGAAGATGCTAACATTTACTCAGATATTAGACAAAACAAAGATGTTCTTTTCTTTCCACCGTCGTTCACAGACGACCAGAATTCTAGGGTTAAGAACTCCTAGTTTAACAATGGAAGGAAGAAGGGAGTGATGGTGAAGCGAAGCAGTCAGGGGAGAGGTGAAAAGCGAAGCGAGGAAAGGAGGAGACGGACAGGTAGAAGGAATGGAATGAAGACAGGCAAGAAGGAAATCTATCTCAATCTCTGGGCTCGGGCTACACAAAAAGCTTGCAGATTCACAGCCAGCGATGTGGTTATTTCTATGGCGATTTTATATCAACATTTTATAACAACTAGGTTCTTCAGTTGAGTCCTACCCACTAATCTCTTCCTCAGTTCCATAAACAGGGTCACCCGGCTGCAGAACTGCAAGTCCCAATACAACCAGGATTTTCAGCCCTCTTCCCCAAACAGCATCTTCACAGACACGTTCCAAATCTTGTGCCCTTAATTAACAGGGAGTCCATATTTTCTTGGGATAGTCCCTCCCCATTAGTCCCTCTAGGAGTCCTCAAAGAGGGGGATGCTCACCTCTCTTCTCAGCCGCCACCTGCTGCTCTCGGACCCTCAGCTCCAAGTCCCACAGCTCCGGCTTCCTCATCTCCAGGTCCCTCAGCTCCCGGTTCCTCAACCCTGGGTCCCTCAGCCCACTGTTGGGTGCCGGCGGCTCCGCGCTGTCATCAGCCTCTTCTGTCCACCCACCCGGGGGCGCTGAAAATAATCTTCTCTGGCTCCCTCTTGTTTGGAAGTAGAGCCTTCTCACCCCTGTCATCAATCATCGCTTTTCTTGGACCCTCCGCGGTCTGCCCCTGGGAGGGCACAGGCTCCCGCCAGGCCTCGGGTGGCTGCTCTCGCTGCCATTCCGCGGGGGCTCAGGCGGGCTCTTGTGCGCTCGGGCGCCTTTTCCTCTCAGGAGCTCAGCTCCAGAGACCACCATTCTTCCGCAGGCTCTGTTGACTCGAGTCCGCTGTTCTGAGGCATTCAAGCCACAGAATGTCAGGGCAGAGGCGGAACACGTGTTAAAGGGTCGCTGCAGAGTCATGGCCTATGAGGAAGCTCTCGAACTTTCCATGACCCTTGAAGCGCTTTCAAAGGCAAAAGTTCCGGGCCTGTGAGGAGGCTCCGCGATGGCGGGCCTGGCTGAGGGCGAGCAGCCTGCCTGGCGCTCATGCAGGGGACTGTGTGGCGGCAGCCTCTCACCTCGCAGTCTCAGCCCCACCCAGACAAAATATTGATTCACCAGCAGAGAAGGGCCATTGACTAGGAAGCCCTCGGAGCAAAACAGCACCGGATTCCGTTTGTCCCAGAGTATCTTCCCCCGCCCCCTCAGAGCCAAACAAGAAAGTAACTACTGTATTCCTTTCCCAAACCCAGCCTGGGTGGTGGTGGTGGTGCTGGTGGTTCTGAGACAGAGTATCCCTCTACCCGCCCAGGCTGGAGTGCAGTGGCGCCATCTCCGCTCACTGCAACCTCCGCCTCCGGGGTTCAAGCGATTCTCCTGCTTCATCCGCTCCAGTAGCTGGGATTACAGGTGCCGACCACCACGCATGGCTAATTTTTGTATTTTTAGTAGAGACAGGGTTTCATCATGTTGGCCAGGCTGGTCTCCAACACCTGACCTCAGGTGATCCGCCCGCCTCCGCCTCCCAAAGAGCTGAGATTACAGGCGTGAGCCACCTCTCCTGGCCACCTAGCGTGTACTTTCTGAAAACTCCCAGAGTGGGAGAACCCCCTACTATGGATTTTTAAATCTTCTGTTTGTTTATACAAACAATATATTCCCAGCTCTTACTGTGTGGTGGATACTGGAAATATTCCAGTCTCTGGAATCATCATATGCATCATTTATTGGCAAGAATTTGACAGAATCCAAATTCCCGGCAATAAATAAAACTGGCTATTACTGGCCAGTTTACTTACCATTAAATAAAAATAAGCTATTATCCATTATATTCTAAACGCCAGGAGAAGAACAAGAATCTGTGGGAACATGGGGGTGCTCCTGACATTTATAATTAATTATAAAATAATTATATGTAAAATAATATAATTATTTTATAATGGATATAGTAATTATATTATAAATGCCAGGAGAAGAACAAGAATCTGTGGCAACATGGGGGTGCTTTTGACCCACACTTGGGGAATCATGGAAAGCTTAGAGAAACTTCAAAGCTGAGACCTAAAATACAAATAAGGAGGAGTTTTCTAAGCCAAGGAAAGTGGACAGAGAAATTTCCAGGCAAAAGCCACAGCGTGTAGCAAGAGAAGACAAGAGAAAGCATGGCTCATTGGAGAAACTGAAACAAACTCAATATGGCTGAATGGTGGCAGTGCAGGGAGTAGTTATGACTATTGGTTCTGGAGGTAGCCTATCTGTGTTCAAATCCCACTTGCCACTATTGAGAAGCAAGAAGGGAGGCATAGAGGAGAGATTTTTTTAAAGGATACAAAATGACAGCTAGATGGGAGGAATAAGTTCTAGTGTTGTATACCACTGTAGGATGACTATAGTTAACAATAATAATAGTTTCAAATAGCTAGAAGGAGGATACTGAATTTTCCCAACACAAAAAAATGATAAATGTTTGAGATTATAGATATGCTAATTACCCTGATCTGATCACCATACAGTATATGTATCAAAACATCACTATGTACCTCATGAATATATACAATTATTATTTGTCAATTTAAAAAATCAAGTTAATAAAATTAAATATCTTTAAAAGATTGGAAAAGGCAGCTTGTGAAGGACTTTGGGAAGCCATATTAAGGGGTATATGATATATCCTAAGAACAATAGAGCACCACTGGAAGGTTTTAAGCAGGGGATTAACATAATTAGATTTATATTGTATAAAGATTACTCTCTGCCTTGTAAAGAACGGAGGAGAAAAACAAAACAAGACGGGAGTCAGGAAAAATAGGCTTGAAGAAGCCAAGGCCACCATGAGTGAACCAATGAAATCCCTTATAGATATGTTTTCACTCTTACTAATAAAACAGTGAAGGCTGTCAATGTTAACATTCACCTACGTGAATAATAGCAATGTGTCCAAATAATTTCAATTTATCATCCCTTGCTTGCCAAAAACTTACCAGTTTTGACAAGATGATTGGAAATTTGTTTTGCTTCGTTGCAGATAATCTGCAAACTAAAAAGATGTCCCTATTGGCTCCTCCATCCAAATATGTCTTTCTGATTTTGTAACACAGGGTTGTCTTTGACTCCCATTATCCTTGATCCCACAGGTTCACAGAGACAGAGTCACTTGTGTACTCAATACAGAAAGGCCTTCGGCACACTTTAGTCTGTTATGCCTAGCTGAAGAGGTATTTCTTAATCCTCTAACCAGAATACAGGGTTATAGGTCTTGTTTCAGCTCATGATACATAAGTTCATGACAAGGCACATGCCCTCAACTCTTCCTACACCAGCCCAATTCCCTGCCTCTTAATAGACCAGAAAACAAATCCTTGCTTTACTTCCTCTTAGCTTCCTTTGCCTCTCCCAGACTGTATCGCAAAAAGCTCAAATCTTGTTCTTACGTGTTTTCTCTCCTGTTTTTTTTTTCCCTTTTCCTCTCCCTAAACTGTCTCTTTTCCTCATTATCCCCAAAAGAAATGACTCAAGATCACACATTCTCAAATAGGGAGGCAAATTCTTATTTACCAGAATTTCTCATAGGAAAAAAGATAATCATCCATAACTATCCAAGTAATTAATTCATTGCCTGTTCTCTAGACCCTGGGCAAGTCATACTGCTGAGATGCAAATCCTGGCTCAACCACTTACTTGCTGTGTGACCTTAGGCAAGTTATACTTAGCCACTTTTCACTTCACTTTCCCTATCTGTAAGGTAGAGATAATGGTCCTGTCTCATAGGGTTACTGTGAGGGTTAAATGAGTTGATGTATGTAAAATACTGAACAGAGTCAGGAATATTCTAAGAACTCAATAAGTGTTGGCTATTACTGTATGCTGGGCACTGGGAATATAGCAATGAGTGAGACAGGGAAGATCCTTGCTCTCCTGGACTTTATATCCTAATGAGGGGGAATATAATAAACAATCAAGTAAATAAAGATAACCGCAGAGTATGATAATCTTATAAAGAGAATAACGGAATGAGGATGGAGACTTTAGGTAAGATGGTCAGGGACAGAGGAAAAATGAGAAGGAATCAACAATGCAAGGAGCTGGAGAAATAAGCAGCAAATTTGAAGACCATAAGAACCATCATAAGGATGGAAAGAGCTTGGAGAGTTCTCACAACAAGAGGCCAGTGTGGCTGATGATTGGTGAGCTCAGGGGAGAGTGGCGGAAGCTAAGCCATCATTTAGGTGAAGGCCTGATTCAGCAAAACCATGTGTATCCTGTTAAGAGGCTGGATTTATTTTCAATGTCATGGGAAGACACTGAAGGGTATTAAGCAGGTAAATAATATTATCAGGTCTATGTTTTAAGAAGACCCTTTCTAGATCTCTGTGAAATGCATTGCCCCAAGCAACCTGCTCAGCTAACAAAATTTCAGCACTGCCCAGGAACTTAAAGTTCATGAAAATTCATCTCCAAAGTCCCTCCTCTTCTAATAATCAGTGATTCGATGCTGAAGTTGAAGAGACCTTTGACTTCTCAGCAACACAATCTAAGTACAGAGCTGTATTATTTCTTTTTCCCTTTGTGCCATTGGTTTTAAATGGTTGAGTCATGTCAAATAAATGCTTTTAATTGTTCTTGTTTCTTGCCTCCAAATTCCCAAATGCTAATCAACAATTTTCTGCTAATGAAGTGTCCAAAACTTAAAACAGCATCCCAGGTGCTATCTCACTAGGGCCAAACAGAAAGAGCTATTATCTCCCTGCTTTATGACAAGAGACCAATGTCATATTTTTCTCACAATATTATACAGCAGACATGTATCTAATTTGCCATTTAGCATCACCCTAGGGCCTCTTACAGCTATTACTGTTTTCCAGGTGTTGCCCGCCTCATGAAAAAATTTCTTTCCAATTATTTTTCCCCAGATGCTTCTGCTTGAAATTTTTCCAAGTTGAGTGTCATTCCCTCTGCCATATTGTTAATGTTTTATATAATTTATTTTACTTTCCTGGTGTTTGCAACATGTCTTCTTTTAGTGTCATCTGAAAATTTCATTAACATGTTTGTGGACAGGATGTAGCTAGAAGGGAAGTGCTGAGGGACTCATCTTCTGTTCCTTTATTAGTTAGGTATTGGTTCTAGAAATGGAGAAGGAGCCCATTCATCAAAAGTAGAATTTGTCTCTACTCTTTTCTTACACACACACACACACACACACACACACACACACAGTCCTTGACATGAACAAAATGTCTATATCAGGGATCCCTAACATGGGGATCACAGACACGATGGCACACTGGGGTTCCCATGCACCCCTGTGATTGTATTCACAATAAATTAACATTGTTGTATCCTTGAGTAGATATGCAGTTTTCTAGGGAAAAGGCCAATAGCTCTCATTAGAATCTCATGGAGGGCCAGGTGTGGTGGCTCACGCCTCTAATCCCAGAAATTTGGGAGGCCGAGGCAGGTGGATCACTTGAAGTCAGGAGTTCGAGATCAGCCTGGTCAACATGGTGAAACCCCATCTCTACTAAAAATACAAAAAATTAGCTGGGCATGGTGGCACACACCTGTAATTCCAGCTACTCAGGAGGCTGAGGCAGGAGAATCACTTAAACTCAGAAGGCGGAGGTTGCAGTGAGCCAAGATGGCGCCACTGCACTCCAGCCTGGAGGACAGGGTGAGACTCTGTCTCACACACACAAAAAAGAATCTCACACACTGCAAAAAGATTAAGAACCTTTGTTTTATATCATTATTTCTCAAAGACTGAGCCAACAGTCAGCTCTATTGGAATCACATGGGATGCTTAGTAAAATGCAGATTCTTAGGCCCTATTCTAGACATACATAATGCAAATGGAGATAGGAATGTCAATTATTTTTGACTGGGATAAGTACGTTAATTGTACAAAATTTAAAAGGTCAAAAAATCTCCTATCCCTGTTTCCTAGCTACCGGTTTCTTTTCAGTGAGGCAACCACTGTTACCAGTTTTCTGTATATTTTTTAGAACCTGAAAAAAAAAAAAGAACCAACAACAACAACAACAACAACAACAACAAACTCCCCAGGTGATTTATATGATGTTTATGTACAATAAAATTTGAGAACCATTGCTCTATAAAGAAAAAGAATGAATGTTTAACTGTGCTAAAGGCTGTCTCAATCAGACAGACCTTTTCCCCCTACCCATTTAAGAGCCTGATTATCCTGACAAACAACACTCAAAGCCAATTACATATATACAGCTTTCCATCCTTTCATCTCCTCTCAGTAAAGAAAACGTCTTCAATCTTTTTTCGGTTTGGCTAGAATTTATCACCTCTGCTTCTGGCTCTCTGTTGACCTAGTCTGACACCCCACCCTGATTCAGGTGTTGAGTAAACTGGTAGCCAAAGTGGGATTGACCTTCTGACTGCCCAAAAGCTGTGGATTACTCATTCCCTCCAGAAAAACTTCTTAACCTTTTTGGTAAAACAAAAAATCTCCCTAGCCTAGGCAGCTTCTCTTATTAACTGATAGAAACAGCTTACCTCAGAAATGCTATACACAAAATTAATCATTTCTTGTCGGCATTAACAAGTCTAGATGGTCTTGTACCTGCTCTACTGGCAGGTGTAGAAGCAGCCAACTCTACACTGTGGAATGGAAGCTGTATCTCTCAGCTTCTGCCTGAGTTGGGTCCAGAGATTCAAGCACAGTAAAGCATAGGTTCATGTTTTCATATGTGAAGCTCTGTTGAATGTGGAATGCCCTATAATAGAGAACAGATGTACCTTAAATGCCAGCTGAAAACTTTAGCTCCCAATTTCACACCTGACAGGCTAACAAATATATGAAGAGAGGCACAAAGTTGTTAGGAATCAGGGACATTCAAACTGAAAGAATGAGATAACGCTTCATGCCCATTAGCTTAGCCAAATTGGGAAGTGAACAATACCAAATGTAGGCTATGATGTAGGAAAACAGAAAACCTTAGGCACTACTGGTGGAGAGGCAATTCTGAGGGAACGCATACACTGTGGTCCAACAGTCCCATGGCAGCTACATCCTAAAGGAATTGCCTCACAGATCCAGTAAGATCATGGTCAAGGATTCCCCTGTGGCTCTATCAGTAGTAATGGGAAGTAACTTAAATGTCCATCTCCAAAGGAATGGATAAAAATAACATTCTGGCTATCCACTATGGAACACCATGCAGCATTTAGAACACCAAACCAGCTATACGTTCAGCAACATGAACAGATTTTACACAGAGTGTTGTGTGAAAATGTAATAAAAAGGACAAGTTCTATAGTAATTTTATGAAAATTAAAAACACATACACAGGCAGAAAGTAGATTAGTGGTTGCTGGAGGCTTGGGGCAGGGATTGGAGAGAAACTGTGAATGGGTACAGGATTTATTTTAGGTGTGATGAAAATGTTCTGGAATTAGATTGTGGTGATTGTTGAACAACTGTGTAAATATTCTAAAAAAAAATCACTGAATTTTTCCTTTTTAAAGGGTCAATTTGGCCGAATACAGTGGCGCAAACCTGTAATCCCAGAATTTTGGGAGGCCAAGGTGGAAGGATCACTTGAGCCCAGGGGTTTGAGACCAGCCTAGGTAACATGGAGAGATTCCATCTCTACAAAAGTTTTTTTTTTTATTTTTATTACAATTAGCTGGACATGGTGGTGTGCACCTGTAGTCCCAGCTACTGGAGAGGATCACTTGAGTCCAGGCAGTCAAGAGGGCAGTGAGCTATGATCCTGGTGCTGCACTCCAGAGACCCTGTCTCTAAAAAACAGAAAAATAAAAGGATGAATTTTATGGTTTGTAAATTGTATCTCAATAAAAGAAAAACACAAACCAATACTAAGTATTCTACAAGGATACATACATACTTAAAGATATATCAATCAATATTGGAGTGGCTATCTGAAAGGGGAAGGGATGAGACTGGGGATTAGAATGGGGTAAGAGAGGCTTTTTATAGCCAATGATGCTAGTGTACCATCAACCATCAACTGAGGAAGATGATTAACTCAATTATCTGTGCCTGTGATAAAACTAACAAACACACACCAACAACAACAACTGAGGGTGGAAGAAGGGAAGAAAAAAGGAAAAGCATGTTTATAGTTTTAGTGAGGGAAAATATGCTATAATGAGGAGTTAAAAAAAAGTTAAGAATACTACAATGGTAAGAACATTGTAAGTGCAACTGGCCAGGCGCAGTGGCTCACACCTGTAATCCCAGCACTTTGGGAGTCTGAGGCAGGTGGATCACTTGAGGACAGGAGTTCGAGACCAGCCTGACCAACATGGTGAAACCCCGTCTCTACTAAAAATACAAAAAAAATTTAGCCAGGCATGGTGGTGCACGCCTTTAATCCCAGCTACTAGGTAGGCTGAGGTACTAGAATTGCTGGAACCTGGAGGCGGAGGTTTCAGTGAGTCAAGATCGTGCCTCTATACTCCAGCCTAGGCAACAGAGCGAGACTCTTGTCTCAAAAAAAAAAAAAAAAAGGAACATTATAAGTGCAGCTATGTAAAACGATGTGTGTAAACAAAAGTACAACAGATTGCTATAATGTAGTGTTGTGTAAAATAGTGTGGTGTATTGGCAGTGCCTTGGCCATTCATTGTATAATCTTGGACACCAGTGTACTTAATTTCTCTGTAGCTCAGCCTCCTCATGTAAAATGGAAATTATGATAACACCTAATTCCAAAGGTTCTTATGAGAATTAAATAAGTTAATTTATGCATGAAACATAGTGGCCTTTTGTAAAGGTTACCTGGTATTATCGTTTTCCTAACTTTTGGAACTGTAGACCTTGGACTCAAACTATGTGTCCCATTGAGCTTCACTAGCCATTAATCATGTGACTTTCACAAAGTCACCTAATCTGAGCCTCAATTTTCTCATCTATTGTGAGAATTAAGAGGGATAATGTACTTGGCACATGGCAAACACTCAATAAATGCTAACAGGCCAGGCACGGTGGCTCATGCCTGTAACCTAGCACTTTGGGAGGCCGAGGTGGGCAGATCACTTGAGGTCAGGAGTTCGAGACCAGCCTGGCCAACATGGCGAAACCCCATCTCTACTAAAAATACAAAAATTAGCCAGGAGTGGTGGCGTGCTTCTGTAATCCCAGCTACTCAGGAAGCTGAGGCACAAAAATCGCTTGAACCCAGAGGCAAAGGTTGCAGTGAGTGGAGATCACGCCACTGCACTGCAGCCTGGGCGATGGAGCAAGACCCTGCCTCAAAAAAAAAAAAAAAAAGCTAACAGATTACATTATTAGGAATATTACTAATATACTGTCATAGTTTTAAAGTACAAAAAAGGAATAGAAGATACAAAATTTAATAATTTTATGTTCTTCCTAATGTATAAATTCTTCCATTTTTATAACATCTAATTTTTGTGGATAGAGTTCCCAGACCCTCTTCCCTAGATGATGGGTCCCATGCACCCTCAGGGCACTTTGAACAGCTCCTTCATGGCAATAATTAATTAATTAGGCAGGTAGGTAATTTCCGGTTTATGTCTGTCTTCCTCAGGAGAATCTAAGCTCCAAGATGACAAAGATGGTGTCAGATATGCCCAATATCTAGCACAAGGCCTGGCACTTTGATGATTAACAAATATTTATGGAATGGATGAACAAGAAATGAAATAAACAAAAGCATTTTAACATGTACATTCTGAAATAGTATAGTCATGATATTAAAAGTAAGTATTATTTCCTCCATCTCTCTGAGAAGCGAGGAAGTGCCCATCTTGTAAGCTAAGAAGACAGTAAACATTCAGATTCTGGGGAGCTATTTTTGGCAGCTCTTCCTTAGGAGAATCACACTGCCTGAACCTGTCCCCAGGAATCCTTTCAGTTACAGCAGAGCTCTGGAAACCCAGTACTTTTCCAGAACCTCCTATTCAGTAAAAGGAAAAGTACTCAGTCTCTCTAGATTATCTTCACACAGTGTACATTAGCCCTTACTCACTGACTCATGAAAGGGTAGGGAGCTTAAAACTGTCATTTCACGAATGAGGAAATGAGCCCAGAAAAGTAGATTGATTTTCCAAGCCTAACATTTGTTAATAATAGAGCTGGTGCAATTGGGAATAGGCTCATTCTTACAGTTCTCTCTCTTTCTCAATACATATGTAATACATATATATTTGATTTATTTAAATGACATTTATGAATGATTTTTATTACATTGGGGAAAAAGCCCTTGATGTGTTAAGTAGCAGGAGCTGACTAGAATTATGTATAATACATATTTAATTATAAAATATGTAACTATATGGAGAGCACGTGTGTGTGTGTGTGTGTGCATGTATTTCTCCATTACTTATCTATGTAGAAAATGTAAAAAGTAGTATAAAAAATGTTAACAGTGTTTATCTCTAGTTGGTGGGTCATGGTGTATTTTTATTTATGTTCTTCTGCATTAAAATTTTTGTTAATAAGCATGTAATACTTTATAACCAGAAATTTCAGTTTTTTAATTCCTGCTCTAATATTTTTTAAACATTTTATTTCCGTCAGCTCTACCAGATAAAGGAAGCATCAAGCTAGGGTCCAAAGAAGTTTTACCAGTCATTTAACCTGATCTGTAAAATGGGTATAATTATACCTACTTCCCAGGGCTCTTGTGTATATGGAATAATAAATAAGAAATTCCTTCATAACTTTAAAGCTTGTTAAAGATGTTACGTGGTATTGTAATGATGATAATGTTCTGTGGTCTAAAAGAGCTGGGAAAGCCCTTAGGATAGCGGGTATCTTTGTGCTGAGGAGTTTAGGTTGGGAAGGGAAAGAAGTCTAAGTGTCAGGAGAGAAGTAAGCGCTTTTTTGCACTTAAGAAAAACAATCAGCTGGGCGGGTGGCTCACGCCTGTAATCCCAGCACTTTGGGAGGCCGAGGCAGGTGGATCACCTGAAGTCAGGAGTTTGAGACCAGCCTGGCCAACATGGTGAAACCCCATCTCTACTAAAAACACAAAAATTTGCCAGGTGTGGTGGCACACTCTTGTAATCCCAGCTACTTGGGAGGCTGAGACAGGAGGATTGCTTGAACCCAGGAGGTGGAGGTTGCAGTGAGCCAAGATCGCGTCACTGCACTCCGGCCTGGGTGACAGAGCATGACTCCGTCTCAATAAAAAAAAAAAAAGAAAGAAAGAAAGGAAGAAAAACAATCATATGGTTGACCCCAGTTCTCTCCTTCCCTTATACTTCGAATAAATGCCTCAATGTTCCCTCATAAGATTAAACCTCCCTTCTGTCTCTTAAGTAGCCCATGCAAAAAGCAGCTTATAGTGGACAGGATCTAGTGTATTCTGAGACAATGGCATGTCACAAATGCCACGGAAAATGAGATTTCACACATAGGGATGATTTTACACTAAACCCAGGTGCCAAGGGTGGTATGTAAAATAACTCTTCCTTTTTAATTTATTAATTATTTTTAGAGACAAGGTTTCATGCTGTTGCCCAGGCTGGAGTGCAGTGATGCGATTATAGCTCACTGCAGCTTCGAATTCCTGGGCTCAAGTGATCCTCTTGCTGCAGCCTCCCAAGTAGATGAAACTACAGGCATGTGTCGCCATGCCTGGCTAATTTTTTTTAATTTTTAATTTTTTAGAGACAGGGCCTCCCTACATTGTTCCGGCTGGTCTCTAACTCCTGGCCTCAAGAGATCCTCCCACTTCAGCCTACCAAGTAGTTAGGATTACTATATTTTAAAATGTAATACAGACTTATGATAAATTTACCCAAGAGAAATAAAAATTTATGTTCTCACAAAAACCATCACACAAATGTTCATAGCCACTTTATTAATAATTGCTAAAAACTGGAAATAACTTAAATATCCTTTATTGAATGGATAAACAAACAGTGACACATCCATATAATGGAATGCTACTCAGCCATACAAAAGGATGAACTACTGAAAATCACAACAACATAGATGAATCGTAAATGCATTATGCTAACTTAGTAAAGGAAGGGAGAACCCAAAAGGCTACAGACTGTATTCTCCATTTATATGATAATCCGGAAAAGAAAACTATAGGGGAGAACAGATCAGTAGTTCCCAGAGGATAAGACGAAGGGAGGGGTTGACTACATACAATAGGACGGTAAGAGAATTTGGGGGGTGGTGGTGATGGAATTACTTTTTATTGTGATGTTTACATGTATATGCATTTGTCAACATTCATAGAACAGTACACCAAAAAGTGAATTTTACTATATAAAGTTTAAAAATAAATGCATAAAAATAATATAGTCGAGTAAATTCAAACAATATAAGGAATTTAATAAGAAAGTCTCCCTCCCAGATCTTGGTGATAATAGATCTGTATTTTGAGTGCAGTGATGGTCACATACATCCATACATGTGATAAAATGATAGAGAACTATATACACACATTACACCAATATCAACTTCCTGCTTTTGATATTGTACTATAATTAAGATGTAACCCGCCAGGCACGGTGGCTCATGCCTGTAATCCCAGCACTTTGCGAGGCCGAGGCAGGCGGATCACCTGAGGTCAGGAGTTCGAGACCAGCCTGGCCAACGTGGTGAAACCCCGTCTCTACCAAAAAAAAAAAAAAAAAAAATTAGCCGGGCGTGATGGCGGGCGCCTGTAATCCCAGCTACTCAGGAGGCTGAGGTAGGAGAATCGCTTGAACCTGGAAAGCGGAGGTTGCAGTCAGCCGAGATCGCGCCATTGCACGTCAGCCTGGGTGACAAGAGCGAAACTCCGTCTCAAAATAAATAAATTAATTAAAAGATGTAAACGGCGGGTCGCGGTGGCTCACGCCTGTAATCCCAGCACCCTGGGAGGCCGAGGCAGATGGATCATTTGAAGTCAGGGATTCGAGACCAGCTTGGCCAACATGGTGAGACCCCATCTCTACTAAAAATATAAAAATTAGCTGGGCGCGGTGGCGCACGCCTGTAATCCCAGCTACTCAGGAGGCTGAGGTAGGAGAATCGCTTGAACCCGGGAGGTGGAGGTTGCAGTGAGCCAAAATTGTGCCACTGCACTCCACCCTGGGCGACAGAGCAAGACTCCATCTCAAAATAAATAAATAAATAAATAAATCTCATATAAGTGTGTGTGTGTGTACAAATTTATACATAAATACTTTTAACACAAATGGTAGCATATTATACTTGCTGTTCTGCACCTTACTTTGTTTCTACAATTACTTTGGAGATTTTTTTCCGTATCACATATACAACAGATCCACCGCATTATTTTTTATTGCCGCATAGTATTCCATTGCACAGTGGTTTCACTTATTTCAACAGTTTCTTATTGATGGACATTCGGATCTTAACTAAGAATTGAACTTAAATAATCCAGAAATGTTTACAATAATGAAAGGTCGGCTGGAGTTGAGGCTAAAAGTTTTCACATATTCAAGACTTGACTCCAGAATATTCTTTTGACCAGAAGGGGGAATGCAAGTGGCAGGAGAAGCGAAAAGCTGGGAAATTTCCCGGGCCAATGGGGAAGCAGTGGAGCCGGCAGGGAATTACTGCCGGGTAGGAGTTCGCAGAGGAGCACCTTACTTTTGGAGTAGGAGGCCATGCTGCAAACCCAGACTTTTCAGGCTGCATCTCAGATATACCGAAGTGTGTACCCGCTACGCACAGTGCGGTGATGCCTGGCCACCTCCAGCCTCCAGCGGGGACCTCCTGCCCAGGTGGAGTCTGAATGCCCACCGCCACCAGCCCACGCGCGCAGTGGGCGTACACGTGGTGACCTGCCTGCGGCTGGGTTCCCAGCTCCGGCTCCTCCTCCCTCCAGCTCTCGCTCGGCTTCCTGCAGTATCACGTGCAGCTGCGCTGGGTGCAGGATGGCGGCGGCCGCGGCGGCGGCAGCAGCGGTGGGTGTCAGGCTCCGGGACTGCTGCAGCCGAGGCGCTGTGCTCCTGCTCTTCTTTTCCCTGTCTCCTCGGCCCCCGGCCGCCGCCGCCTGGCTGCTGGGCCTGCGGCCCGAGGACACTGCTGGAGGCCGCGTGTCCCTGGAGGGGGGCACCCTGCGCGCCGCCGAAGGCACCAGCTTCCTCCTGCGTGTCTATTTCCAGCCAGGACCGCCGGCCACCGCCGCACCGGTGCCCTCACCGACCCTCAACTCGGGGGAGAATGGCACCGGCGACTGGGCTCCGCGGCTCGTGTTCATCGAGGAGCCCCCGGGCGGTGGCGGCGTGGCCCCCAGCGCGGTCCCCACTCGCCCCCCGGGACCGCAGCGCTGCAGGGAGCAGAGCGACTGGGCATCGGACGTGGAAGTCCTGGGGCCCTTGCGTCCCGGGGGCGTGGCAGGCTCGGCCCTGGTCCAGGTGCGAGTGCGGGAGCTGCGCAAGGGCGAAGCGGAGCGGGGCGGCGCGGGCGGTGGCGGGAAGCTCTTTTCACTCTGCGCCTGGGATGGGCGCGCGTGGCACCACCACGGCGCCGCCGGCGGCTTCCTGCTGCGCGTTCGCCCGCGGTTGTACGGCCCAGGCGGGGACCTGCTGCCCCCTGCGTGGCTGCGGGCGCTCGGGGCGCTCCTGCTGCTAGCCTTGTCGGCCCTGTTCAGCGGCCTGCGCCTGAGCCTGCTGTCGCTGGACCCGGTGGAGTTACGGGTGCTGCGGAACAGCGGCTCGGCCGCCGAGCAGGAGCAGGCGCGCCGCGTGCAGGCCGTTCGCGGCAGGGGGACCCATCTGCTCTGCACCCTACTCCTGGGCCAAGCCGGAGCCAACGCGGCCCTGGCTGGCTGGCTGTACACCTCGCTGCCGCCGGGCTTCGGGGGCACCGGGGAAGACTACAGCGAAGAGGGGATCCACTTCCCGTGGCTGCCGGCGCTCGTGTGCACCGGCGCGGTATTCCTGGGCGCCGAAATCTGCCCCTACTCAGTGTGTTCGCGGCACGGGCTGGCCATCGCCTCGCACAGCGTGTGCCTGACCCGGCTTCTGATGGCAGCCGCCTTCCCCGTGTGCTACCCGCTGGGCCGCCTGCTGGACTGGGCGCTGCGCCAGGAGATAAGCACCTTCTACACGCGGGAGAAGTTGCTGGAGACGTTGCGGGCCGCAGACCCCTACAGTGACCTGGTGAAGGAGGAGCTCAACATCATACAGGGTGCCCTGGAGCTGCGCACCAAAGTTGTGGAGGAGGTGCTGACCCCCCTGGGAGACTGCTTCATGCTGCGCTCAGACGCGGTGCTCGACTTCGCCACTGTCTCCGAGATCCTGCGCAGCGGCTACACTCGCATCCCAGTGTACGAGGGTGACCAGCGGCACAACATTGTGGACATTTTATTTGTCAAGGACTTGGCCTTCGTGGACCCCGACGACTGCACCCCGCTCCTCACTGTCACCCGCTTCTACAACCGGCCCCTGCATTGTGTTTTCAATGACACCCGACTGGACACGGTTCTGGAGGAGTTTAAGAAGGGTGAGCAGTAGTCTATCTTCTCCCCCAACTCCTATCCCCTTCAAAGGTATTATCCTTTCCTAACCACGTGAGGCTCTAGGTACCCAAAGCAATTTCTCTCCTATGGTACTAAAAACCCAAGGAAGACTCTACCTCTTGGCTCCCTGGCTATTTTCATCTCACTTCTGCCTCACTTCTTGCTCCTGATTGAGCCCCAGGCCTCTTTCCTCTCTACTTGATTCACAAGATGCACCATATTCCTTATTTGTTCCATTCTACCAGGTTTTTCCAAGGCCTACCAAATGTCAGATACTGTGTAGGTGGGAGATAGCCCTTGAAGGTCATTGCATAGCTCCCCACCTATTACAGGAGACACCTCTGCAGGTTCCCATACAAGCAGCCTTTGCTTTAAACTCCTCCCAGGGCCGAAAGCTCACTATTTACAGAGCAAACTAATTCCATTGCTGGACAGCTCCAGTGGCTGACAATGTTTCCTCATATAGAGCAGAATTTGTGTCTCCAAATCCTTCTACCTCTTCTGCCTTTTGAATCATGTAGACTAAACCCAGACACCTTAGACGTTCTTCCCCATACTTAATTTCCCATCAGGTATTGATTGCACACATATCAAGTACTCAGGTCCAGGGCCGGGCGCGGCGGCTCATGCTTCTAATCCCAGCACTTTGGGAAGCTGAGGCGGGAGGATTACTCGAGCCCAGGAGTTCAAAGCTGCAATGAGCTGTAATCCCACCACTGTACAAAAGAGCAAGACCCTGTCTTTGCCCGGGGGGGAGGGAAGTACTCAGGTTGGGGGTTAAAAGTTGACTAAGGCAGTAGGATCCTTGTAAGTCTGGGAACTGTGGTCCTGTGAAATAGGATAGATCTGGACCTGAAGAAATATTCTGGGTAGAGGAGATCCTAGAAAACTTGCATACCCAAATGAGTGGGGTTTCCTTCAGCGCAGTCACCATCTTCCAACTCTCCTCCCCAAACTCAAGCTTGATGTCATGCTTATAACATGTTTACTTCATGTCTGAGTTTGTCTTCAGAAAGTGCCTTCTGGTGACTACAAATTCACTCAAGAAAAATCAGCCTGGATACATTAGAGTCACCCCTCTTGGCATTACACAGTTTGACCGCCCCCCTAGTTCACCAGATTTGGCCCAGAACCCTTGATTGTTTTTTAAAATCAAATCTACTTTCAAGAGTCAACACTGAGAGCATTCAAAAGACTATCTCACAAACCCTGAAAGCAACACCAGACATCATAATTTGAAAACAGGGACATAATTAGAATAAGTGTAGAACTTCCCAGAATGACTCCTTTGAAGGAGGCATTCATCTGATATGAGTTGGAATGTTTATTAAAAACAAAAACCAAAAAAATCAATCCCTTGACTTCAGATTCAGCCTTCAGATATAGCTTCCTAATGGCTAGCAGTACTCTCATTTAACTGCATTTTGTATAAATTTTTTGTCAAAAATTTAATGTCATGATAATTTGAGCCCGAGGCTGCAGTGAGCTATGACTGTGCCACTGAACTCTAGCCTGGGTAACAGAGCAAGACCCTGTCTCAAAAAAGAAAGAAAGAGAGAGAGAGGAAGGGAAGGAGGGAGGGAGGGAGGGAAGGGAAAATTCAATCTCACTACTTTAACATCATAAATAATCTTTAGAACTTTGAATACAAACAAATCTGGGGTCTTTTTCCTGCCACAATTTTTGAAATCATATTAAATATTAAAATGTAGCCTGGAAGGGGGGAAAAAGGTCTAAAAGCTACTTTCAGTCTCAGATTTGAGAGAACAGCCCTAGACTTTGTGTTGGTATGATGAGAAGGGAGAGAAATGTATATATGGCAGCTATTTTAGTCCATTTTCGGTTGCTGTCTCACCCTGTTCAGTCCATCTCGCCTTAATCCTTGCATTCATAGTTCCCACTGCAACTTGAGGTTCATCTATCCACTCTTAGAATTATGCTTACATTTTGTATATCTTACAGAAGTAGGGTCTTAGATCTGGGCATTGGGTGGCATAAACCACAGAAATTTATTTCCTCAAAGATCTGGGGGCTAGCAGTCCAAGATCAAGGTGTCTGGCAGGTTTGGTTCCTTCTGAGGCGTCTCTCCTTGGCTTGCAGTCACCACCTTCTAACTGTGTCCTGACATGGTATTTCCTCTGTATGCATGCATCCCTGGTGTCTCCTTGTGTGTCCAAATTTTCTCTTCTAACAAGGACACCAGTCAGATTGGATTAGAGCCCACCCTAATGGCCTCATTTTAACTCAGTCACCTCTTAAAACTGATAGTTAAGATACAGAGCAGTTAAGATAGTGTCTCATTGTCATGTGCTGGCAGAAGATGTTTTAAATGAAACTCCTGTGAACTCATTCATTCATTTGTTTAGGTTTGTTTGTTTGTTTGTTTGAGACAGAGTTTCACTCTGTCGCCCAGGCTGGAATGCAGTGGCGCCATCTTGGCTCACTACAAACTCTGTCTCCTGGGTTCAAGTGATTCTTCTGCCTCAGCCTCCCAAGTAGCTGTGATTACAGGAGTGCACCAACACGCCTGGCTAATTTTTGTATTTTTAGTAGAGACAGGGTTTCACCATGTTGGCCAAGCTGGTCTCGAACTCCCGACCTCAGGTGATCCACCTGCCTTGGCCTCCCAAAGTGCTGAGATTACAGGCATGAGCCACTGCACTTGGCCTCATTTAGTATTTTTTAAACATCTATACAGTTTTAGGCAACAAGGGAGACAGGAAGACTGTCCTCAGGAGGTTAGCAATATACAGGGCATAATGAGCAGTCTTTCGAAGCAGGAATTGTCATATCAACTCTTATATCCCCAGCACCTTACACACTGCCTTGTAAATAGTAAGCTGTTCCAAAAAGTTGATATTGATCTGAAATGAATCCCTGTGCAGAATTTCTAAACCTGGTCGAAAAAAGCTCCTTTAGTGTTCTATTAATAGCTACTTTGTATTTAGGTAGAGCACTAAAGAGAAGCAAGCCATTACAGAGAATACTATACCAAGGAAGATATTTCCACTTCCTTTCATAGCCTTGCTACTTCCTCAAAGTAAGGTCCGTGAAACAGCAGCATGAGTCTCACCTGGGAACTTATTAGAAATGCAGAATTTTATGCCTCACCCTAAATCCACTGAATGAAAATCTGCATTTTAGCAAGCTGCCAGGTGGCTCCTATGTAACATTAAAGTTTGAGAAGCATTGCCTTCAGAGACCCCTTATTAACAGTGTTTGGTAGATCTACTTAAGATAGAATATAAGACATAATGAACAAGGTGGATGTTCTCAGGCTGCAAGCCATATAACATAGTGGTCATTTTCTTTAGGAGTTATACATTTGCACCATAGGTTAGGAGGTGAAAGCTGGGTTGAACTGCTTTCCTTTACCTTTAAAAATAACGTTTTTGGCTGGGCGCAGTGGCTCACGCCTGTAATCCCAGCATTTTGGGAGGGCGAGGTGGGTGGATCACCTGAGGTCAGGAGTTCGTGACCAGCTTGGCCAACATGGTGAAACCCCATCTCTACTAAAAATACAAAAATTAGCCAGGTGTGGTGGCACACACCTGTAATCCCAGCTAATTGGGAGGCTGAGACAGGAGAATTGCTGAGACAGGAGGCGGAGGTTGCAGTGAGCTGAGATCGCACCACTGTACTCCAGCCTGGGTGACAGAGAAAGACTCTGTCTCAAAATAAATAAATAAATAAGAAAAAAATAATTTTTAAAGCTGGTCTTTAATAGCTCTTCCATTTTCCTTACTTCCTTGCTTCTCAAGTAACGTAACCACCAACAAATCCCTTCGAAGGTAGAAGAGGAAAATGACGATATTAATAGGAGCCACAGTTACCATTAATTGAGCACCAACAGTTCTTCCAGGCACCATGCCAGGCCCTTTACATACTCAGAACAACCCTCCTGGGTAGATGTCATTAACTACATTTTACAGATGAAGAAACTAAAGCTCGGATCAATAACATGACTTGTACAACTTTCCATAACTAATAACTGACTGAACTGTGATGTGAACTACATCTGTAGGACCCGAAAGCCTGTTCTTTCCCTGCTACACCTGTCTTATTCCTTCCTCCATCCTGGAATTCCTGCCACCCACAGGGTTCAAAGGTAGCCTTTTCACCTCTGATTGCTGCCCATGGCTGATTCACCTCCAGTTTCTGCAGGTTAGTAATGTAGCTTTATAATTACAGTAATTGCTAACATGCATATTGCACTTGATAAAACATTTCTATATACCTTCTCTTGTCCAATCTTAAACAACTCTGCAGTTACAGGTGATGATATGGGATTTTATCTTTTTACTTCTTATGAGTTGCAAGTCTTTAGAAGTGGGGAAGAGGAAAATGGTCTTTCACACTAGAGTGTGAGGTTTACAAAAGGGAACAATATTTCTCACCACTGGACTGTAAGTTCCTTGAGGACAGAGAATGAATCTTACTTATTTTGTATTCTCAGGACAAGTATAGTGACCGCCATGGCTAGGGGATGTATAACCATTTATTGAATAAATGGTTTTAAATACCTAACTTCTATATTTCTATGTTTGAGTGAGGTGAACCCTAAGTACGGAATAATTAATGTTGTTCCTTGATCCCAGCAAATCTCTCCTCTTCCTCTTCATGGGCCTCTGTCCCCAGTAAGTGGCACCACTTGTCCCTTTAGTCTCCCAGACTAGAAAGCTTTCCTTTGCATTCACCTCATCCTATTAATCATTGTCGTCTGCACAGGCTGTCATTAGAAAATAGCATAGACTGGTGACCTAAACAACAGAAATTTATTTTCTCGCAATTCAAGGCTTTGACATCCAAGATCAAGGTTTTGGCCAACTCAGTTTCTGGTGAGGACGTTCTTCCTGGCTTGCATGTGGGTGCCTTCTCTCCATGGCCTTTCCTCAGTGCCTGTCCACAGACAGCAAGAGGCTCTGGTCCTCTCTTCTTAGAAAGACATCAATCCTGTTGGATTAGGGCCCACCCTTATGCCATCATTTAATCTTAACTACTATACTTCCTTAGAGGCCTCTCTGGGTGTCGTTAGGGCTTCAACATATGAATTTTGTGGGAAGACAAACATTCAGTCCATAACAATCACCAAAGCTGGCCAAATAATTGGATGCCAATATTGCATCCAACTGCAGTCATGTCATTTTGGTCAATGATGGACTGCATGTATGATGGTGATCCCATAAGATTACATTGGAGCTGGAAAATTCCTGTCACCTAGTGATGTCCTAGCAGTCATAACACCTAACATCGTCCTAAGGCAACACATTACCTTTACTATGTTTAGATACGCAAATACTTACCATTGTGTTACAATTACCTACAGTATTTGGCACAGTAACATGCTCTACAGGTTTGTAGCCTAGGAGCAATAGATTATAACATATAGCCTATGTGTGTAGTACACTATATCCTCTAGGTTTTGTGTGACTACATTCTATGATGTTCACACAATCATGAAATTGCCTAGCAATGAATTTCTCAGAGAGTGTCTCCATAGTTAAGCAGTGCATGACGATTTCTTAAATCTGTACATAATTTAATCCACTATTTGTTCCACTTAGGTTATTCACTGATTTTATTCAACAAATAGTTGTGTTGGCACAGTGGAGAACATCATCAACATAGTCCTTGTCTCTATAGAGCTTCACTCTAATACAGGAAACAGAAATTAAACGAACAGGATAGTGATTAAGAACATAAGATTTGGCCAGGCGTGGTAGCTCACTCCTGTAATCCGAGCACTTTGGGAGGCCGAGACAGGTGGATCATTTGAGGTCAGGAGTTAGAGACCAGCCTGGCCAACACAGTGAAACCCCGTCTCTACTAAAAATACAAAAATTAGCCGGGCAGTAATGGTGCACACCTGTAATTCCAGTTACTCAGGAGGCTGAGGCAGGGAGGTTGCAGTAAGCCAAGATCATGCCACTGAACTCCAGTGGCAACAGAATGAGACCCTGTCTCAAAAAAAGAACATAAGACTTACTAGAATGCCTGGGTTGATACTGGCCCTGGGCAAATTACTTAACTGTTTATGTCTGTTTCATTAGCTGTAAAATGAAAATAATACTAATATTTACTCATAAGATTGTGTGAAATATTAAGACTATCGCATTATGCTTACTTACTACCTGTCATGTAAGTACTAAGTAGATGTTAGCTATGATTATTAAATATAAACACAAGTCTATTACTCATTTATGCAAATGCCTCCTAAGAAGTTACACTTTTTCACATTTTTGTCTCCCTCAAATTCGTTCTCTCTAGTGCCACTAAAATAATCTCCAGTAATGTCACTGCTTAAAACCCTTCAGCAGCTCCCCGCTGCCTACGGGAGAGAGGCTAAGCTGGTAAGGCAGCCAGCAATGCACTCATGACCTGCTTCTTGCCCTCCCCTCCAGCCTCATCGCTCACCACTCCCTGCCACAGCTTTACCCTCCAGCAATGCTGAACTCTGTGGTGCACTGTGCTATTCTTGCCTTTGTCCCTTTATTCACATTGCACTTCTGTCAGGAATATGCTTTGCCTGACTAATTCATTGCCAGCTCTTTGACACTCAGCTCAGGGGCCTCCTCCTCTGGGAGACTTCTCCTGTAAACCCCAAAATACAAAAATAGATTTTTTGGCCAGCTTCATTGTTTTATGTGCATATCTCAATCATTGAACTAACAAGCTGTACTACCAGTGTTTGTTTATAAGTGCCTCCCACCCATATAATGAGCATCTCCAGGGCAAAACTGTCTTATCTGTCTTTGTAGCTCCAGCAGCTAACGATGCATATGACACATAGTAAATTTTCAATGAATGTTTGTTTAAGGACTGAATGGATGACTTAAGGAGTTAAACTTTAATATAATGGAAGAGATCTGCAGAGCACTAGAAAATGAATTAAATCATTTTGGACTATGCAGCAGAACAAATCAAACTTATAAGTTTGTTAGTGTTAGAAGAAAAGTGTTGCATCTATTGTTTCTCAGCTTCTTTAGGTACATCTATTAATATTTATTACAACAATTTCTTTTCACATGTAAAGCACTGTGCTAAGAGTTAGGGGTATGAGATAAAATCTCTGTTCCCAAAGAGCCTAAAGCATAGTGGATGAATAGCACTTCCCTTTGCAAAGCTAGAAGGCAAGCTGGACACTCACCTTTCCCATGACTTCCAGTGACCTTGAATTTACAAGTCATGTCTCAGTATATAAGTACAGGATATGGGTAAGACAGACCTTGGTACATAAAGCATTAAAATGAAAGTGCTATACTAGAAATGCAAAAATGCAATGGGAACATGGAGGATACAATAACTATGACTAGGTGGCATTTTTTTTTTTTTTTTTTGAGATGGAGTCTCACTTTGTCGCCCAGGCTGGAGTGCAGTGGTGTGATCTCGCCTCCCAGGTTCAAGCGATTCTCCTGCCTCAGCCTCCCAAGTAGCTGGGACTACAGGCATGTGCCACCATGCCCGGCTAAATTTTTGTATTTTAGTAGAGACGAGGTTTCACCGTGTTGCCCGGGGTGGTCTCGAACTCCTGAGCTCAGGCAATCCGCCAACCTCGGCCTCCCAAAGTGCTAGGATTACAGGTGTGAGCCATTGCACCCAGTCATATTTTGCTTTTATAAATTTTTTACTGAAGTTTATGTTTCTATAATTTATACAGAAAAAAATTTAAATATAGAATAGTAGAAAAAAGAAGTATGAAAATCATATGAGGATAATCATCCCACTATCCTGAAATAGTAACTCAATATTTTGTCATATTAAAAATATATTGCACATAATAACAATCTTAATGAAATTCTTAAAAAGAAAACAAAAGGAAAAGCCCATTGTCCTGCCATCAAGCACAAATCAAATGTCCCATTCTAATCTTAAGAGTGATTTTCTTATAGGGTGGTATTTTTGCTATAGTTTCCTCAGGGTTGAGTGCTATAATTTGGGAAGACTAATTTTAAAAATGGAGCCGTAGAGATTTATCATACTTCTTAAATTTACTACTCTATTATTGGATTGCTTTTAGGAGACACTGAGTTCTGTATAGACAACAGGGGAAAGGAATAAAGCTTTGTTCTGAAGTCAAAGCTTCTGAGTAATACAGCACTGACTGACATTTAACTCAATTAAACAATTCAGCTTTGCTGGGCTAGTAACACCATCTTTGCAAACAAAAAAGCACAACCCACGTATGCTAGGCTGCTCCACCTGTACACTAGCATGGCTGTAACACAGCCTACTGCACAATCCATACTCAGTCTTTGCTTATTCATTGATTCATTCAGTAAACATTTTTTGAATTCCTGCTTTGGGCCAGGCATTACACTAGACTCTGGGAATACAGTGGTGAGCTAGGCAGACATTATGGAGCTAAAAATATCCTCTTCCATCTTTGGTCTTCCTGCAAGTGGTCTGTTGCCCAAAGCAGGGGTCCCTAACCCCCAGACTGCAGAATGGTACCAGTTTGTGGCCTGGTAGGAACTGGGCCACACAGTGGAAGGTGAGCAGTGGGCAAGCATTACTGTCTGAGCCCCACCTCCTGTCAGATCAGCTGGGGCATTAGGAGCGAGAACCCTATTGTGAACTGCATATGCAAGGAATCTAGGTTGCGTGCTCCTTGTGAGAATCTAATGCCTGATGATCTGAGGTGGAACAGTTCCATCCCCAAACCATGCCCCCTCCCACCCTAGTTCATGGAAAAATCATCTTCCACAAAAGCTGTCCCTGGTGCCAGAAAGGTTGGGGACCTCTGGCCTAAAGTATTCCAACCAGCCAGTAAGTGTTCCTGGCCCAGACACACAATGTGACCTTTTCACTGCAGAATAATCTAGTCCAAAATGCCAGTGGTTTACTTTACACTCCAAATGCTGACCGTAGCTATTTTTGCAGGAAGAATAACCATTCCATTGCTTAATTCTATACCTGCCAAAACATTAGTGCTATATTCTTTGTCTTCCATAAAAGAAAATAAATTTTTTCATTCACAGTTACATTTCACTGTTATAAATAGATGTATTACGTTTTTAAAATGTGTTAAATGTTGCTAAATAATAATTAGTAAAATTTGTAATGAGATGCTTACTTTCTAAACAATAGAGCAAACAGTAAACCAAGTGTAGTCCATTGTATATAGAGAGAAAGAATGAAAGGAAATGAAAAAGTGAGAATAATATTCAAGATGATAAACTTGTGGGGTTTTTTTCCTTTAAACATTTTCATTGTGATTGTTATAATGTTGTTATGTTCATTTTTTTCCAGCCTGGCAAAAGAAATGCCAGGTAACAATAGAATCTGAACTGGAAGGGGCACTGAAAAAACCTGTGAGAGAATCTCATTCACACTTTTTTCAGATTTAGTTATCTTTCCCGGGCCATACCAGCCTTCACTGTCAAACCTGTCTTTTTATCTAACTAAATCCCACAGGCTGCAGTTAAATTCCATTTTTTCCATTTATCATCCTTTGTGAGTATTCTTTTATTTGAAGAATATCATAGCTCATCTCAATTCGATTTTTTAGCTACCAAATACATTTGATTGTGTTTCTCGCTCCCTTAAAGCATTTGGGTGTCTCCAAGGAAGGTCTGTGGGTTTTCCTAGTAGTACTGTCATAAAACGAGTTCCTTCTAGGCCCATGTTTGGGGATTCTGGGACCTTCAATAACAGCTCTAAATTCTCTTTTTATTTGCTACTGTTATATTCCTTTTCAAAATGGGATTCTCCTCAATTCTTTTCTTTCTTTCTCTCTCTTCCCTCCTTCATTCCCTCCCTCCCTCCCTCTCTCTTCTTTCTTTCTTTCTCTCTCTCTTTCCTTCTTTCTTTTCTTTCTTTCTTACTTTCTCTTTCTTTCTTTCTTTTCTTTTCTTTTCTTTCTCTTTCTCTTTCTCTCCTTCCCCGCTTCCTTCCTTCCTTCCTGCCTGCCTGCCTGCCTGCCTGCCTGCCTGCCTGTATTGAATGGCCATTCTCTGTCAGGCCTGTGTTAGGCACTGGAGATGCAGTGTGGACAAGACAGACACCATTCCTGCCCTCCTAGGGCTTGCAGTCGAGTAGGCGACACCAAGCAATAAATAATTACAAATTGTCCTAAGTGAGTTGAAGAAAAAGTATAGGGAGCTCTGAACATATAATAGATAGACTTGGTCTTATAGGTAAAGAGACTCTCCCTTGCCAAGTGGTATTTGAGCTGAATCCTAAAGAACGGTGAGAAGGAGTTCATCAGAGGAAGAGCTTCCCAGGAGACAGGAACAGACATGCAAAGGCCCTGAGGAAGGAGGGCCAGCATGGGTGCCATGCTGGGCTCCTGGGCTGTGTGACATCCAGGAGGGAAAGTGCCACCTCTGCCAGCCACCCTCCTGTTTTCCCCCAGTGACTCTCAACATCGTCTGGGCAGGTCAGTTCAGTAGCATGTACTGAGTACCAGGGCTCGGCAGATAGACATGGATATAAATGCAGTGCTGAACCTGCCCTCCAGGAACGAGAAAGAAGGAAGGGCCATGATGGAAATGATGATAAGAGGCAGCCTGGGGTACAGGCAAGGGAATCCAGAAAACATCTGTGGGTGAAAAGGGAAGGGAGAAATAGTCCCTGGGTGATCTGAGAAAACTTTTCTGAGAAAGTGGAATTTCAGCTCAGCCTTAAAGAAGGAGAAGGACCCTGCTAAGCAATTATGAAGGGAAGAGTGTTCCAGCTGAGGCAGGAGTTTGAGCTGAAAAAGAAAGGCAGAGAGGGAGCCGACACTGTGTCTGAACGCTGGGAAAGCCATTATCATAATGCTGCTTTTCTTCCAGCAAAATGGGGAGCTAGGCAGCCGAAGATATTTGTCAAACATAATTTTGTTTCCTTCAAATGCTAAAACTGTATATTTTAACCATTTTTGATGGTGATATTTCTAAAATGTTTTATACCCATTCCTGCCTTTCTTAACAAAGGATTCTAAATATAACTTAATCTTTTCTTGATGACGCAGGATCATGATCATGAGAGTGTAGTTATTTTATGCTGTATTCCCTATTTTTTACATTTTTTTCTGTCCTCTGGCTGACAGCTGTTAGTTCTCTTTGAATCTGCCTCCAGCAAATCCCTGCCCCACCGTTCTCCACAAAATCACTCTTCCTGTGTATATCTCACTTACAGTTTCTGTTTCACTGATAAACTAAGTGAATACCATGTTGAGAATCATGTGCCTGATATGTAGTATACTTCAATCAATACTTGTTGGTTAAATGATTAGTTAGGTTTTGACTGTAAGCCTAGGGTAGGGAGTCAATGGAGAGACCTGGGACAGTTCTTTCTGGGACCATATTCAAAACAGTGGGAAGTCAGACCTCCAGATAATGGGTTGTTACTCTGCTATTTTTACAGTGTTGCTTAGCAAGCCAAACCACCAACTGGCTTAGATTCTGGTGACGAACAACTATTTTTTCATGCCCTAGTGATGTTGGTTACCATGGTGCTCTGGATGACACAGTTGGCTTTTTTATAATTGCCTTTTAGTGGCTCAAGAATTTATTTTGTGATAAAGGTGTTGATTATTTCTGATAAAATAGAGCAGGATAATTACTATAAAGTACAGCCTTTTTTTTAAGCTAGAGAAAGGGACAGTTTTGTTTTTCCAAATCAAGGCGGTTGCTGCAGGATTGGTAGAATAACATTTTTGTGTTTCTCTTCCTGATTTGGTAGGGAATGATTTCACTTGATTGTATAGTTAAAAACAACAACAACAACAACAAAAATCTAGTATGTGTCAAGGTAGCTGTTTCTCATCTCATTCCAAAGGAGGCTTTCAAATATTAAGATACAAAGATTAGGAGCTCAGAGCCCTTTATAAACACAAGAGGCTCTAACAGCACTGTTAAAATTCTGGCATATATCATTGCAAAGAAGTATCCTGTAAAACCAAACTGTTTTGTAGCCCAGAACTGTTTAGACTTATAAAAGCATAAAATTTTAGAGCCAGAAATGGAAACTTGGTGATCACCTAGTCCCATCTTTTTTTTTCTTTCTTTCTTTCTTTTTTTTGAGATGGAGTCTCACTTTTGTCGCCCAGGCTGGAGTGCAGTGGCACAATCTCGGCTCACTGCAACCTCCACCTCCCGGTTTCAAGCAATTCTCCTGCCTCAGCCTAAGTAGCTGGGATTACAGGCGCCTGCCACCACTCCCAGCTGATTTTTGTATTTTTAGTAGAGATGGGGTTTCACCATGTTGGCCAGGCTGGTCTGAAACTCCTGACCTCAGGTGATCTGCTCACCTCGGCCTCCCAAAGTGCTGGGATTACAGGCATGAGCCACCGTGACCGCCCGGCATGTCTTTTATGATTGAGAAAACTGAGGCACAGAAAGGACAAATACTAAAAAGAGAAATGATAATCCCTCGTAGTTGCAAAGGCGTTATGTTTATTTATTGGCAAATGTTTTTTAATGACCATATAAACAAATATCACAGCCATATAAACAAAATTTCCAGTTTAGTAATTCATTGTGTGCCCACCATAAATGTGAGGTCAGCAGTTTTTATCCTCATTTTGTATATGCAGCACCAGAGATCTAAAGACAGAAGTGTCCTGCTCAATGTTAGTGACAGAGGTGGAACCAGAACTCACATGTCTGACTTGCCACCTCAGACCATGGAGCCAAGGACACAGACAGAGGGTCCCAGAGGCCTGAACTCAGATCCCAGCACCTTCGTTGACTAGCTACGACTGGGGCAGGTCACTATATCACTCTGAGACTTGTCTTCCTTCTTTTTTGTTTTGTTTTGTTTTTTTGTTTTGAGATGGAGTCTCCCTCTGTCGCCCAGGCTGGAGTGCCTTGGCATGGTCTCGGCTCACTGCAAACTCTGCCTCCTGGGTTCAAGCGATTCTCCTGCCTCAGCCTCCTGAGTAGCTCGGATTACAGACACCCGCCACCATGCCCAGCTAATTTTTGTTTTGTTTTTTTTTCGGTAGAGATGGGGTTTCACCATATTGGCCAGGCTGGTCTCGAACTCCTGACCTCAGGTGATCAGCCCGCCTTGGCCTCCCAAAGTGCTGGGATTACAGGCATAAACCACTGTGCCCGGCCTATTCCCCTTTTAAGAAGATGGAAGATAGGCCAGGTGTGCTGGCTCACCCTTGTAATCCCAGCACTTTGGGAGGCCAAAGTGGGCGGATCACCTGAGGTCAGGCGTTCAAGACCAGCCTGACCAACATGGTGAAACCCCGTCTCTACAAAAATATAAAAATTAGCTGGGCATGATGGCGGGTGCCTGTAATCCCAACTGCTCAGGAGGCTGAGGCGGGAGAATCACTTGAACCCGGGAGGTGGAGGTTGCAGTGAGCTGAGATCATGCCATTGCACTTCAGCCTAGGCAACAGAGCGAGACTCCGTCTCAAAAAAAAAAAATAGGTGGGGGTGGGGGGGAATAGTGATACTACATTGTGAGTTTACTCTGAAGGCTGAAGACAATTCCAGTATAGCCCTAAAGAGACTCCACCATTTGCCTCTTACCTCCCTGATCTAGTTAAATTAATTGTATACAGTTAGTCATCTTGTATAACAAGTCCTTTCTCTCTCTGATCCAGCCCATGTAAAACTGTATATAATAAGAAAACAAAATTGAAAGCTGTTTACTTTGGGTAGGGCCCAGGGGATGAAAATTGGACCGTAGGAGGTTCCTTCCATTTCTTTTATCCTGTTATCAGTTAGAATTCAGTTTCCTCCCCCATCACTCTGCTCTTCCTCAGACATCTCAGGCAAATAAAAAAACCTGACCATTTAAACAAATAACACAGCAATATAAACAAAACTCCTCAAAGCTCCAAGCAGTCTACTAAAATAAAATATCAGGCTAAACATAAGAAGGCTTGGATTTGAAGGCGAAGTGTAGCAAGGAGGTGGAATTGTGACTCCTTTCCCCTTCCCAGTTCAAAGCCGTTCTCCTCCCTTGCTAATCACTAGGGAGGTGCCGGGCATTAGCTCAGCATGCCTTCCTGCAGCCTCCAGGCATTTACAGAGTATGTGCCCATTGCTCTTAACACGTCAGAGACAGTAAACCTGAGATTTGGCCTGGAATGTGGAGTCTGCATTGTGTTGGAAAGAGCACAAGGTCAAGAGGCAGACAGACCTGGGGTTGTTCCTGGCTCCATCACATACTAATATTGTCCTTGGATAAGTCATTTTATTTTTCCAAGTCTCAGTTTCCTTATCTACATATTAGTAATAACAACCCCCCTTTTGCAGAGATATTATGAAGACCAGAGGTAACATATGCACCCAATGTACAGTAGGTATTACAGAAACTACTATGGCAAAAACTAGGAAATGGAGTCTCAGGATTCAGCTTGGTTTACATCAAAAATGATATGGAGAACACTGACGAATCTGTAGGCTGTCTTCAGCTGCAATGAAAACCTTCAAAAGCGTGGATTTTAAGATCATCTCAGGTATCTAGCTTACTTCAAACAGTGCCCCTGAGAGTCCACATATCTCTCTTCTCCCAGGGACTAGCCTAGCTTGACCACACTCCCTGGCTGGCCCAGAACTAAGTGATGACTAAAGTTGGCCCTGTTTGCCTTTCAATGTATCCTCCTCATATCTGAGGTTGGTTTGTGACCTGAGAATGACACCATCTGCCAAAGCATAGCCAAATCACTCTGGGTCACCATGGTGATTTTTAAGCAGGGGATTCTGGGTATGGTTAGGCTGAACCCAGAGAGAGAGAGTCAAACTGACCACCCAGGCAGTCTCCAAGACCAGTTCTGTATCTGAGAGGCCTGAGCTTAATGTATCCAGACTTTTCTAGTTGGGTCTTGAAGCTTTCCAGAAATCCTAACCAGGGCTCAATTTTGGCTTCACCATTTATTGGCGGAGTATTCTTGGAACGGTTATTTTATTTTTGTTTTCTTTTATATTTTTTAATTTAAAAAAATTTTTTTAAGAGATGGGGGTCTTACCATGTTGCCCAGGGTGGTGTCGAACTCATGGCCTCAAGCGATCCTCCCGCTTCAGCTTCCCAAAGTGCTGGGATTATGAGCCACCACCCTTGATTCTGCATTGCCTCTGGACCAGCTATTTTATGAACAATACGTTTTGACATAGTAGTGGGAAAGAAGGCAAAAAAAATACCAAAAAATCATAGGAGCCTTTAATGCAAGGAAGAAGAGTTCAGAAATGATCCTGCTTAGTCTTAAATGATCCTCCTACATGTGATTGAGATGGGGAGTAACCTCACAAATGCAGTATTTCGGGGATCGTTAATCCGGTTTTAGTGTACAAGATGTATTAGGGCTAGAAAAACCAAAAGGATGAATGGTTAGGATATTGGTGCAGTTGTCCAAGATGGGATGAGGGCATAGAAATTAAGGACACTTTGAATTAGAGGAGGAAAAAAATCTCTTAGACTTCATTACATGTGAACACTCCTCCTCAGTCTCCTTTACTGGTTCTGCCTACATCATATCCACAGATGTATCTTCAGCACCTGGCACAGTGCCTACCCATAGCAGATGCTCAAATATTTGTCCCATGAATGTTGCATTTCTATGACCTCTAAATGTTACAGTGCCTCAGGGCTCAGAAATTGATCTCTTCTCTGTCTACTCTCATTCCCTCGATTATTTCATTCATTCTCCCAAACTTATCAACATGAACTCCAGACTTACATTTCTAATTGCCACTGAACATCTCCACTTAGAAGTCTAAAATACATCTCAAACTTAAACCTGCCCAAAACTGAGCTCCTACTCTTTTTGCCAAACACACTCCTTAAGTGATCCTCCCACCTCAGCCTCCTTAGTAGCTGGGATTACAGGCGTGAGCCACCATGCCCAGCTAATATTTTTAATTTTTTATAGAAATGGGCTTTCACTATGTTGTCTAGGCTGATCTTGGAACTCCTGGGCTCAAGCAATCCTCCTGCCTCAGCCTCCCAAAGTGCTGGGATTACAGGCGTGAGCCACTGCACTCGGCCTTATGTCTATTCTTAACACAGCAGTTTAGCAAATGAACGCAGAAACAGAAAACCAAATACCGCATGCTCTCACTTATGAGTGGGAGCTAAATAATGAGAACACGTGGACACAAAGAGGGCAACAGCAGGCACTGGAGGAGGGAGAGGATTAGAAAAAAATACCTATTGGGTACTATGCTTAGTACCTGGGTGATGAAATAATCTGTATACCAAACCTCTGTGACACGAATTTACCTAGATAACAAACCTGCACATATACCCCGAACCTAAAATAAAAGTTAAAAGAAAAAAAAAACACAGCAGCTAGAGTTCCTTTTAAAATATAAGTCAGCCAGGCACGGTGGCTCACACCTGTAATACCAGCACTTTGGGAGGCGGAGGCAGGTGGATCACGAGGTCAGGAGTTCAAAACTAACCTGGCCAAGATGGTGAAACCCCATCTCTACTAAAAATACAAAAAAATTAGACTGGCATGGTGGCAGGCACCTGTAATCTTAGCTACTTGGGAGGCTGAGGCAGAGAATCGCTTGAACCCGGGAGGCGGAGGTTGCAGTGAGCCAAGATCACACCACTGCACTCCAGCCTGGGGGACAGAGCAAGATTCTGTCTCAAAAAACAAAACAAAACAAAAACAAAAACATAAGTCAGATCATGTCACCTTTTTGCAACACACACACACACACACACACAAATGTTGCAATGGCTTGTTTTTATGTCACTGAGAGTAAGACCCAAAGTCCTTACAAAGGCCTTCCTGGCTCTATCACATTGGCACCTCCCCTACCCCTCAACTCCCTGACCTTGGCTCCCACTACTTTCCTCTCCCACGTTCTACAGCCACCGCATTGGCCTCCTTGCCATTCCTTAAGCACATCAGTTACACTCCCAATGCATGACCTTTACACCCTGTTCTACTGCAGAGATCTCCACAGGGCTCCCTACCTCACCGCCTTCAGGGCTTTATTGAAACATCACCTCAGGGAGTTCATCCCCGTCTCCCTTCCCTAAAATTGTAACACCTGTTCTCTCACTCCCACACACTCCCTCATCACTATTCCCTGCTTCGCTTTCCCCTTAGCAGTGTGCTATATATATTTTTTTATATATATGATGTGTGTGTGTGTGTGTGTATATATATATATTTTTTTTTTTTGAGACAACATCTCACTGTCACCCAGGCTGGTGTGCATTGGTGCAATCATTGCTAGCTGCAGACTCAAATTCCTAGGCTCAAACAATCCTCCTGCCTCAGCCTTCCAAGCAGCTGGGACTACAGGCATGCACCACCCCACCTGGCTAAATTTTTTAAAATTTTTTGTAAAGATGAAGTTTTGATTCATTGCCCAGGCTGGTCACAAACCCCTGGGCCCAAGCAGTCCTCCTGCCTCAGCCTCCCAAAGTGTTGGGATAATGGGCTTAAGCCACGGCGCCCAGCCTTATGCTATATATTTTAGATATGTATTTGCTTTATTATCTCTTACCTCTACTTACAAGAGTGTAAGCTGCCGGAGGAAAATGATTTTGTGCATTGTGCTCATTGCTGCATTTCAAGTGCCTAGAAGAGTGCTCGGCATGTAGCAGTCATTCAGTAAGTACTTGTTAAAAGAATAAAGGAAGAAGAATTGAAAGAATGTGGGGATTTTTTTCTAAATTGACATAAAGGAAAGATAAAAGATGACTCTTGGGTTATGACTTAGGGTAACTAGAGTTAATGGTATCATTTACTGTAGTGAAGACGGAGGAAGAGCAGGGGCAATGTGTCTTGAAGATTAGGAGTTCCTATTTGGGTAAGTGATTTTGACAAGAGGACAGCTCAGGCAAAATATCTAAAACAGGAAGGGTGTTCAAAATAGACATCGAGGCCAGGTACAGTGGCTCACACCTGTAATCCCAGCACT
Source organism: Homo sapiens (assembly GCF_000001405.40). NCBI lineage: Eukaryota > Metazoa > Chordata > Mammalia > Primates > Hominidae > Homo > Homo sapiens. The sequence goes on from NC_000010.11 coordinate 99,348,808, forward strand.
TTGGGAGGCCAAAGTGGGCAGATTGCTTGAACTCAGGAGTTTGAGGCCAGCCTGGGCAACATTGCAAAGCCCCATCTCTACAAAAACAAACAAACAAACAAATAAACAAACAAATAGCCAGGCCTGCTGGCTTGAGTCTGTTGTCTTAGCTACTCAGGAGGCTGAGGTGGGAGGATCCCTTGAGCCTGGGAGGCGGAGGTTGCAGTGAGCTGAGATTGCACCACTGCACTCCAACCTGGGCAACAGAGTGAGGCCCTGTCTCAAAATAAAAAAATAGAAACCTATGTTCAGATATAAATCCAGTTCTCAGTAAAGAGGTGATTGTGATATTTAAATTAATAGGCTTTGCTGGGATCTTTAATCAGCAAGAGAGATGAGCGGAAGATCAAAGACAGGAGCAGAAGTTCTTAACTGCAAGTGCCCATTAGAATCACCTGAAGAAGTTTTAAACATTCCAGTGTCCCAGCCTCATCCAAGATCAATTAGATCAGAATTTCTGTGGGTGGGACACAGGCATCAGTATGTAACTCCAACGTGCAGCCAGGGTCGAGAATCACGAGTCGGAGTCTTTAAGATATATTTATCTGTAGGTGAGGATTAAAAAAAAGGAATCCACAATGGAAATAGAAAAGTTCCAATCATAAGGGTGGGAAGAGAAGTAGGGTAGTCTTGACCAGGATTTCTGATACCCAAGTGTGCGTAAGAATCACCTGGAGATATTGAGGAAATGCAAATTCTGATTCAGAAAGCTAAGATGAGAGCCTGAATTTCTGCTTCCCTCACAAGCTCCCAAGTGATACCATGTTTCCAATCCAAGGACCACACTTTGAGTAGCACATGTCAAGAGCAGTGTTTCTCAAACTTTAGTGTGCATAAGAATCACCTGGAGAGCTCATTAAAACAGCTATCTGGGCCGGGCGCAGTGGCTCACGCCCGTAATCCCAGCACTTTGGGAGGCTGAGGTGGGCGGATCATGAGGTCAGGAGATCGAGACCATCCTGGCTAACACGGTGAAACCCCGTCTCTACTAAATATACAAAAATTAGCTGGGCGTGGTGGCGTGTGCCTGTAGTCCCAGCTACTCGGGAGGCTGAGGCAGGAGAATTGCTTGAACCCGAGAGGCAGAGGTTGCAGTGAGCCAGGATCACACCATTGAACTCCAGCCTGAGCAACAGAGTGAGACTCAGTCTCAAAACAAAACAAAAAAACACAAAAAACAGCTATCTGGACCCTGCCCCACCCAGCAAGATCCTGATTCCGTAGGGCAGGGATGGGACCTCAGATCTTGCATTTTGAACAAAGGCCCAGGTAGTGTTCATGCTGCTACTCCAAGGAATACATTTCCATTGGTACCAAGTGACCAAGACCAAGGTAAGAAAGAGGAGACACTCAATGCTGTCTACCAAATGAATAAAAGATGCTGCAAGCACACCTGGAAGAAGAACGTAGCAAAAGCCACTATATTTTATAAGGTGAAGGTCACAAGTGAGGCAGAAACCATAAAACCATAAAACGATTTTGCTTAGTTCTCTATTTCCAAGCAATATGCTTTCCTCCTAGCTTTTTATTTTATCTTGGGAACAGTTACCAAAGTGCTGTAGCTATTTTTGAAGAAGAGAGGAAGCAAATCAATTATTTGCCTTTTTGTTCCCCTAAGGCATCAGAGGTATGCTAATGGAGTCCTTGAGAGCTCTTATCTATGGATGTGCCTAAACCATGTAGAATAGATGAGGCTATATTTATTAAAGACTTTGGAGGCTATTTTAGCTTCTTCAGATACCAAAATACAGTTGTGATGTTGCTGCCACTGCCTTTCTGTATATTTTTACATTTTTTTAAATTTCAGGTTCCGGGGTATATGTGCAGGATGTGTAGGTTTGTTACATAGGTAAACGTGTGCCATGATGGTTTGCTGCACCTATCAACCCATCACCTAGGTATTAAGCCCAGCATACATTAGCTATTTTTCCTAATGTTCTCCCTCCCCCAACCCCACCCCCCTAATAGGCCAGGGCTTTCGACCTCAATAGTATTGATGTTTGGGGCCAGGTAATTCTTTGCGGAGGGGACTGTCCTGTGCATTGAAGGATGTTTAGCTTCATCCCTGTCTTCTACCCACCAAATGCCAGTAGCATTCCCTGCCCCAAGTTGTGACAACCAGATTGTCTCCATACATGGCCAAATGTCCCCTGGGGGGCAAAATCACCTCCATTTGAGAACCACTGCTTTAAAAGCAATGCCTGAAAACCTCATCTTCTAAGAAATCTGACTTGTAGTTTGGGTATGTCGATACGAGGTAGTGATGATAACACCTTAGGTAGAACACTGCCAGTAACCAGTACTAGGACTGCCCTTTGGATTCTTGGGGCAATGGAAAACACTAATTTGACCTTCAGTAATGGGTAATTTTACTGACCTCAAATGTGCCAAGAGCCTAATAGGTAATGTGGTATCTCAAGCATGTCTCAGAGGAGATTAGTACAGAAGCCACAAAGAGACCCTTTCCCAAACCCAGCGTTGAATAGTCAATTACTACTTTTTGCCCACTTTACCACATATGCCACATATGCCACTTTACCACATATGCCATTAGGAAGTAAAGGTAGAAATGGTAAACAGGTAGAGAGGAGAAATAATGTGTGTTAGATACAAGCATTTGCCCAGAGAAAGATGGGAATGCTTGGGATATTTGAGCGCCCACTGCCCCAGTTGGACCCAGTTTAGGAGTTGTAAATATTCACAAGTCATCCCTGAGAGTTGATGAGGTTTCTGAAAGATGTGAACCAGGCCAACAGCTCTTTGTTCTCATATTTTCCCTCTCCTGCCTGTGATAAAGCCCTCATCCCTGTTCACCATTTCCGCCTGCACAAAACTCATAATACGGTGCCTTCTCCCCTATTTCTTGTCTCCCAGTGGCCTCACCTGTGGCAGACCGTTTTTACTCTCCACACATCCTAGAGCACAAAATGATCATGTGTGCTGGAAGTTATTACCCAAGTCCAAACCAGCATTCCTCTCATTTCAACCCATTCTCTTTACGAAGCAGTCCCTACTTTTACTCAACTTGTGTTGCAGGTTGTAACTTTCAGCCACACCAACTTCCTGCTCATTCAGGCATGGATTATTATTTTTTTCAATTGGCTTTCTTTTTAAAAAATAATAGCTTCATTGAGATAGGATTCACGTACCATAAAACTCATCCTTTTAAAGTGCACACTTAATGCATTTTTGTATATTCAGAGTTGTGCAGGCATCCCTACTAATCTAATTCCAGAACACTTCATCACCCCAAAAGAAACTCTGTACTCACTTAGCCATGCCCCACACTCTCCTTTCCCCAGCTTCTGGCAACCATGATCTACTTCTTCCCCTGTAGATTGGTCTATTCTGGAAATTTTACATAAATGGAATCATACAGCATATGGCCTTTTGTGTCTGGCTTCTCTCACTTAGCATAATGCTTTCAAGGGTCATCCATGTTGTAGGGTGCACTTCATTCCTTTTGATGGCAGGTTAATATCCAATTGTATTGATATAACACATTTTGTTTGGAAACATGTACAAGTTTTTGTGTGGACATATGTTTTCATTTCTCTAAAAGTAGAATTGTCGGGTCATTTGATAATTTTGTGTTTAACATTTTGAGGAACCACCAGACTATTTTTCAATCCCACCAGCAATGTCTGAGAGGTTCAATTTTTTCTGCATCCTAACCAACATTTGTTATTATCTGTCTTTTTTATTATTGCCATCTTGTGGGTATAAAGTATCTCATTAGCATCTTGATTTGAATTTCCTTCATGATGACAATGTTAAGCATCTTTTCATTTGCTTATTAACCAATTGTATATCTTCTTTGGAGAAATATCTGTTCAAATCTTTTGCTCACTTTTTAATTGAGTTGGTTTTTTATGTGTTGTAATATTTCATTATATATTCTGGATATAAGTCTTTTATCTAATGATTTGCAAATATTTTCTCCCATTCTGTGAATTGTCTTTTACCTTTCTTGGTGGTGTACTTTGCACAGATGTTTCTAATTTTGGTGAAGTCCATTTGATCTATTTTTTTAATTTGATTGTGTTTTGGGTGTCCTAAGAAATCAATCTCTAAGGTTTTCTCCTATGTTTTTTTCTAAGAGTTTTATAGTTTTTACTCTTATATGTAGGTGCTTGATCCATTTTTAGTTCACTTTTATGTATAGTATGAGGTAGGCATCCAACTTCACTTTTTTGCATGTGGATATCCAGTTACCAGCTACTATTTGTTGACTTCTCAATGTTAAGCATCTTTTCATGTGCATTGACCAATTATTTATCTTCCTTGGAGAAATATCTAATCAAATCTTTTGCCCACTTTTGGAGTTGTCTTCTTAAGAGTTGTAAGATTTTGATTTGTATTTCCTTACTGATGATATGCCAGGTGCTATTCTAGATTCTGAGGAAACAGAAGTAAATAGGATGTAGCATACCTGTTGCCTCTCAGGGAGATTACCCTCACGGGTGGGGGTGGGGATCACATATAAATAGAAAACAACCAAGGTCAAATAATGTGTGTGCAATGCCTGACACTGTGCCTGGCCCCTAGAGTGTGCATAGCAACAGGTAGCTTCAATAATAATAATAACAGCTATTATTGTTATTATAAATGCCAATACAGAGATGTGTACAAAGTGCTGTGGCAGGAGGGAGTGACTTGTGCTTGTCTCAAGATTGGCTTCACATAGGGCCACCCCCAGCACCTCTAGGGCCCAGGAAGGGAGTAAGGGAGGTGCAGGCATAGGGCTCTTCAAGACCAACCTTTCATGAGTGTGTGTGGTATGTGTGACATGGAAACAGCTGGTTTTCTTGTCTCTGTGAGTGTCAACTCGGAATAAGGATTGTGATTGACAATTCCCATCCCAGTCTGTACTTAAGAAGAAATGGCTTCCTTCATTTGTGTGTAGCAGATCTCAACAGGCTTTGGAGGGAAGCTCAGAGGCTGAGAGTAAATTATAAAATGTTTCTAAATAGCTTACCTAGGTACATTATCTTAAATATTATATAATTAGGGCTTAAAATCTCTATTCCTTGGTGATAACATAGTGTGTCCTCAAACTGAACTTTCAAAGTGTAGAGCAATGGTGGTTTTTTAATGTGGAAATTATAGTACTCTTTGTAAAATATCAAAAACTGTTAATTTAATTTCATCATATGAATAAATTATGTTAGTGGTAGGGAGTATGGCTGTATTATATGTATTCTAGGGTTCACATTACCAAAAAATATCCAATTATAGGAAGCAATTTTAAGAAATCACTTTTCCAAGGCTTTTCGTTACACTAGTTATTTGTTTTGTCATCTGCTAGCACATATTAGCAGAAAAGTGAGAATAGGTGCCATAAGTTAAGAAAAATGTGTTAGAAACGAAAAACTTTAAATTGAGCACATTCTAACAATTAATATAATCTAATTTAAGCTACAAAGTACTTTGGCCAAACTGGGTAGGATGTAGTTGTTTCCAAGAAGGATAATTTTAGAACCACTGATGCAAGGTTTAAATTTTAATTTAAACATACTGTTATATTTTATCAAAAAATAAAGGCTTTCTTTAGTATCTGGTTTTAATATCACCTATTGTATAAATTATGAGTTTTTATTCAGTCTTCAGTTCATCAGGCACTGATTGGCTGTCTGATATATGGAGGGAACTTTATTTAAGTATATGATCCTTTGTCCTAAAGTAGTTCATGATCTGAGGAGGAAATGCTGTCTAGTGTAGGACACATACATTGCTAGTTACAAGAAGTAGCAATTTGTGATAAATGCTGTAATAGAGAGGTTGGTTCAGATTCAGAGTCGGGTAGATCTGGGGGAGCTTTCTTGGAGAGCTGGTACCTGGGCTAGAGCTCAAAGTTGGGGGTAGGGGAGATGGCAGCAGTGGGGAAGAGAAATCAAGGAAATGGTGGTAACCTGGTATGCCTGAAGTATAGAATGAGTAGGGGACGTAGCAGGGCATACAGTTAGACAGGGAAGAGCCACATTGTGGAATCTTGATGATATTACACCAAACTAATGAGCCTGGACTTGATTCTGTAAGCAGTAGGTAGCCATAGTGTTTTTGAGGAGAGTTGTAACATGATCAGATCAGTACAGAAGGAGGCTGAAGGTTAGGTTGAAGGTGGGGAAAAAATTAGAGACCATTCTTGGGTGATACAAATGCCGTCTTTCCGATTTCGTTTCAGTTTAAAAACTCCAAGGGGTAGCTATCTTATGATTTCAGATATTTGATACAGAAGTTCATTTACATTTTAATGGTTAATTATGCCTCCCACTAACTGATGACTCCTCTTGACTGATATTTTTTAGCAATGGCCAAGCAAGAGTTTATAAAGGGTAAAACACTGCATGTTCTCACTCATAGGTGGGAATTGAACAATGAGAACACACGGACACAGGAAGGGGAACATCACACACTGGGGCCTGTTGTGGGGTGGGGGGAGGGGGGAAGGATAGCATTAGGAGATATACCTAATGTTAAATGACGAGTTACTGGATGCAGCACACAACATGGCACATGTATACATGTGTAACTAACCTGCACGTTGTGCACATGTACCCTAAAACTTAAAGTATAATAAAAAAAGAGTTTATAAAGGGTACTAATAAAGCATGAACTTGCTTTTTATTGTTTTCCATAATAACATCTGAATCAGTACCCCAGATTTTCTCCTTAAATGTCTCTGAGCCAAGGGAAAGAACCAACCAGATTTTTATTTTAGAAAAAGGACCAGGAAATGTGTCTATACCGCAGAAGAAAACAAACCAATATGAAGCAGGACTATTAGACAAAACTTCAGTCCCAGGTTAGTACTGAACTTAGTTACCTGGTTTGCAATCCAGCTTTGCTCTTACAGGCTGTGTAACTTCAGGCATGCTACTTAACCAATCTGTGCCTCAGTTCTGTTATCTGTAAAATGTGGAGAATAGCACTTACCTCAGTGGTTTTTATGAGAATTAAATAGATAAATTTAGAGTTCTCTGGCACATAGTAAGACCTGAATAAATGGAAACTATTATTATTCAGTCATCGCGCAATAAAAATGAAGTCTATGAAATCTCTGCCTGTGACACATTGTAGTTTATAGTCTTTTCACATATTCACTAGGTCATTTGAGCTCCACAGTCACCTTATAGGTACTGATTGTTCAAACTACCATTGCTGCTAACAAACTACCCCAAAACTTAGAGCCATAAAACAACAACTATTTTATTATGCTCACAGATTCTGTGAGTCAGGAATTCAAAAGAAGTACAGCGGGAATGGCTTATCTCTGCTTCACAGTGTCTGGGGCCACAGCTGGGAGCTGCTTGAAAGGCTGGGGAGAGGCTGGGCGAGGTGGCTCATGCCTGTAATCCCCGCACTTTGGGAGGCCGAGGCAGGTGGATCATGAGGTCGAGGCAGATGGACCATGAGGTCAAGAGATCGAGACCATCTTGGCCAACATGGTGAAACCCCATCTCTACTAAACATACAAAAATTAGCTGGGCGTGGTGGTGCTCATCTGTGGTCCCAGCTACTCGGGAGGCTGAGGTAGGAGAATCACTTGAACCCGGAAGGCGGAGGTTGCAGTGAGCTGAGATCACACCATTGCACTCCAGCCTGGCGACAGAGAGAGACTCCATCTCAGAAAGAAAGAAAGAGAGAGAGAGAGAGAGAGAGAGAAAGAGAAAGAGAGAAAGAAAGAAAGAAAGACAGACAGACAGACAGACAGACAGAAAGAAAGAAAGAAAGAAAGAAAGAAAGAAAGAAAGAAAGAAAAGAAAGAAAGAAAGAAAAGAAAAGAAAGAAAGAAAGGAGGGAGGGAGGGAAGAAAGAAAGGCTGGGGAGTGAGTGAGACAAGGGGCTGGATCAGCTGAGACTGGCAGATCCACTTCCAAGACCACTTCTTCTGCCAAACTGCCTGGCACTTTGGTGGGAAACCTGGAAGGGTGGGCTCAGCTGGGACTGGCACCTAAGCACCTACATGTGGCCTCTCCACTATGGTGGCCTCAGGGTAGTAGTCAGACTTCTTACAATGTTCTTGCAGCAAAAGCTACATGCCTTTATGACCTGGCCTCAGAAGTCCTATAATGAACATTCATTTCCCATTCTCTTTTGGTTGAAGTAGTCACAAGCCCCCCCAGATTCAAGGGGAGGGGCTGTAGATCACACCTCTCCGTGGGAGGCATACCACAAAGGCCATGTTTTAAAATCACCACACTGGCATTATTTCCTGATTCTAGATGAGAGATGGTAATTCAGTGGAGATTAAATGATTTGTCAAGGAATAGTAACTGGGATAGTTAGTGGGGAAGGGGGCTTAGGGGAGGAGAATGACTTTTACCATAATTCTGACTCTAAATTCTTGCTCTTTCAATTAGTATATATTATATCAGCTAACATATACTTGCTAATATGTAAAAGTTCAAAGAAAAAAAACTAACTGGTTTTGAATATATTCAGTAACTTCCCTAAATAGAAACACAAATCTAGAAGAATAAGGTTTGCATTTATAAGCCCTTGCATTTATAAGCGCTTGCATAAAAACTTCATATTTTAAGGAGGTCCAGGGATGAGTGCAATCCTGAGATTGGTCAGACAGCAACTTTGTATCATTTTTCTCACAAAAAAAGATCTCTGAAAATGTCCCCGATACTTAACTGTGATTTCATTTGTTCTCTAGGAAAATCTCACCTGGCCATTGTCCAGCGGGTGAATAATGAGGGAGAAGGGGACCCTTTCTATGAGGTGATGGGCATTGTCACGCTGGAGGATATCATAGAGGAGATTATCAAGTCGGAGATCCTGGATGAAACTGATCTCTACAGTAAGTGCACGGCCTTGGCTGTTCTCCAGGGTCATCTTATTTTCCTCCAAGACTCTCAGGTAAAGCCTCATTTGATTTATAGAAAGGGTGTCAGGGCAAACCCTGTGCCCTGATGTGTGTCAGCCACCTATGCCAGGTGCTGCTGTGGCAAGATACCCTAGTTGGAATCACTTCTGAGTCACTGGGAACATGCTAGCTAAGTGTTTATCAGGAGGGAACCTTCAGGAACTGAGCCAAGACTATGAAAAGGAGACCTCCCAGCCTTTGGATAGAAACGGGACTACAGGAAACACAGTGTTCCCAGGACGGTGCCCAGAGGCCTCTCTGCCCTTGTTTCTGTCCCCTGTGTTCTTGTTTGGTTGCTTCATCCACCTAGATGCAGACCCCAACAGGGGTTCCACTCACATCAGAACATCGCAGTGAGCAGTGGAGACTGTCATGAGATTGCCTACTCACAGCCTAAGCCAAAAACTGAATACTCCTTCTTACAAACTTCCCTGTCCTCTTCTGCCTTTCAGCCCACCACCCTGGGTTTCTGTTCTCTCCCTGCCACCAGCATCCCTGCTCTTGTCTCTGCTTCCTTCTTTCTGGTCTGCTGCCCCTCCTAACTCCCTCACTCAGGAACAATACAGACTTTTCTATGCAGATGTGAGTACTTTGGGTTACTGAACCTTATCAAAGCTTTGCTTGCAAACATTACAAAGGCATGCTTTGTCTTTAGGATTGGAATGTTATCTAAGTCCATGGGAGTCCCTAGGCTGGGAAGTGTTTCCTCCTGAGAATTTCATCTCATGGAATAGCCATCCTTTTCTTCCTTGCAGATAACTCGTTTCAGACTTTGGTCCTTAGTTTGTGAGATGCGGCCTTTCAGAAACTGGCTCCTGGTAGAAAGAGCTTTGATACCATAAGGCAGTGAGCAGTGCAGAAAGAGTGCCTTCCTTTTAGACAAAGAAGAGATCAACTCTAAAAGGTGGGCCAGGCCTTGGCAAAGACAAGCAAGAGAGTCATGGCACCTCCCTCCAAGAGCCTGGGCACTGCTGTGCTTGCCCGGACCAGGCGTGTCTTCCTCACATGAGGAACGAGCTCGGAAATGTCCTCTCCCTCCCCCACCTCTGCCTGCCACTCTTGATTTAGAATTCTCAGGTGTAGCCTGGGCAACATGGTGAAACCCCATCTCTACAAAAAATACAACAGTTAGCCAGGCGTGGTGACGTGTGCCTGTAGTCCCAGCTACTTGAGAGGCCAAGGTGGGAGGATCACTTGAGCCTGGGAGGTCCTGGCTGCAGTGAGTGGAGATTGTGCCACAGCACTCCAGCATGGGAGCCTGGGTGACAGGGCAAGACTGTCTCAAAAAAAAAAAAAAAAAAAAAAAAAAAAAAAAAATCCCAGGTGTCTCAGATAAACTAGTGAAGCCATTCACACTAAGGTGTTAGGTACTGATAATAGTCTAAATGAGTAAGCTCCTCCCAGGGCACTTGTTTGAACAACCTTAAGGCTTCCAACACACACTATTGAAATCTAAGGAGAAGGGGGCGATGAGAGGAATGATTTCCTAATAATGCCATGTTAAGTGGCAATCTGATGGGGGAGAGGGGGGCTATTTAGGCAAACTTATCATACAAATCAGAAAGTTGCTCACTAGTGAGAGCGAAAGAGCTGGGCTAATAGCCTGTATTTTGCTACTCTTTTGCTGAGTGATCCTCTTTCTACAGGAGCAGGTTAGGGTCTTTCTACCTATAAATAGCTGCTGGCATGATTCCCTAAGAGCTATGAAAAGGCCCAGAAGCCAGGGATACTGTCTTTCTTCTTGCATGACCCTGACCTCTTACGTGATCTGGACACCTGGGTCTGGGTCTGCCCATTGTGACTTGAGCAAAAGGAGTGTCAAAGCAGGGGCCAGATGACTGTGAAGGCCCAGAGTCAGAGCGGGCCATGGAAGAGCTGCACCGGCAGGAGGGCACTTTGACCCTTCTAGAAGGAAACCCAAAAGCAGGCCCCAAAAGGAGAGGGGGCACACCAGGGAGCCGGATTCTGGGGCCTTATTTTCCTGCCACAGGGGTTCATTCCCTTTCATTCTCACTGCATCCACTCAGCTTGCACCAGACGTTCCCCCACAGCCCTGTTTCTCTTTAGGCGAAGTTTGGAGAAAACCCAAATCCCTCTCCCTGTTCCCCTTAGTGCAGGTAAGATGGGCTAGCAGTTTCAAAATTTTACTCAAAACTCAGGGAAAGCAAAAGAGAAAGAACCAAAGAAAACATTTCCTCTACCAAAAAAAAAAAAACAAAAAAAAAAGCGGGGGCCGGGGGGGAAGTAGATATATTTAGACAAGCTTTAAAAAGAATGAGAACAAATTAAATTGGAAAAAGCAAATGTTTTCAACCAATAATTACATGCCTGATACATAGGCTCTTGGGAGGTACCAGACCCTGCCTGAGGCCCCCATCCAGAAAACCCACCTTTAGAGATTATAGGTCCAATCTTATTTCTTCTCCTCTCTTCTTCCCTATATTTCCCCTGATTCCCTCCCAGTGGAGGGACTGGGGTTGAAGCAGGGAAATTGTGAAATAAGAGGTGGTGGCCGCCCTCCTTCCTTGTGTGGCATGCTTCAGGTACCACTCAGAGCATGGTTCACATAAGCAGCAGGAGACTAGGTGAGGCCAGTTCAGGGCAAAGGAGGGGGACAGAGTCAGAAATTCCCTGGGCCCCTGCAACCCTCTTGATACTAAGAATGCAGGTCCCTTGTGTGTGTATGACTTTGGGTAAAAGCATTCTCACAGGTAGTTTCCAGTTGGAGTCTCATAATTAATTGCACAAGATGAGTATGAGAGCTATATTAAATATTATTAGCCTCCTTGTACAGATTAAAATAAAAACTCTAATGCTTAGAGAGATTACATGGTAAGTAGGGGAACCAGCCCCAGAACCCCAGACTTGGGTACCCCAAGCCTGCTTTCCCCTTTTTCTACTATACACCCCCTAAGTGTGGAAAACACTGAAATGATGGCAGTCTCCCATTGTCTATCCCTCACCAACATCCTTCTACTTCCTGGGTGATATTGTGATGTCACCCATAGTTGACACTGCAGAAATGTTCTATCTGTCCCCTGTGATTCTGGGAAAACCTCCAAAGATCAACGTGATTCTGAGATAGCTGTAATCTGTCCTCTGTGACCCCACAGCTGACAATCGGAAAAAGCAGAGGGTCCCGCAACGGGAGCGGAAGCGGCATGACTTCTCCTTGTTTAAGCTTTCGGACACGGAGATGCGGGTGAAGATCTCACCACAGCTTCTGCTAGCCACACACCGCTTCATGGCCACAGGTAGGACAAGTCTCCACTCCAGAGAAGCTAAAACAGAATCTCTAGGGTGGGACCCAGGCACCAATCGTTGTTAATACCTTCCAGCCTGATTCCAGTGTGCTGTCAGGACTGAGAAGCACTGTTCTAGGAAGGAGGTTGCCTTAGACAGGGTAATGGATGCCACCTACTGTCGTATTGAGCCCCAGGCCTGATCTCATAGAGGAAGAAATGAGTATAACTCAACTCTTCTACCAGAGAAAAGAGCTAAAGAAACCATTGCTGCACTTTTCCCTCTTCTACTCACTTCCTCGCTGAAGCCCGAGGCCATCTCCCTGTCTGTTAGACTTGCAGTGCCCTAGAGCAGTGCCACAGAAGCCTGTGAGCTATGAATTTTTAAAATACAGAAGTGTATTGTGAATCTTGGGATCTTTAGAAAGAAAAAAAAGTGAGAAAATCCAAAGATAAACTCCTTCTTGTGAAGAAGATAAAGTTTGTCTTTGAACCCTCTGACCATCCATGCCTAATTAATGTGCTGACCTAGAATGATCATATCTATCACTAACTTCAATATTTAATTAATCCAACATATATTTATTGAGTATGTAATGAGTGCTAGCACTGTTTTAGGTGCTAAAGAGTAGAAAATTTTAAGTTGGAGCTGCTTTAAGATAGAATTTCTAGTTCTGAGTACAGATTTCTTTTAACTACTTCCCAGAGCCTATGTTATATAAGTAATATAAGTTTAACATATGTAATATAAGCAATAGCTGTAATATATAAATATGATGCAATGATGCCTCACATTATTGACAACTTATTATTTAAATAATTGCCTGTCTTTAGTAACATGGGATTTCATTTCATTCAGCAGATATATGTCATACAAATAAGCCAGATTAAATTATCTGCATTTCATTCAATTATAGCATTAAAGTCTTTGTTGTTTATGTGGCTTAGTTGTCCATGTCCAATTTTAAATAAAATCAAAGAAAATTAATAATGAAACAGACATTTCCAAATGGAGACCTGTTTCTCCTGAGATGCCAGTGCAGGGACACACATCTCCAGAGGACGTGGGTAAGGCCCTGAGATGCACACTTGGGATTAGGATCCTCCACTCCGGAGGAACTGCAGAAGCCCTGCCAACCTGATGCCCAGGTACAGGCACAGGGGTCCCAGTTGTGCCCACTCTGACTCCTCCCAGCTGCCACTGCTGGAATGGGTGGGACACAGCTGATGCTGATTCCTCCCTTCCCACTCACTCTCCTCTAGAAGTGGAGCCCTTTAAGTCTCTGTACCTTTCGGAGAAGATCCTGCTCCGGCTCCTGAAACATCCCAACGTGATCCAGGAGCTGAAGTTTGATGAGAAGAACAAGAAGGCCCCGGAACACTACCTCTACCAGCGCAACCGCCCTGTGGACTACTTTGTGCTGCTTCTACAGGTGAGTAGGAAAGTCAGGGAACCTCTGAGAGCCAGAGGAGGGCATCTCCAGGGTGAAGAAATGGCCATGCCTCCGTCAGCACCAAGTTCCAAGACTTGGCTGGCTGCCTCAGCAACAAGGCCAGCTGGGTGGACATTTCTTCATGACCCACAGGAGGGGCCTAGACATGGAAGACTGGTGTCCTGGGAGTGCTGGGATCTTTGACATTTAGTTTGACAACTCAGCGATGTTTGGGGTGGGTTGAATACCTCTCCAATAGAGGGGTTCTGCATCTAAACTTCCAGAACTGCTGCTCTGCGGAAGCTATAATACCTCCTCATCTCTGCTTGAACATCCCCTGAAATGAAACTGCCCACTGCCTCCTAAACTTTAGACAACTCTTCTTTAAACCCTTCTCTCTGTCAAGTGGAAATCTCACCATCTGTGACTTCCATACTGGTCCTTGCTCTGCTCTCTGGAGGTACATGGGACACATTCATTCTCTCAGCTGCATTTCAGCCTTTGCAGTTCCTGAAATCTTCTCCCCCTTCAGAGGACCAGGAAGGGGGAAAATGACCTGTTCAAAGAAGTGCAACATCTCCCCAGTGCTCACATAAGTATGATCACCTTCTGCTCTGGATACCTGAATAGGCCTGTCTTAAATAAGTGTCTGACATGATTGCAGCTTGTAACACTGCTGGTGCCCTGTCTGGCTTCACCATTAGCTCTGTCACTGATTCCCTGTCCCTTCCCAACATAATGTTGTGAATCCTAAATACACTGATTGTATTTTAAAATCTTGATTAAGCTCACATGAACTTAGAAATGGTCTCTTTGTTACTGTCCACTTCCAGCCTCTCTGCTCTGTCACTGTAACTTGCCTCACATATATCTTTCCAAATGGTCTGAACAAAATGACCTCTCTTCTCCAAAAAATGTAGTCATGTGCTTCACTGTTGGAAATCAACAAGAATCCTGTTACATTGTTTGTATAATGTAATGATCACATAGTTTCATGTCTTATGCTGAATATAAACTTAACGGTTTTCAAATAAAACATGGAATAAAATGTAGTAGCAAGAGTGTACGCTCAGAAATTTGAAAAATATGGCTTTAAAATTCCATTGTTGCCATTTCCTAACTAACCTGGACCAAGTTATTCAATCTCTGAGCCTCAAAATTGAGTTCCCTGTAAATCAGGGATAAAAATGGCATAGGCTTCATGGGGTTGTGGGGCTAATTGCATGAGAATCTATGCAGTGCACATAATACAGTGTCATGTCCATGCATGCTATGCATTACATATCAGCTATCACTATTATTGGCAATGAATTAAACAAGCTTCACACAGAATTAGATTTTATCTTTTTTTTTTTTTTTTTTTTTTGAGACAGAGTCTCGCTCTGTCACCCAGGCTGGAGTGCAGTGGCCCGATCTCAGCTCACTGCAACCTCTGCCTCCCTGGTTCAAGTGATTCTCCTGCCTCAGTCTCCTGAGTAGCTAGGACTACAGGCATGCACCACCACACCCAGCTAATTTTTGTATGTTTAGTAGAGATGGGGTTTCACCATATTGGCCAGGCTAGTCTCAAACTCCTGACTTCGTGATCCACCCACCTTGGCCTCCCAAAGTGCTGGGATTACAGGTGTGAGCCACCGCACTCGGCCTAGATTTTATCTTGACCTGACTTAGAAATGGTCCAATCTTGGACTAAACCAGTGGGGCAGTTTATGAGGCCCTGGATTAGCTGGTGCTTAGGCCTGCATCATGGAAGGGCCACTACAGTATGCAAGGACAGCTTGGTTATTCATGACTGGATGCTATTTTATGAACAACGAAGCACTGAATTTACTGCAAAGAGCTATTAAAGCTGGTGGTGCTTTCTCACATGTAAATCTGGAGA
The DNA here is from genome assembly GCF_000001405.40 of Homo sapiens. Taxonomy (NCBI): domain Eukaryota; kingdom Metazoa; phylum Chordata; class Mammalia; order Primates; family Hominidae; genus Homo; species Homo sapiens. The sequence continues at coordinate 99,364,279 of NC_000010.11, forward strand.
GAATTAACATTCCTCTGTGATAAGAACATGGGTCTAGTCCACTTGTTATCCAAGCAGAAATGCTTAGGATTCGAGTCAATAGTAGAACTGGAAGTGCTCATACACATTCATAGTACACTTCCTTTTTTTTTTTTCCAGGGTAAAGTGGAGGTGGAGGTTGGTAAGGAAGGCCTTCGCTTTGAAAATGGAGCCTTTACTTACTATGGCGTCCCAGCCATCATGACCACTGCTTGCTCAGGTATTCTAGTTTCCATTTGTTTATTGGGAAAGTAATGGGATATGGTAGAAAAAGCACAGGGGTTCAAGTCTTGACTCCCCCTTTGACTCTTGTTAATCAGCCTGGACAAGCCATTTAACTTCCTTGGCTTTAGTTCCTTCCTCTGCAAAATGGGTGTATGAATCACTTTTCATTCAGTTAGTGCTTAAAAAAAAAGTGACAAAAAATTGAATTGTAAAAAGCAGTAATATTGTCAAGTGTTAGGGATCTAGGGTGGTAGATTTCAGTATGAAAAGACAAGTTTATTTTGCTTTTTATACTTGTTCCCTACCCTTCCATTTAATTGCCTGGTTTTTACAGGGTTAATTGGTGCTGGGGGTGGATAGAAGAGGGAAGATTCCCATAAGAAGTGTGTTTTCTGAGTTGCCTCTGAAACCCACTGCATGCTTCTGTCCTTAGATAATGACGTGCGGAAGGTTGGAAGTCTGGCTGGATCTTCTGTCTTTCGTATGTATCTCTCAAACCCCTTCCTCGTCCTCCCCATCGTAGTCCTGCCTCAGCCCGCTCTGGGGACCTGGACCGAGCACTTTGAGCCTGGGCTGGGGCTAAGACAAATGCTGGCAGCCCCTTTGTAATGTTCTGCCAGGAACACTGCTTCCTGCCAGGTACCCACAGACCATGGGAGCTTAGGTTCTGTGTGTCTGGAATGTTTTCTGCTGCTTCTCTGCTCACATGGTTGGGGGGATGCAGGGGTTGTGAGGGAAGGCACTGCTTATTGCCACCTTCCAGTGAATGCAGGCAGGTGATTTGTGTGCTTGGGCAGAGGCTCAGCCCTTCCTTCTGTGCAATAACAATTCACCCATGGCCTTTACTCAAACACTGTCATATGCTATTATTGTGTCTGTGGGGTTTGTCCTCAGTAAGAAGTGACTGCAAGATTTGGGGATGTAAGTTCCACCTTTGTGCAATACGTTGCTTATCTGCCTCTCTTTCTTGGTTCTCCACCTCTCAGCTAGTGGAGAGGTATCTGCCAGCTGGCTGTGCATGCTGTTGGTGGGGGGCAGGCACAGGGCTGATGGCTGGTTTGCTCTGCCCTTTCTGTGCTGTGCCTTCTTGCTGTTTTCTGTGTAGTTATTGCACTTGTGCTTAAAGGGCATGGCATTTTTTGTGATTAAAAGTGTGATACAGAAAGAATTATTTCTCTAGATTTCTTTCTGATTCACAGTTCTGAATTTTGCATTGCTTTCAGCTGTTAGTGTTTACAGTGACCACTTCAATGCCAAATAGGGTCTTTCCTCTCATCATAAAAAAAGATTTTACATATTGCCTTGTGGTGGGAATTATCAGAGGGTCCCAGAGCTTGATATCATAGTCCCTGGAACATGGCAAGGTAGATACCATTTTAACATGAGTGAAACTAAGGAAATGACTTGCTTCAAATCACCCAGTAAGTTGGTGACCGGCCAAGATGCTTCCTGGTGTCCTGGCTAGTTCACACAGCACAATAAAATACAGATTTCAGATCCATCATATTCTGGAATGCAATTTCTAAGTGGAAATAGTGGAACAATTTACAGTGTAATTGTTACAGTGTAATAGCCCAGCCAGTGGTTGAAATGAAGTACCTGCCCAGTGTGAAGAGTGGCAGAACTTGAGTTGGAGGAGATCTGTAAAATTGAAAAGACCCTGGTACATTATTATACTTAAGACAATGAATCTCAATCAAGGTTGATGAAGGAAGCATTAGTGTTCAGTAGAACTCTGGATGGGTGAGGGACGGGCTACAGGACTTTGGCAAACCTTAGTTCTCTAAAGGAAATCTCCATCATCCATCACATTAGGGACTACTCCTGGGATTCTAATATGTTACCTAGAAATGTCTGTGATCTCTTCCAGAAGACTAAAAGAGGTGGAAATTCTGAGAAAAAAAGACCTACATATGGCTTCCTAGCCCACCCAATTTATATGACCTTCTTTCTTAAAAAAAAAAAAAAAGAAATTGCTGTGGCCGGGCATGGTGGCTCTCACCTGTAATCCCAGCACTTTGGGAGGCCAGGACGGGTGGATCACATGGTCAGGAGATCGAGACCATCCTGGCCAACATGGTGAAACCTTGTCTCTACTAAAAATACAAAAATTAGCCAGGCATGGTAGCACGTGCCTTTGATCCCAGCTACTAGGGAGGCTGAGGCAGGTGAATCACTTGAACTTGGGAGGTGGAGGTTGCAGTGAGCCAAGATCATGCCACCGTACTCCAGCCTGGCTACAGAGCAAGATTCCATCTCAAAAAAAAAATTGTTTTAAGTAGAAGGAAGATGTTATCTGATTTCTTCCTTTCCTTCCTTCCTGTTTCTAGTTCTTTCTTTCAAAAGCTTTCAGTTGCATCAGTGAGATAGAAATAAAGTTGCAACATTGATTTCTCCTTTAAAACTAGTTAACTGAAAAGAAACATAGCACTCTTTCTCTTTCTCTCCCCATGTTACTGAGCATCTCTGTAAATCTTCAGAAGGAAAAAGAAATATTATTAGCCAATGGGGTAAAAAGACATTTTCCATCCTCCCCGAACCCATACTTAGTGTAGTGAAGTGTGAAGTAACTGCAAAGGCCAGCCATACCCCACAGTTATCCCGGGTGAATGCTCAGCCCATGGTCCAGCCACCCAGCATCTTTCACTGGCCAAGAACCTCAACCTATAGGTTGAGGGAGAGCTTAAGTCTAAGCTAAAAGGCAATAAAATCTTGTAGGGTCTTGGCCCAGCCCCGTCCCCCTATGCTTGAAGCTAGCTTAATCAGCCTTTGAGGATGAGGAGTGAGATTATGAGTTTGCTGGAATACTGGCACGATGACCTATGCTTCAAAGTTGAACTTGAGGCTACAAAGAAGTCTCTGGCTTTCCTGCATGAGGTGAAGGGAACATAATCTACACTGTCTTCTTCTTCTTGGTTCTGATTGCCAGGAACCCAGGGTAGCTGGAATAGGTGCACACACAGGTGTGCAGATGTGGAAAGAACAGGTCTCCTGTCTGTTTGGTGTATACAATGTATACAGTTTGGTGTATACATTTATACATTTAGAACTATGATTCTTCTTGAGAATAGAGAGTTTCTTAACTCCATTGTGTCTCATAATATTAGAGGCCCATTCTAATATTCATTAACATCTCATGTCAGAGCAAAGGATTATCAGGTAGGTAATTTCAAATAAAATCATTTGATGTAGCAAATAAAACTGCAGAAGCAGTCTATTTCCATATGCTATCATCTGCAGACTGGTTTCATTTAGCTCCTTAAAAAGGACTCTGGGAATGATCAGATAAGAGAGATGAAGACAGGTTCCCATAGTTCCCCTGCCCAGACACCACTTGAAGGGGGAGGGGCTGGACTGTTATACACACTGAACTCTACCCGGGCCCCCCAGTGATAGCCAGCACCATTTCAAACTCTGTGGGGAAAGAGAAGGACAATGGAACGGAGAGATACTTTGGACCACTGGTACTTACCACAAAGTGGCTTTGATTTAATTCATCAAGTTGATTCACATTAACACTGCTAGAGATATTGTTCTTCCTTTATCCCTATCCTCTAGCAATGCACAGTTCTTCACCAACACTGTGAGCAGAGGGATCTCCTAGGAGTCTGAGGCAGGATCTAGCTTCCTCAAGGATGCCCCTAGCAGGAGCACACGCTTTCCATTCAGGCCTCTGAGTACCTGTGCAGGTGCCCTTGGCAGTTGAGCTCCATGGGAGCTGGGAGAGCTTGGTGGGAATGCAGCGCTGGGCTCCCAGCATGTTTGCTGGCTCAAAATGGGAGCCTCAGAGAATGCTGCCTACATGCTTCCCACAGGGCTCGGCTTGTGCTTGTACATCTGATTCCAAGATGTGTTGCACATCTTTTCAGATGACCTTCAGCAAAATCCATTTTATTTTCTTGTCTTTCTGGAGTGTGACTTTGTAAGAGGATGTGATTCCTGTGTTTTCAGAGTCAAGATTCCTTTTTGCAGAGAAATGTGATGTTGTGAAGATCCAGGAACAGACTGTCTCACCCACTTTGTTCTTTGTCTCTTTCCTTTTGTGTTTATATCTTCCCTTTCGCAACTCACAAATCCTTGGCCCCTGACTCTTTAGTGCCTGTCTCTGTGTCTCGTACCTTCGCTGTCAGCAGAGGGGACTCTCTGGCAGGCTCCCCAGGTAAACATGCATGGGTGTCTCGGGTCTCTGTAGATCCAGAGGGGTTTGCAAGAAGCCTTTGGCCTCTGTCACTTTCCTGCATGAGAACTAATCACTCCAACAGGCACTCCTGTGACTAAGGCATAGCACTTTGCACAAATAGCACTCATTTGCACATACCACCCAGGCATTGCTGGTTCAGTGGTGTCATTTGTGAGTTTACCTCCCAGGAATGTATCTGTGTATGCACATGGAAAAATGGTGGGGGTGAGGGATAGTGTGAGTTTTTCCTCATTTGTCTGACTACAGAATGGAGGGATGAGGAGTACAGCATGAATGAAGTAGGAATAGTGGAATACTGTGCTTTATTTCTACCTATTTTCTTTCTACCTTTCTTTCCTTCCATGTCCTCATCTTCCTAATAATGTTACTATGTGATGATCATATGCTCACTAGCTCTGCTCGTACAAAGGATGCTATATGTAAAACTTTCAAAACAACTTTTCATTAGGTTTAACCTCTTTTGTTGATAAATGAAATAGTCACTGGGTTTCTTTTTAATCGGGTAACAATTCCTCATAGAGCTAGACAATGATTCAATGACTGAGTAGAATGCCACAAATCTGAATGATCAACCGTTTGTTTTCATCTCCAGTGGTTGTTCTCTTGGGCTCATAGAGCAAGTAATGACTAAACCAGGAATGTATTTGTTAAATTGCCCTGCAGTTAGAACACAGTCCAATTTCCTCTACCCTCTAAATCTGTATCCCTTATCACGTTGCTGGGGTAATGATACTAAGACCCCACCATATCCTCAGTCATCGAGAAATCGCTTATGTTTCTCTGTCTATATAGTAGACCCTCAACATTTAAAAAAGGTCATGTTTTGAGACTTCAAACCCTCCAATTTGCAACCTCAGAAGTATTTATGTTGACTTCTGTTTTTTCCCAAAATCACTTTTTTTCATCAAAAACCATCTGGTCCTCATGTTGATCTATACAAGATAAGTTAACCACCTTCTCAAATTTCACCAAAGTTTTCTCTCTCTCTCTCGATGGTGATTTTCCACTAAGAAATAGTTTTTCTTGCTTTGTGAGAGCTCATGCCTTCATAATGACTACAGGATCGGACAGTCAATGTGAAATGCCAATCTGGTGCCCTCACCAGCTAAATGGTCTACTCCTACATGCCCGCAAAATTAGAAATGACCACTTGATGGACCTTCAAGTTCCTTCACATGCAGTGAATCTTGGTGAATGCCAAGAGTGTGCTGTGAAGGTTCAGAGGAAAGGGGAGATGCACATTTTAAAAGACTTTCAGCCCAAAAGATCAAAGCGAGGATGTGTTTTCCTTTTTAATTAACCTTCAGTTAACCAGATGACCTAGTTAATTGTAACTTCCCAGTTAAAGGAAGGTTAATTCTAGTTCATCTGTATTGATTATTATAAAGTCCATGATAACCCAATGTCAGACAGAGATGAAAGTGATTCCCTCCTGCTGTGCAGAACCCCCAGGAAGTGCTGAGACTTCTGATCCAACTCTGGGTGGTGTCATGTGCCCCTGAGAGTATTTTCAACTTTCCCCCCTTTTCCATGACTGTGGATATTCAACACAACAGGAGATTAGTGTCAACACAATGGAAACCCTACCCATAAAGAGGTAAGCTTATTCCCACCCTTGGTTTAACTCTGCAGGGTGGAGCAATGGTGGGTACAGTGGGAGAAAACCAGAGGTAGGGAATGCCTAGTTTCTCCTTTGGCTTATTCCTCTCCACCTTGTGTCTGGTCTCTATCTAGAGCTAATCACTGTGCCTTCCCAGTGATCAGCTGACATCCACAGGACCTATTCTGTGGTATTTCCTCTGTCACTCTTGCTTTTGTTCCAAATCATTAAAAGAAGTAGCCTCAGAGGTCTGGGATTTTTGTAGAAAGAAGTTCCAGGTAACTTCTGGCCCTGTAAGCACAGACTTTGGAACCAAGGGCTCTTATTCAGTGCTCGATCGTCCATTCATAGTGTGCATTGAGATCAACAATGATGCCATTTTCTCCTAGAATATACCAAAGTACCTAAAAATTTTTTTTACTTTGCAAAATGTGCTAAGTGGAAATATTGATTTCTGATCCAGATACATTAATTTACATATATGCTAAATCTCAACCGTATCTTATATGGGAGGAAAATAAATCCTAGAGATTAGTAGGGTCTTGAAGTCTAAGAAAGAATTGTCATTGTCTGATTTGACTCCCCACAATCACTTTGGGAGATAGGCAGGAATAGTCATTGAAAAACAACAGATTAAAAAACAGGTTCTGAGAAAGTCAGTCAGTGTTGTATGTGTATTAGGTAGGCAGAGGGACAAGGACTGGAATCTAAGTCTTAGATCCTGCTCTCCACCTACTGCCTGGGACCTTGCTGTACCTCTGAATATAGACATTTTATGCCCCCTAGAGGGCTGTGATTTATTTGCATTTTGAAAGCAGTGCTAATTACGAATCTGGTGCTCGCACTAGATTGAGGCTAGGGGTCTCTGCACCAAATATTGCCATCATTATCCATAGGGAGTCTCTTTCTATTTGAGCCTTAGTTTGAAATAAGAACACAGTGGTTCACAGATTACCTCCAGGTTGTGGTGTGGTTAACCAACTTGGCAGGTGCTTTCATTTAAAAATGAAACTTCTGATCAGGGGTTTCCCCTGAAAGTACACAGCCCCACTGCAATTAGCATTCCCTTTCCCCATATTCACTCCTTCTTTCTTCTCCTGGTGGTGGAGATAATTTTGAATTCCCCATAACAGTCCTTTCAAATCCACAAAAGCACAGAGACAGAGACTTTGGAACCAACGGTTCTTTTTCAGTGCTCGGTTATCTATTCATAATGTGCACTGAGATCAATAATGACAGTTTTCTGCTTGAATATACAGGGAATCTCTAAAAATAATATTTCTACTTTGCAAAATGTGGTAAGTGGAAATATTCCTTCGGGTTGGCTCTTGTGTGATGAACATTTGGGAACCATTAAAGCTCCGTGTAAAGTGAATGAGTTCATCTGGGATCCTAACTTGGGCTTAGAGTTCACATCGTAGTTTTGACAGACAGCTGGCTTTGGTGTTCGGTTGTCTGATGCTAAATATTGCCCCAGTATAATGAATTTTAATAATTCTAGTTGGTACTCTTACAGGTCTATGTAATTAAGCTTCCTCATCCATTTTGGAGAACAGAGATGGCCCACGGCACAATCACAGTCAGACCAAAGTAGGCCATTCCCCCTCATCCCTCACTGATGGTACAAAAGATGTAGGCAGGCAACCCCTGAACCCTCCTTTTTCCTCAAATCCTCATAGGGAAAATGGGAGCTTAGCATTCTACTTCTGTATCTTGGGGTCTGATTCCAGGATAGGGTTGTGAAGGCTCCCTGGATACAGGTGTCACAAATGAAGCAAGAGTCCCAGAGCTGCTGTGTATAGATTTTCAGGGCCCCTGACTATTACTACAGAAGGAGAGGAGATTCCATCCAGCCCCGATTACAGTGTGAAGTCCTCTTCCATACCCTTTGCCACCCTGCCCCCAATTTTACCCTAGTGCCTTCCCCACCCAAACCTCAGCAATCCAAGTAGCCAACCCAGGACAGATATCTGTTAGAGACTGACCACTCAAAGGCTGCAGGAATGAGGTCTGCCACAATTTCACAGAGCAGAAAACCCTGCTCCCCATCACCCGGTTACACCTGAGCCAACCTGAGGGTCTGATGCAAGAGCAAGAGTGGGCAAGGGATGGGTTGGTTGCTTGGCCTGCTGCCTGCTGACAGGTCCCGGGTTGGTGTCACATATCATACTGTTTGATCTGTCTCCTTCCAGACCTCCTTGCATTATACTTAGGATTTTCCTCCTCGCTTCACTCCCCCAAGCTGTGCCTCTGTGCTCTTAGGATATGCCAAGGGGAATTACACAACTTGAACTAGTTTGCCATGCTGCTAAGACACTCGTCTGTTACTGATTTCTTCTGCTTTTTATTAAAAGCATTTCCATGTCCCTTGCTCAGAAACCTCTGAGTGTATATGCATAATTACCAAAATGCCAAGTCATCAGCATCCAACCTACTAAGGAATGTCAGACTCCAGGACACGAAAACATTGATCTTGCGCAATACTCAGAGGGGCCGGGACTTTCTCACGGAGTAAAGGTTCTTTTTTCTTTTAAAAATTGCTTTTATAGACTCGATCTTTGTAAGACAATTGTATCGTTTGGTGTTGGGAATCCTTTATGATTTTATAAATAAACTTTCAATAACATTGTTTTTACTTTAAAAAAAAAGACATGTTTTTCCTCCTCCCAGCACAATAGTGATGTAGCTTGTGTTTGACATGTGAGTCCTTGTGGGTGTCATCTACACTGGGTGCCAGTGAAATGATGAGAGCTTTGGAGGGAACTGGGATGTAGCTGTTGCCTCTGTTTTCAACAGGAGAAGCTTCCACGGATGGAAGGAGTTTAGTAGATAAAATAGGGCTATTTCCCTGTTGTCTTCCCTGAACATATCTTGAATTGTGACATAAGAGATGAGGATGTGGAACAACTGGTGTAGGGTGTGTGAAGCCCATGTCTGGCCAGGCAAAGTGGAGGATTATTGAGGAATGGTGGTGATTCTCTGGGCAGCTGAAGCCACAAGCCCTGCTCACACTCTCTTCCCTTGGTTATGTCCAAACTGAGTTGAGGTCAAAACCCACCAGATCAAGGTATGGTTTTCCAGATGCTGCACTGGGGCCAAAGAAGCTACTTTTGGGCAGGACTCTCTGCCCCGCTTTTCTGCAACAACTAGCCTGGAGGAAAGAACACAGACTTATCCAGCCACCACCCTAAAACAGCTACAAATGGGTCTGGCCAAGCCAGAACTCATCAATTTGCTTTCTCTTTTCTTCTTTTTTTAATAGATTTAGGGGGTACAAGTGCATTTTTGTTACATAGATATATTACATAGTGGTGAAGTCTGAGCTTTTAGTGTGGCCATCACCCAAATAGTATACATTGTACTCATTAAGTAATTTCTATCCCTCACCCTCTCCTGCCCTTCTGGGTCTTCAATGTGTATTATTTCCCTATGTCCACTTGTACATATTATTTAGCTCCCACTTACAAGGGAAATAATGCAGTCTTTGACTTTCTGTGTTATTTCACTTAAGATAATGGCCTCTATTTCCATCCATGTTGCTGCAAAAGACATGATTTCATTCTTTTTGTGGCTGAATAATATTTCATTGTGTATACACACATACACACACACACATATACAAAATCACATTTTCTTTATCCAGTCATCCATTGATGGACACTTGGGTTGATTCTGTATCTTTGCTATTGTGAATAGTGCTGCAAGAAACATACACGTACAGGTATCTTTTTTACATAATTTCTTTTCCTTTGGGTAGATACCCAGTTGTGGGATTTCTGGCTTGAATGGTAGTTATATTTTTAAGAACTCATCAGTTTGTTTTCAAGGAATGAGGCCCAGAAGTGAAATGTACCTTTTTCTGCCCAACTCTTCTGCTTTTTACAATTAATTACCTTGGTGCTTCATGTTGTTCTCTACATTACCATCACTGTCCCTGTCCCCGTCAGTTCTTAGTCACTCTGGAGAAGGGTCTGGTCCTTCATCACACAGTGGATGGGTAGGGCCCTGGGCATCTGACTTCAGGACCCCTTGTTTCACATGCCCTTATTAAACAAACAGTCTTGCTGCTCCATGTGGCCTCTTCCTCAAGTTACTGGGTCAAGGCCTGAGGCTTCTTGATGCCCTTTGATTCTAGTTGCACACTATTTTACTCTATCCAGCCACATTTCTGGAGTGTCTTGCTCCCCACCCTTACTTCTTGGGGAAGTCAGCTTCCCCAGAATGACTTTAGGTTTGTGATGATTTAAGAGCTTTAGTGACTTTAAGAGCTTTAGTTTGATGATTTAAGAGCTTTAATGACTTTAGCTTTGTGATGATTTAAGAGCTCTGAAACCTTTTTATAAAACAAATTTAGATTATAAACTTTAAGAGTCATTGTATCGCCCTGTGGGACCCTGACGTGCTGACTCATTTATTCTACATGTTTTCCTTGAGTACCTTCTCTAGGCCAGGCACTGTGCCAGGTGCTGGGTGTACAATGAGGATAACCAGAGAAGACAAGGTCTCTGCCCTCATGGAATTAAAAGTTGAATTAAGTAGATGTAACAAGTAGTTACTAATATGTAATTAATACTTGTGAAAGTGCTTTGAAAGGATGGACAGGGAGTCATGATAGAGGAGAACAGGAGGAATCTTCCTAGGTGACCAGACAAGGTCTTCAGAGAAGGTGGTGCCTCAGCTGAGAACTAGTGACTGAGGAGCAGACAGCCATTAGCTGAGGCGGGAGGAGGTGGGGTGGGGAAGGGAAATGGCATTCATCGAGGTGGGGAAAGCCTGCTTAGTTAAGGATGCCCAGGGAGGCCAGTGGCTAAAGCAAAGCAAGAGAGGGGAAAGGAGGTCCCAAGATCAGATCAGATAGGAAAGCAGGGGCCAGGTCACAGCAAGGAATTTGGATTTTATTCAGACAAAACAGGAAGCTGATTTGTGTTTTAAAAATGTGATTCTGGCAGCTGAGGTGAAAACAGATTATAAGATTCTAAGTGGGGAGACTGTGGTCCAGGTGAGGCTGAGGTAGCTGGGATTTGAGTGGAGACAGAGATAGGACCGATGGGCTCATTATGTCAGATGGATCGCAAGGCTGCATGTGGGGCTGAGGGAGCGGCAGGAGTCAAGGACAATCCTGGGGTTTCTGGTTTCAGGAACTGCATATAAGTGGATGACACTTACTGAGAAGGGGGAAGACTGGAAGTGGACTCCTTAATTCCATAATCAGATCAAGGCAGTGATGATTATGGTTCTAATGAGAAAATGATTCAACCTATTATTTTACTCTTTCTGCTACATGGTTTGCCAGACAACAGCTTGGCAGCTAAATAGATCATCAACCTTCCATGACTCATTCTAAATAGAGGCTAATCAAATATTTTGCTTTATCTCAAGAGACAGGATTAAATTCCCAAGGTTCTACCCTGAAAGAGCAGAATCTATAAAGAATCTGATTTTTCATTTGAGGCCCCTGAGCTAAATCTGTGTTAAGAGAAGCTGACAGCCTCCTCATCCCCTTTTTTGGAAGAAGCAGAAGGATTGGGGGAGCTTTGCAGTCTATCACTTGGGGTGGTTCCACGGTTGAGATGATGTTTGGAGTCACCTTCGGTATCCTGTTTTCTGTTGTTCCTGGAGAGGGCAGCTCACATAAAACCAAGTGACATGGTCTTAATTGAACTTTTCCAAGAAGTATTTCTTTAAAATGTGAAAAGAACCTGGCTAAGCATTCAGGAGATCTTTGACAGAAGGCCTGCAGATGATCCCAGTGCCCCCCTCAGGCCTATGCAAGACGGGGCCCAGCCCTAGACCCACACTTTGGCCCTTCTCAGTCTAGTCCATCTATATGGGGCAAAGAGTTCTCAGGGCCAAAGGGATGTGCTGAGCCAGAGCCTGTGTCCTCCCTTCTAAACCACATTTCAATATCCAGAATCCTGGAATCCCCACCCAAACAATCCTAAGGGACCAGGGGTCCAGAAGCCCTAGGGCCAGTGCTGGCTATCCACCCACAGCTCTGTTTTCTGGCATGGTTGCTATGAACATTTGTCAAGGAAGAGGATAAAGCCTATTTTTACCGTTTATCAATGTGACTTCTAACTTAAAAATATTTATCCTTTTGGTTTGTGGGCTTCCGTTTGTCTCAGGCCCTGCCAATGTGGGGGCAGGCCTGAATGCTTCCCACTAAAATGTATGGCCACATGAGGATTGGTTGTCTGTGCTGTGACAGATGGTTTTGAGGGCAAACCCAAGGCCTTGGCCTTTCTAAAATAAGGTTTGTGATTGGAGTTGATGTAAAATACCTCACCATGGTAGAGGGGCGCATGGTCTAGGGTAGCAAGCCATGCTTGTAGTACTGCCCTCATCTCGTTCGGGGTCCTTGTGCACCTAACCTGAAGACAAGAACCAAGGAAGATGTGAACCACCCGTCCCCCCTGTCTGGGGAAAATAGATGCTCCAGCTCCTCACTGGGAGAGGTTGTGGGGAGCAGCTGAGTGGAAGGGAGCCATGAGTTTGTCTTAGGTATTTGTTCCTCTTAGGAATAAACATCAACAAAGCAGCTCAGCTCCTTCCCCGGGCTCTGATGGGAAGGGTGAGGCCCATCACCACCACCCAGTGTTACCATCGCCTGAAAGTCTTATGGGACCTCAGTAAACAACACCTGTCTCTCCCTCCTTCCCTGTCTCCCTCCCTCCCCCTTCTTCCTCCCCACCCATCCCTCCTTGTCTTTTCTCCATCTCTCACCATCTGCAGTAAACCGGTCCCCTTCTCGCTGCAGTGGGTTGAATCGCTCTGAGTCTCCAAACCGAGAGCGCAGTGACTTTGGGGGCAGCAACACCCAGCTGTACAGCAGCAGCAACAACCTCTACATGCCTGACTACTCAGTCCACATCCTCAGCGATGTGCAGTTTGTGAAGGTAACTCCCCCAGGAAGGTTATCCTCTCCCTCCCAGTGGGCAGTGTTGGCTGGCTGAGCGGGACAAGAAGACTACCCCCATTCCTAGGAGGGATGTGTGCACCATTCCCCTGTGTTCCAATACAGTGCTGGGTGGTAACTGCTACTGGCTGTATAAAGGCTGTTTTCAGTAAGCTTTAGGACGGTTCATTATTTGTCACTCTTTTAACATCTCCTGACCCCCTTTTTTCATGTGGGGAAATGAGGCACAAAGCAATAGATTAGCTTGCCTGACACAAATTGCTGCCAGAACCATTTCCTTTGCATCCCCTACCATTGGCATCAGTTTGATTTTATTCATTGGTTTTTCTAAGATAAGATTTTTCTAAGATAAGTTTGCAGGTGATTAATAAACAAAGTGATGTGTAGAAGAAACCATGCTATACATCTGCCTGTCTGTTGGTTAAAAAGAAGAAACCATGCTATACTTTTACATGTGATAATATAATTTTATACCTTAAAGTCTAAAACACAACTTGACCTGTGTGTTAACTGAAAATCTTTTGTAGTCACTAGTAAGACCCCTTGAAAATTACTAAGCTATTTGAAGAGAACCATGTGCAATTGCCCAGGAGAGAGGTAGCAAAAGGCTCATGGCCTCATAATTAAAGAGGAGGGGAGCTATTTCCTCATACCCCTCACTGGGATTGGCATTGCACAGGAGCCTTTAACATTTTCCCCTTTCCTCTTGTTTCCATAGGTTCTTTTTTTTTTTTTTTTTTTTTGAGACAGAATCTCGCTCTGTTGCCCAGGCTGGAGTGCAGTGGCGTGATCTCGGCTCACTGCAACCTCCATCTCCCAGGTTCAAGCAATTCTCCTGCCTCAGCCTCCCGAGTAGCTGGGACTACAGGCACGTGCCACCACGTCCAGCTAACTTTTGTGTTTTTAGTAGAGACGGGGTTTCACCATGTTGGTCAGGTTGGTCTCTATCTCTTCACTTCATGATCCACCTGCCTCGGCCTCCCAAAGTGCTGGGATTACAGGCGTGAGCCACCGCGCCCAGCCTGTTTTGTTTCCTAGTATTCTGCAAACCATGACAAACTTTGTCCTGAGATCTAGCTAGAGCCCCATTTATCCCAGGCCAGCAGAACACCCAGTGGGTTCACTTGGTAGCTGTTGCACAGTTGCAGGCTGGGTCATGAGAGGTGCACTGAAATCACCAGGGTGGAAGAAGGTCCTTCTTTCCAGAACGCACGCCTTCATTATTTGGAGAGGGGTGTGTGCTGGCCGGTTTTCTGTGTTTCAGGACTTTGTGGACAGCCCTGAGTTAAAACTGACATCAGCCTATAAAAGTAACCTTGAAAAGTAACCATGGAATGTTGCCAGAGGGAGGGATGGAACCTGGGGGATGGGGTGAGACAATAACTATTTTTTTGCAGTAAACTGTGCAAGGCACTTTACTGAGTCCTTTGTTTGAATTATCCATTTAATCTCACAGCCACCCTATGAGGTAGGTATTGCTGTCATTCCCATTTTCTAGATGAAGAGTTCAGGTTTGAGGAGTATAGGGTCCCATGGCTAGTAAATGGCACAGCCAAGCTTCAAAGTTGGGTCTTTCTGCCTCCAGAATCCAAGCCCTGAAGTCAGTGGGCTTTAGAGTGAGCGGCAGGACATCAGAGCTAAAGGAACCCCAGGGAAGTGCCTTTACGAGCTGACCGAGCAATGCTCATGGGTGCATATGACTGCGGACACTTAAGTCTAATGTGACAAGGAGGTTAAACCTTAGAAAATCATAGCCCACGATTCTGCTCCTCATAGCTTCCAGAAGCCTTCTCATTGCTAATGCAGACCTTCCCCAGAAGGGGAAGTAGGGAAAAAGTGGGAAAAGAGGAACTCTAATATGTTAAGTCTGGTTGGTTTTCGTGTTGGACATGTGATCTGTGGGGAAAGAAATGGAAAATCATAGTATGACTACATGATTCAACAAATATTTAATGGAGGCCTGCTCTGTTCTTGGCACTGTTGAGATACTGTGGTGAAGACAGCAAGCTGCTGCCCTTCGGGAGCTCACAGGCTAATGAGGGAGAAAGACAACAACCACATACATAACCTAGGTAATTTCGGGTCGTAATAATAAGGGCTGTGAAGGAAATAAAGAGGTAATTGGGATCAGTGATTGGGCAGAGAAGGCAAGGAGACTGCTCTTGAAATGGTTATCAGACAGGCCGAGAAAGGACATTTTTGCTGAGACTTGAAAGGGGAGGGGGTGAATGTTCAAGATGGAAACAACAGAGGCTGGAAGGAGCTTGTAGTTTAAGGGTCTGAGTGCCGGCCCATGGTGTGCAAAGGCAGAGGCTCCATGAGAATGTAGCATCACAGGTGGTATCACCTGGTATCTTTAGGCCATAGTAAGGAATTTGGATTCTACTTTAAGTGTGGCGGGATTTTTTTTTTTTTTTTTTGTAGAGACAGGATTCTCACTATGTTTCCCAGACTGGTCTCAAACTCTCAGCCTCCAGCGATCCTCCCACCTCAGCCTCCCAAAGTGATGTGATTACAGGCATGAGCCACGGCACTCAGCCAGAATTTTTAAGTTTGTTTCTCTTTTCATTTATATTAGTCAGTTTTGGCCACTGTAACAAATTACCATAGACTGTGTGGCTTAAACAACAGATATTTATTTCTCACCATTCTGGAGGTTGGGAAGTCCAATATCAAGGTGCCAGCAGATCCAGCATCTGATGAAGGCTCACTACCTAGTTTGCAGATTACCTCTCATTGTATTCTCACATGGTGGAGAGCAAAGAAAGGAAGTAAACTCTCTCTTTTTTTTTTTTTTTTTTTTGAGACAGGGTCTCACTGGGTTGACTAGGCTGGTCTTAAACTCCTGGCCTCAAGTGATCCTCTTGCCTCGGCCTCCCAAAGTGCTGACAAGCTCTCGTCTTCTAAGGGCACTAATCCCATTCATGAGGAATTCACCCTTATATCCTAATCACCTGCCAAAGGCCCCACCTGTTAATACCACTACATTGGGGTTAGGATTTCAACATATGAATATTGAGGGGACACAAACATTCAGTCCATAACCATTCATATCAGAAGTTGAGAAAATCAGTATGAAGATTTGGTTTGCTGCTTGGAGTAGAAAAGTGAAGGAGATTTTGAAGAGTCATGTTCAATGGGCAAAACATCATTAGGCTTTACAGATTGGACAGTACTTTCAGGAGATGGATTTGGCAACTCCTCAGAGGAATGTGCTAAGATGATCACCTAGCATTAGGTTTGTAAGGATTTTCTTAAAACTTGCCGATGGGCTGGGTGCGGTGGCTCACACCTGTAATCCCAGCACTTTGGGAGGCCAAGATGGGTGTATCACCTGAGGTCAGGAGTTTGTGACCAGCCTGGACAACATGGCGAAACCCCGTTTCTACTAAAAATACAAAAATTAGCCAGGCATGGTGGCAGGCATCTGTAATCCCAGCTACTCGGGAGGCTGAGGCAGGAAAATCACTTGAACCTGGGAGGCGGAGGTGGCAGTGAACTGAGATCGTGCCACTGCACTCCAGCCTGGGTGACAGAGGGAGACTCGGCCTCAAAAAAAAAAAAAGAGAAAACAAAACAAAACTTGCCAATGATCTCATATCTCCAACCCTAGAACATAAGGAAAGGGAACATTCTACAAATCACAAGGAACATAAAAGTCTGTTTCCCAACATGAGATAGTTTCAGTGTTGAAAACCCCAAGTCCCAGGTCAGTTCTCGGGTGTAGGTGTCTGTCCTTTTTGTCCAAACAGAAGACTTTGCTGCAATCAGTGCAGCTGAGCAGCACAAAATTTGATTTTTCTTTCCACCTGGATATTTTGAAATCAAGAAGACTAAATGTCAGAAGTAGAGAAGTTGAGAAGAAGGTGGAAACCAATTAAGTGTTATTCAACCAGGTGCAGCAGCTCACGCCTGTAATCCCAGCACTTTGGGAGGCTGAGGTGGGCAGATCACCTGAGGTCAGGAGTTTCAGACCAGCCTGGCCAACGTGGTGAAACCCTGTCTCTACTAAAAATACAAGAAAAATTAGCCAGGCATGGTGGTGGGCATCTGTAATCCCAGCTATTCAGGAGGCTGAGGCAGGAGAATCGCTTCAACCCAGGACACGGAGGTTGTAGTGAGCCGAGGCCATTGCACTCCACCTGAGCGGCAAGAGTGAGACTCTGTCTTCAAAAAAAAAAAAAAAAGGAAAAAAAAGAGTGTTATTCAAAAACCTCTTTAGGCCAGGCGCGGTGGCTCACACCTGTAATCCCAGCACTTTGGGAGGCTGAGGCAGGCAGATCACTTGAGGTCAGGAGTTCAAGACCACTCTGGCCAACATGGCGAAACCCCATCTCTACTAAAAATAAAAAAATTACCCAGTCATGGTGGCAGGCACCTGTAATCCCAGCTACTCGGGAGGCTGAGGCAGGAGAATTGCTTGAACCCAGGAGGCGGAGGTTGCGGTGAGCCGAGATCGGCGCCACTGCACTCCAGCCTGGGCGACAAGAGCGAAACTCCGTCTCAAAAAAAAAAACCAAAAAACAAAAAAAAAACTTTGATTAAAATGGGTAGTTCTCCAAAAAGGAATTCTGTGAGTTCAAGCTCTTTTTTTTAACACAAGTGTCTTTTTTGTTTTGATTTTCTCTTTTCTTTTTTTTTTAATATAAGATTCTGCCTTAGATTAACTTTGAAAATTACCTCCTCCTGATTGATTAGACTGTGTTAGGGACGTTATTTAGGCCACTCATTTATCTACTTCCCTCACCTGTCTCTCCCCATCTTTCCTTCTGTTGTTATTGTGTTTTTTAACATGAGGGTTTTGGGGGAAGCTAAAGAGAAGACTGCAAGATGAGTGTTTTCACAGGGCGAAGCCCCTGTGGTTGGCTGCTGGAAGGTTTCTCAAGGGCTTTTTATATCCAACAGACTGAAGGTCCAGAATTAAGTCCAGGAGTAATTGAACTTCAAGATAAGTTACAAAATGAGATAGAAAGGTGCATCTAATAGTTATCTGGGAAAGGTGTTAAACAAAGCCATGATTAATGGTAGTTAATAAGTTATGAAGGTACCAAAGAATTCTTATGAAGTAAGTTTTTTGAAATGTGTTCTGTGTCATCATTAAGCTAAGACTACTTGGCAGATGTCTTACAGTCTGGACTACGTAACCTTGACCAAGATTCCTCATCACCCTAGATTGCAGCATTGTGTCTTCAGGGATGAATAAACCACTTGAAAGTGAAAACAACATCATACCATGATAGGAGGCCAGGTGCAGTGGCTCACACCTGTAATCCCACCACTTTGGGAGGCTGAGACAGGAGAATCACTTGAGGCCAGGAGTGTGAGACCAGCCTGGGCAACAAAGTGAGACCCCCATCTCTATAAAAATAAATTTTTAAATTAGCCAGGCATGGTGGCATGCACTTGTAGTCCCAGCTACTTGGGAGGCTGAGGCAGGAAGATTGCTTAAACCCAGGAGTTCAAGGTTACAGTGAGCTGTGATCATGCCACTGCACTCCAGCCTGCACAGCAGAGTGAGACCCTGTCTCTAAAATAAAATGACAGGAGACATCACATTAGCCTAAAGGTTAACTTCTGGACACCTTGGCTGCTAAGTCAAAAAGTCCAGAAAGCCACCCTTGCTTTTCACTACTTTCAGAATAAACAGACCTCCGCTTCCTTTGTAGCTTAGTGGGTGATTGGATTCTAAACTGGCCACTCTATAAGAGAAGACAATTTGAACTAAAGCTGTTGCTAATAAATGGTTATATCTACTGCAATGAAGAGGAAACAAAAACATGGAGTCTGTTGAAAAGTGGCTTGATTCCCTCAGTCAACTAATTGATAAGTATTTGTTAAGCATTAACAATGGTTCTGGGTGCCATGAGCTATACTACAGAAATATAAATCTAATAAAAATATATCCTCTGCCTTATAAGTAGATTAAGACCAGTTAGAGAGAGGAAGCTTAAGGTAAGTTAAATAATAGTGACCAATGCAGGGTACTATCTAATTCATTACAAAATTATGTGGAATTTTTTTTTGTTTTTTGACGGAGTCTCACTCTGTCCCCCAGGCTGGAGTGCAGTGGCGTGATCTTCTACCTCACTGAGTTCAACTCAGTGAACTCACTGCAACCTCCGCCTCCTGAGTTCAAGCGATTCTCCTGCCTCAGCCTCCTGAGTAGTCAGGATTACAGGCATGCGCCACCACGCCTGGCTAATTTTTGTATTTTTAGTAGAGACAAGGTTTCACCATGTTGGTCAGGCTGATCTCGAACTCCTGACCTTGTGATCCGCCCGCCTCGGCCTCCCAAAGTGCTGGGATTACAGGTGTGAGCCACTATCTGGAATTTTTTAAGCACTAATTGGCTGGAGAATGTACTTTAGGAGTTTGGAAAGAACAAGAGGAGAATTAAGGCAATGCCATGCAAAGGGACACCCTTAAACAGGTATGGAAGGCAAGTAGACATGGCGCATTCGAGGGACTGGGTAGAGAGAGAAGCTGGGTGGGACCAGTGGTTCTGTCCTGGTGAGTAGTGGGAGTGCTGTTGGCCCTGCGAGGCCAGGTCATCGAAACTGGGCACAGCTGTTTAGGCCGTCCACTAAACCTTCACCATCCAGTACAGCAGCCAGTAGCCATGTATAAATACAGCCATTTAGTTACATGTGGCTGTTGAATGCATGAAGTGTGTCTCTTTCCAACTGATGTGCTATAAGTGCAAAATACACATTGTATTTCAAGACCAGTGCGAAAAAGAATGTAAAATTCCTCACTAATCACTTTAACTAATCACATGATGATGTGAAATTATTTTGGATATATTGGGTTAAATGAAATATGTTATTAAAATTAACTTGTTTTTACTTTTTAAAATGTGACTACTAGAAAACTTTGAATTACCGACGGGACTCACGTTACATTTCTCTTCAACAGTATTACGCTAGATTAAAATAAGTTGTCATGAGTTGTTGAACAAGGGGAAGGAACTGACAAGAAGTGATACCCGAACCTAGAAATGCCTCTGGGAGAGGCAGAGCAGAGTTGCTTCCCTGGATACATTGGCACCTTGTCAACAATTTCTTTTAAGGCAACACATTGACATGGCAGGAGTTCATGATTTAAAAAAAAATTTTTTTTAAAAAGAGAGCTGTGTGAAAGAAAGCAAGGCTGTTAAGGCTGTGAGTCACATAGAGGATTTAGCCATTGGGTGGTACCTTTCCTTTTATATAAACACCCACCAACAGTGCAGACCCTCTCCAGCCCCTCCCCCTCCCCACCCTCACTGCCATACACTGCCGTGCTTCTTCCCACTAGTGTGGCCGTCTGAATCTTCTCTTTAGCATCACTGACAAGTGGTGGCTTAACATCTGTGTGAATGCCTCCAATGATGAGGAACTCGGTACCTCACGAGGAAGTGTGTCCCATTCACTCAGTATTGTTACCAAAAATACTTTCTTCCCGTCCTTTCCTCCCTGACAATGCTTAAAAAGAGGGTTAGAGTTCCTGGATCCTTGATTCCAGGTAACAAGAGGGGCTTATCATTGTTTTTTAAAAACAAAAAGAGGCCGGGTGCAGTGGCTAACACCTGTAATCCCAGCACTTTGGGAGGCTGAGGAGGGTGATGTCACCTGAGGTCGGTAGTTCAAAATCAGCCTGACCAATATGGTGAAACCCCGTATCTATTAAAAATACAAAAAAATAAGCTGGGCGTCGTGGTGTGCACCTATAGTCCCATCTACTCAGGAGCCTGAAACGAGAATTGCTTGAATCTGGGAGGCAAAGGTTGCACCACTGCACTCCAGCCTGGGCAAGACAGAGCGAGACTCCATCTCAAAAAAAAAAAAAAATTAAAAAAAGAGTGGTACAACTCACTGAAGATAAAATCTGGGCAGAACTTTTCCAAAAATAAATTAGTTAAATAATATAGAGCATTTTGCAACAGTAGTCATTCCCAAGAGACTTCCAGCCTGGGGGACGCAGCCAGTCTACCAACTTATAGGGGCCCTGAGCCAGGAAATCCATTTCAAAGCCTACTGAAACAGCCCCTTCCTTCTCTCTTCCTCCTCTCCTTTCTTCACTCACTGTCCCTTTCCTTCTGTCCCGCTTCTCCACTGTCCATAGTCGGAATTGCCTTCCTTCCCCTACTTTCCCTTTTGCTTTATTTTCTTGATTAAGGATTTATTTTTCCAAGACCTAGTCTTGCTTTCACAGAATCTCCAGTCACACTGACTTTGGGGGCAGAGAGGACACTGCTCCTTCCCCCACCTCCACCCTGTGTGTGGCATCAGCAATTTAGACA